>NC_000009.12:128848187-129162005 GCF_000001405.40 Homo sapiens | reverse complement strand
GGTCAGGAGTTCATGACCAGCCTGGCCAACATGGTGAAACCCCCATCACTACTAATAAATACAAAAATTAGCCAGGCGTGGTTGCGCATGTCTGTAATCTCAGCTCCTCGGGAGGCTGAGGCAGGAGAATCACTTGAATCCAGGAGGCAGAGGCTGCAGTGAGCCGAGATCGCGCCATTGCACTCCAGCCTGGTGACAGACACTCCGTCTCAAAAAAAAAAAAAAAAAAAGAAGAGCTTCACAATCTACCTTAGTACCATTGCTGTTGCTCTCCCAGCCCAGCCACACCACCTCCCTCCTGGACTAGTGCACTAACCTCCCTGCAGATCTCCCTGGTCTTCCTGTGTTCGCGCTTGCCCTCCTACTGGCCGTTCTCCTCCTCTCCACTCCCGTACATGCGAACATGTTGAAGTCGAATCATAGCTCTCCCCATCTCAAACCTTCCCAGTAGTGTAAATGTTTAAAACCAGCTGGTGGGTGGAGCTCACTTGAAGAATTTGCCAATTCCTGTGGTGTAAACACTCCCATTTTGGCCAATTCCTAGCTACCATGTGACATCGCTGAACATGGAGAGGGAGAGGAATGTGCACAGTCAGCTCTCGCAAGCCAGTGTGAGCACACCACTGCCCCCACTCCACTCAGAACAAAACACAGGCCGGGCGCAGCGGCTCATGCCTGTCATCCCAGCACTTTGGGAGGCAAAGGCGGGAGGATCACTTGATCCCAGGAGTTTGAGACCAGCCTGGGCAACATAAGGAGACCCTGTCTCTACCAAAAATAAAAGCCTAGCTGGGTGTGGTGGCGCATGCCTGTAGTCCCAGCTGCTCAGGAGGCTGAGGTGGGAGGATCACTTGGACCTGGGAGGTCAAGGTTGCAGTAAGCCATGATTGCACCACTGCACTCCAGCCTGGGCGACAGAGTGAGACCCTGTCTCAAAAAAAAAAAAAAGAGAGAGAGAGAGAGAAGGAGGGAGGGCAAGTGGGAAGGTAGAAAAGGAAGGAAGGAAAGGAAAGAAGAGAAGGGGAGAGAAGGGGAGGGGAGAGGGAGGGGGAAGAAAGGAAGGAAGCGAGGGAGGGAGAAAAGGAGGGAGAAAGGGAGAGAAAACAGGAAGGGCAAGCAAGGCAAACAGAGTCCTTACTATGGCCTCTGCAAGGCCCTGCTGAGCCAGCCCGCTGCCTCTCCACTCATCCCCACCCCTCCCCATCACTCAATGCCCTGTAGCCTCCTCCTTGCTGTTCCCCAAGTGTCAAAGCTGTTCCCACCTCAGGGCCTTGGTACTTGCTGTTCCCTCTGCCGGGAATGCTCTCTCAGCTCCTTTCAGGGTAATCTCTGTCACGAACTGAGGTCTCTGTTCAAGTGCCACCCTCACTACCCCCTTCAAAATAATATTTCTCTATCACAATTACCCTTGTTTCATAGACTTTATCGCTGCCCAGTATTTTGCTGTATATTTATTTGTCTATCGTCCTCACTAGACGCAAATTTTACAAGGGCAGGAAATTCACCAGTTCACCCCTCTGTCCCCAGCACCTGGAGGGAATGGCGCATGGAAGGAACCCACTTCTGGTCGGGCACAGTGGCTCACTGTGCTTGTAATCCCAGCACTTTGAGAGGCCAAGGCAGGCAGATCATCTGAGGTCAGGAGTTCGAGACCAGCCTGGCCAACATGGTGAAACCTTGTCTCTACTAAAAATATAAAAATTAACTGGGCATGGTGGTGCGTGCCTGTAATCCCAGCTACTTGGGAGGCTAGGGTGGGAGGATCGCTTGAACCCAGAAGGTGGAGGCTTCAGTGAGCCAAGACTGCACCACTGCACTCCAGCCTGGGTGACAGAGCCAGACTCCGTCTCAAAAAAAAAAACAACAAAACACTTCTGTGGGTCAGGCAGGCACTGAGAACATAGCTGTGAATGAGCCCTGGCTCTGTCACTGAAGCAGAGGTTCCAGAGGAAGGCAAGGAGGCCAGCAAAGGGGGCTCGACTGCTCCTTGGGTGCCAAGACAAGCACTGGGACCTTTATCCTGCCAAGGCAGGTGGTATCACTAGTTTTTTTGTTGTTGTTGTTCTTGTTGTTTTGTTTGTTTGAGACAGAGTCTCCCTCTGTTGCCCAGGCTGGAGTGCAGTGGCATGATCTCGGCTCACTGCAACCTCCGCCTCCTGGGTTCAAGTGATTCTCTCACCTCAGCCTCCCAAGTAGCTGGAATTACACGTGCCCACTAACACACCCAGCTAATTTTTTGTATTTTTAGTAGAGACAAGGTTTCACCATGTTGGCCAGGCTGGTCTCGAACTATTGACCTCAGGTGATCGGACCCCCTTGTCCTTCCAAAGTGCTGGCATTACAGGTGTAAGCCACCACACCCGGCTGGCATCACTAGTTTATCAAAAGCAGCGTGACTCCCACTTAGCCTCTCCCTTGCTGCTCTGCCTCTCCAACCTTGGGAATGTCCCACGGACTTCACCTGCCTGAGGCCAAGTCCATGCAGTCTGCCCGTTTCCATCAAGGGTGCTGCCCAAACTTGGGAGTGAGCTGCAGAAGCACAAACCCTCAGAGTTTGGGACACTGGGAAGCTGTCCTGCCCGCAGGGCCCTCCACGGGACCCCCAGAGCTCCTGCATTGGAGTAAGGGGAGAGCAACTTTGCAGCCAAGGCCCTGGTCAGCACCTGTTGTTCAGCTTCTTCTAGGATAACACCAGGGACAGAGGACTTACTTTTTTATTCATTCATTCATTCATTCATTCATGGTTCAGCAGGTAGTAACTGGGCATCCACGTAGTCTGGGCCAGCCCCTACTCCTGGTGCTGGGGGCCCAGTGTTGGCCACAGTAAGCCTGTGCCCTCCCTCACTGGGCTTACCATCCACTGAGAGGGAGATGATCACCAAGTGAACAAGTTCATAGATAATAAAACTTGAGATGAAACTGGGCTCATGAAGGCAACTGGAACAGAGGGCGGATGGAGGCTCAAGTTAGGAGCAACTCAGAGAAAGCTGGAGTGTGGCCGGGCACAATGGCTCATGCCTGTAATCCCAGCACTTTGGGAGGCCGAGGCAGGTGGATCACGAGGTCAGGAGATCAAGACCATCCTGGCTAACACAGTGAAACCTCGTTTCTACTAAAAATACAAAAAATTAACCGGGCGTGGTGGTGGGTGCCTGTAGTCCCTGCTACTCGGGAGGCTGAGGCAGGAGAATGGTGTGAACCTGGAAGGCGGAGCTTGTAGTGAGCCGAGATCGCGCCACTGCACTCCAGCCTGGGGGACAGAGCGAGACTCCATCTCAAAAAAAAAAAAGAAAAAAAAGAAAGCTGGGACGCCTCTCTCGGGAGGTGGCATCTGAACTGGGCCCTGAACAACCAGAGGGTGCCTCTGCTCAGCCTGGGCTCAAGCAGTGCAAGCCAAGGAAACAGCAAGTGCCAAGGCCCTGGGGCAGCAACAAGTTTGACATTTTGGAGGACCAGGCAGGGCATGGTGGCTCACACCTGTAATCCCAGCACTTTGAGAGGCCAAGGCGGGCAGATCACAAGGTCAGGAGATCGAGACCATCCTGGCTAACACGGTGAAACCCCGTCTCTACTAAAAATACAAAAAAATTAGCCGGGTGTGGTGGCGGACGCCTGTAGTCCCAGCTACTCGGGAGGCTGAGGCAGGAGAATGGTGTGAACCCGGGAGGCGAAGCTTGCAGTGAGCCGAGATCGCGCCACTGCACTCCAGCCTGGGTGACAGAGCGAGACTCTGTCTCAAAAACAAACAAAAAAAAGACATTCTGGAGGACCAGAGAGAGGGCAACATGACTGAAGTACGGGAGTGGGCGAGTGGGGCGGGGGCACAGTGGCTCATCACCTCGTGGGGCCTTCTGTGCACAGTCAGGAGCCACCCTTCAAGTAGGGATCTGATGGGAGTGACCTTCAAGCACCTCAGGGTAGAATCACCTTTAAGCACCTCAGGGTAGAGCCCAGGGACAGTGGCAGAGTGGAGTCAGGAGAGCAGAGAGGAGATGCTGCTGGCCAGCGCTCCTGGGAGAGCTGACCGTGCTCCCTGGCTGCGGGCAGATTTGGGTTACAATTTGGAGGGAGACCCAATAGGACCTGCTCATGGGTTGGATTTGAGAGGTAGAGGAAAAGAAAGGAATTCAGGATAACACCTGCACCAGGTATGGTAGCTCATACCTGTAATAATCCCAGCACTTTGAGAGGCCGAGGCACGAGGATCACTTGTGCTCAGGAGTTTGAGACCAGCCTGGGCAACATAGGGAAACCCTGTCTCTACAGAAAAAAAGTTTCTTAAATTTAGCTGGGCATAATGGTGCACACCTGTAGTCCCAGGTGTGGACCCAGGAGAGTAAACTCTCAAGCAATAGAGGGTAAACGAGGCCAAGGCTGCAGTGAGCTATGATTGTGCCACTGCACCAGCCTGGACGACAGAGCAAGACTCTGTCTCAAAAAATAAAAATAAAAAAGATAACACCTGGGCCAGGCACGGTGACTCACTCCTATAATCTCAGGACTTTGGGATGCTGAGGCAGGTGGATCACTTGAGGCCAGGAGTTGGAGACCAGCCTGGCCAACATGGTGAAACCCGGTCTCTACTAAAAATACAAAATTAGCCAGGCGTGGTGGTGCAGGCCTATAATCCTAGCTACTAGGGAGGCTGAGCCAGGAGAATCACTTGAACCTGGGAGGCAAAGTTTGCAGTGAGCTGAAATCGAGCCACTGCACTCCAGCCTGGGTGACAGAGCAAGATCCTGTCTCAAAAAATAAAAAGGATGACGCCTGGATTTGGGGCCTGATGGCTGTCCGCAGAGACAGACTGCCTTGGGGAGAACAAGGAGCCACGTGGCCATAGCCAATCTTTCCCTTGCCCAGCTCCGGGTACCCCACCATGCTGGCCTTTGTAGGACCTGGTGTCAGACAAACCTGGGCACCACCCTGAACCCACTTGGACAAGCTGGAGGCCCTGGGACGCCACTAAGATCTGAGCCCCACCACCAAAAGCCCTTGACTGGGAATGTGATGCCACCTTCTCGGCTCACTGTGGGGACTCCACGAGGTGACACATAAAGCACAATCTGCACACACCAAGAGGCACGCTACCAGCCAGAGAGTCATTGCTGTCATGCGTCTTCGTCATCTTTGTGCAAATCGGCCCTGCCTCCAAAAAGAAACTGGGCCCTTGGAAGAGGTGCCTCTCAGAGAAGCCCAGGGTCTGGGGCCAGTCCTGGAGAGATGGGTGCAGGAGCAGGAGGAAGAGGAGGAGGAGGGGGAGGGGGTAGAGTGAAGTGGAGTGGAGGAGGGCTCTCAGGCCACCACAGTGGGGACAGGCAGCACACGGCAGCCCATGCCACCCGAGCCCTCAGGTCAGGCCCCGTGGAGAGGCTGCAGGAGCACGAGCTTTGGCGGGAAAGAGACCCCAGACCCTTCTGTGAAATGAGGACATCAGCGCCCATTGTGAGGATGAGGCAAGAGAAGCTTCGAAGCACTTAGCTCAGGGCCAGACACATAGGCCGCATGCAGGAGCCACAAGCTCCAGGCTCGCTGCGGGAACCCCCAGACATCAGGGGGCAGACAGCTGCTGGGGCCTGGAGCAGCAGTGGCAACTGAGACATGGGGACCAGGAATTTGCATGGAGTAGGGCAGGAGCCACTCCTGAAGGAATGGCCAGGCCACCACAGTCCGGGCAGAAGCCAGGCCTGGGGCCAGTAGCCAGCAAGGGAACGACCGCCCCAGCTCCAGACACCCAGCACACCTCCCAGCCTTGCTGCCGGAGCCCTCATCCTGCCTTCAAGGAAGGCTCTCCACCCTGTCCACGACATTCCCACAGCTCCCCACATGCCCCGTGTCCTCCTTAAACCTCCATGAGGGACGGAACCGCATCTGCCTCCTCCATGGTCCTTGGGGTCTCCTTGGAGCCTGGCAGAGCAAGTGCTCAGTAAACGTTCGTGGGACAGATTCACAGCCATTATTGGGCTCAGTGGGTAGAAATGTCCACACTGAGCTGGGCACAGTGGCTCATGCCTGTAATCCCAGCACTTTGGGAGGCCAAGGTGGGTGGATCACCTGAGGTTAGGAGTTCGAGACCAGCCTGGCCAACATGGTGAAACCCCGTCTCTACTAAAAATACAAAATTAGCCGGGTGTGGTGGTGCACACCAGTAATCTTGGCTACTTGGGAGGCTAAAGCAGGAGAATCGCTTGAATCCAGGAGTTGGGGGTTGCAGTGAGCAGAGATGGCACCACTGCACTCCAGCCTGGATGACACAGCAAGACTCTTGTCTCAAAGAAAAAAAAAAGAAAGAAAGAAAGAAAGAAATGTCCACGCTGGAGCCTGATGGCCCAGGTTTGAAACCCACTTACCACCAAGGAATTCCCCCATGGCTCGGTTGCCACATGCCCACCTCGCAGGGTGGCCTGCGGAGATTCAATGAGACGGTGCCAGCAAAGCCCTGGGCTGTGTCCGTTCGGTGTCTGGTACATCCACCCTGTAAGGCCATGTTTACTTACCTTGTTTATACGTAAGGAAACTGAGGCTCAGAGGGGTTCAGTCATGGCTCAAGGTCACACAGAGGGAAATGCAAGAGCCACTCCAGAGCCCACGCACACCTTGGCCACCACGCTCCCCACCCCTTGCAGAGGGCAGGAGCTGGCTCTAGAGGGTGTGCGCAGTCCGTCAGCCCAGCAAGGGCCAGGCCCAATCTCACCAAGCAGAGGTGGGGAGCAGGAGCAGGCTGTTCCGTCCGCAGCCCGCCCACCTGCCTGTCCTGCCCGGGGCTGGGTCCAGTTACCTGGAGATGAGGTGCTGCACTCGGCCTGCCTTTGCAGTGTCCCTTTTGAAAAGCCCCAACTTTGTCTCATGTAAATAACAAGGGTCAAGAAATCTGTCCAGGCTCAGACTGGGAGATCTCACTACAGGCCAGCAAAGGCCCGGCCTCGGGGCCAGAACTGGGGATACAGCCAGCTGCCCTGCCAGGAGAGGAAGCCTCCCAGAGCCCCAGCCACTGTGGAGTACGTCTCATCGCCGCAGCTCTGAGCCCCATCCTCACAGGTCCGTCTACTCCTGGGTGTTGTCCCAGGTATCCCTTGATGTCACCTGCTCAGGGGAGGATGGTGGATGAAGCTGGACCCATCAGGGGCTTCGCCTCTTCACTGGGATTCAGGAAAATACTCCCAGCAGCATCACAAGCACTGAGAGAAATTGAACCGTTCGTCCCTTGGTTCTTAACCACCAAACCCCCCATCCAGGGCCCAGGCAGGAGAAAGAGCACCTCAACTTTGGGACTGAATTCTGGATCCAACTCACATGTGCTGGGGTCCTGAGAACAGAAGCTGGGTCCCAGAGGTCACCAGGAAGGCTGCAGATGCCCGCCAGGGAACTGCTGGCCACAACTCTCCCCAGTCCAAAGGCCCCCTGAGGAATCAGGATCTAGGCTGCCTCCTCTCCCTGGGTCCAGCTCACATGGACTCTCAAACACTTTTCCCCAATACCTCTCACTCCCTGAATCCCCCAGCCCCGACTGCCCACTCCCTCTCAGGGGGTCTCTGGGCCAAAGCACCTACCAAGAACTCACCTCCCCTTCCTTTATCCCAACAGATGTGAGCAAGGCCCCTCTCCTTCCTCTCCCTCCTGACTAGAAGGACAAGCCCCCTCCTCTCTGCCCAAGATGCACCATCCTCCGGCGCTTGTTAGCGGGGAGATCTTTTTATTCAGTTTCCTTTCTTTTTTTTTCTTATTACAAAAGTAGTATGTGGATATGGTAGAAAGATTTAAAAATCAAATACGAAAAACATAAAGCAAGGTTAAAACTGACCCGCCACTACTTTTTCTTTTGTGGTTCAGTAATGTTAGGGTTTTTTTTTTTTTTTTTTTTTTTTTGAGACGGAGTCTTGCTTTGTTGCCCAGACTGGAGTGCCGTAGTGTAATCTCGGCTCACCGCAACCTCCCCCTCCCGGATTCAACCGATTCTCCTGCCTCAGCCTTCCGAGTAGCTGGGATTACAGGCGTGTGCCACCACACCCGGCTGATTTTTTGTATTTTAGTAGAGACGGGGTTTCACCATGTTGGCCAGGATGGTCTCAATCTCCTGACCTCGTGATCCGCCTGCCTCAGCCTCCCAAAGTGCTGGGATTACAGGCGAGCCACCATGCCCGGCCATGTTGGCATTTTCATAACTATCTTTGGAAGCAGGAAAAGCATTAAGAATTTTCCAAAAACCCTCATATCCCCACCACCCAGAGATAAGCTCATCACTACCTGGGCCTGTGTTCATGTAGATGGACAGACAGACGGACGGATCAAGAATGCAGATTTCTGCTTTTTTACAAAAAAGCATTGTCCTTCACCTGCAGTCTTTGCAGCTGCCTTCCCCACGAATAACAGATTATCCGCATCTTTCTGGACAAATAAATGGATAATCGCGTCATCTGACAGCCCATAGGATGACTGCTCCCTCCAGCCCCCTAACAATCCCCAACTGCTGAACATATAGAGTGTTTCCCAGGTTCTGCTGGAATAAGTCCAAGAGGGAAAATCCTCCAGGAGGGACGGTGCTGCCTGTCTTGTTCACCGCAGCGCCCCAGCACTTGTCCCCAGACTGGAACAGAGAGGGCTC
This sequence comes from Homo sapiens, assembly GCF_000001405.40. Classification (NCBI taxonomy): domain Eukaryota; kingdom Metazoa; phylum Chordata; class Mammalia; order Primates; family Hominidae; genus Homo; species Homo sapiens. Next base: position 129,153,406 of record NC_000009.12, on the reverse strand, counting down.
TGACAGTGTTTGCTGAGTGAATGAAAGCAAGCCATCCTCCCGGCTCAACCCTGACCTGGGCCTCTCTGGTCCTCTCCTCAGCTCCCTCCCTCCGCCCTCCGCCTGCAGTGGCACTCAGGTACCCCAGGGGCCCCCCATGCCCACCTGCCTCCTTCTTCCTCCCCACTGTGCCAACCTCACCCTCCTTTCTCTCCAGCCCACTGCTCCTCTGCTTGGCTCCACAGCACTCAGAACTGCCCTCTCACAGGCCCCATACCCACCTCCGGTGCTGGCTGCCTGGCACCAGGGCAACAGTGGCCACTCAGTCTCCCTGCCCATTCCACTCACCTGCCCCAGGCGGGGCACCAGCTTCCTTTCTCCACGGATTCTCCAGGGCTGACCTGCCCCCTCCTGTGTCTGTATCATGCTCTGCACGAGGGCCCCTGCCACTGTCACAGCCATTTCACAGATATGTACCGAGTGTCTGCAGGACCTTCCTAGGGCTAGCAGGAAATAGGACAGATGAGGTGTCTGGCCTCACAGGAGCAGCAAAGCTAGGTGCTGAGTGCAAGGTGGTGGGCCTTAGCCTGCCTCATGTGAATCTCCATCAGCCCCCACCAAGGAACCCCAAGTAAAGAGAAGCTGTGTCTGCAGACAGCCCCCTACCACCCCAAATTCTAACCAGCTGGCTGCCCCTCCCCAACAAAGACCCCGGTGTCCCTACGGCAGGGGTGTGGCTGAGTGCTGGGTGGGGTGGGGACACCCAGGCAAGCAGGCCCAGGAGACCAGCCCCGATCTAGGGGGCCAGGCGAGGCCTCTCAGAGGGAGCGAAGCCTCAGCTGAGCCCCAAAGAAACACCAGGGGTTGCCCAGTGGGGTAAAGGGTTCTTCGAACAGGGCCAAACTGATCAGCGGCTCCAGGAGTGTGAGGAAGAGAGGCAGCCAGGGTGGCTGGACCTTGACACAGCAAGGGTGTGGGCAAGGGCCTGAGGCTGGAGAACAAGCAGGGCACAGCAGAGGATTCTGGGAATCTCTTTGGCCCCAGATTCCCCACTCTACCAGGGGTTGGGTCCTGGCAGCCCTGCCAGCCTCCCATTCAGCCCATGCAACATGTCTACCAGAGCTCCTCAAACTCTGCACCCCTGGCTGAGCTACCTTTGCCGGAGTCCTCCTCTCAGGCATGTGCCTAGGGTCATTAAGAACCCCTCCCTCTTCCTCAGCACCAGCTCCCACCTCCACCCTCCGCTTCCCAGCCCAGGGCCTCTCTCTGTGCTGCTTGGGGCCTTCAACATCCCTTATCTGGGCCAAGGCCCCAGTCCCATCACCAGCATCCACAGTCCCATCACCAGCATCCAGCCAGCTGCCCATGAGTTTCCTAAATCCCAATCCTCATCTCTCACACACACCACAGAGGCACCAGTTACATACTTCCCCAGCTCCCCACCAACTCCCCACCGAACCACTGATTCCTGCTTCCGGGTGCCTGCTGTGTGCCAGTCTCTGCTGGGCACTGGGATACAGCAGTGGGCAAGACAGACAGTCCCTGGCCTCCTGCGGCTCATCTTCTAGCAGGGAAGACGAACCTTAAGCAATGCATTTTGTAGAGAATTAAATGCCGCTAGGCAAGTGTCAAGGCCACGTGTGGAGTGCTACGGGCATCCATGGCGGGGGTCTTGGATCCCGAGCTGGTGTTAAAGCCCTCTGCAGGCCAGCCCCGACCTGCTGTTGCAACTGTGTCCCCTGCCAGCCACCCCTCCACATCTCTGTGCACAATGGCCCCGCGAGCACGTCCTTGGTCTGCGCCCATCACCCAGGTGAGAGGATGCCCACACGCCACCTCCTCCACAGAGTATTCCAGAGCTTACCTAAAGTCCACCCGGCCGCATCACCTTCCGCCCTCCTTTGCAACTAGTTCTCCATCTCTCTGTTTCCCCAGTAAGCTGGAAGTTTCTTGAAGGCAGATTCTTACCTTTTTCTCATCTCCACATTCCTCCAATACCTCATACATATATAACACATGCTTAATGCTTGTGGGATTCAAGAAAAACATATCACCTGACTTAGGCCCAAGTCTTGGGCACACCAAACCCTCAGCTTTGCTCTCCTTCCAACCCCAACCTCTGCCCAGGATTTTCCTCCCAGGAAGGCTTCTTCCTCTCACCTCTCACGAGCATGAAGCGGCCTCTGCCCCGGCGAACCAAAAAGGAGCACAAGTGGCTGAGTTCAGCTTGTCCATCCTGGAGCTCCTGTGGCCCAGGATGCTGGGAAGTGACACCCGCCCTTCAGCTCTGCAGCCAGCCCCACACTCAGAGGGCTTCTTTCGGACATGTTGAGCCGCTGGGGTGCCAGCAGCAGGCCAACCTCCACCGAGCACAGCACAGGCTACAGGTGCACGTGCCTCCATGGCCCATCTCCCAGGGCCTGAGTGGGCTCCCATCCTGCCCAGAAGCCCACGCCCACGTCCTCGGAGCTCTCACTGCCCCTCATGCCTTACATTTCCCTGTAAAAATAAACCCAGCCCAACCCGCCGCCAAACCGGCGCAGGGTCTGCCTTCCTCCCACAGGGAGAAACGAGCATCCTGCCTCAGCCACCTGCCCCGTGAAGGCCACCGGTACCTTCTCAGGACCTCGCTCCCTTCAACCTCCCGCTCTCCTGGACCTTCCCAGCATGCAGCAGGAGGCAGCCCCTTGCCAGTCTGACCAGAGCCCACCTTCAAGGCAGTCCCTTGGCCACCACCCTGCCCACTCTCCCGTCCCCACTCCCACCACAGTGAAACTCAGAAGAGAAGCGAGTGATGTCTGGTCAGTATCCACCTCAAGCAGCAGACCATCCCTCCACATCTTCCTCCTAGGGTGGGGGCCTGTGCCATGACAAGCAGACCTCACAGGGTGCGGTCTGCGTTCTCATCCCTGCTCCCCCCTCCCCCACCCCACGAAAGCCCACCCAGGGCCAATGCTCCTTGTATTTGCAGCTTTGGGTCCCCTGCCCACACTCCACCCTCCTCTGTGCAGAAGCCGGCCCTCTCCTCTCCCTCATCTGCATGTTCCACCCATTTGGCACTACGCCTCGTCACCATGCCCGCCACCTCCATCCTCTTCAGCCCACCCCAGCGCCCTCATCCTCAGCACCTCCTCTTAGAAGCTAACAGGCAGTTCCGCGCCCCCACAGCAATTCCTCTCCCTCAGGGCCCCCCACCCCAGGAAATGGCACCAAGCCACACAAGCCAAGAATTGGGGTTCTTGGCTGCTCGGCTCCCTGTCATAACTCCCTTCCTGTTAGCGACACCAAATGCAGCCTAAATTGGACCACTTCCCACCATCCCACTCTGAACCCTCACCCAGGCCACTATCCCTGTGCCCAATCACAACTACAACCTCCCAAATGGTCCTATCTCCCCTTCTCCCCAACAAAACCTTCCAGCACCTTCCCATAGAACACTGTCCAAACTCAGCAGAGCCCGCAAGGCCCCGGCCTAAAAGTCTGGCCCCTATACCCAACCCTAGCCCTCCAGGCCCAGGCCTGAGCTCTCCACAGCGGCTCTTTCTTGTCCTCAGGGTCTCAGCTCACAGGACCTTTTAGAGCAAGTAACCCCCTGCCCTGCCCCCATCAACGCCTTCTCTAATTGACGTTATTTTCTCCATAATCCACCGGCTACCTAACACTGTCATATCTGGGTGCACTGCAGTCATGAGGAACATGCAGCCACTATTTGTGAAATGAAGGAATCCTCAAGACCAATGATAGGAACGTCATTATGCCCATTTTTCAGATCAGGAAGCTGAGGCTCAGAGAGAAGTCAACCATGAGGGCCCTCTACTTCCTGGTGAGTAAGCAGCAGCTGCTCAGTTTGAACTCGGGTGTGCCTGAGGCAGCGCAAGGTGATGAGGGGCTGAGGCTTTCCAGTCCATGCAAGGCCTCTAAGGCCAAGAGAAAGGTCAAGGACCCTTGTTCTCTGAGCAAGAGTGTCTTAAGGAAGTCTGGGGCACAGCAGCCCCAGAGACCCTCAACTCCAGCCCAGCAGGGACAGGAGGGGCAGAGGAGGGAGAATAGAGGGCCACCCCCTCACAAACCACAGGTGCATGTTCCACTGTCAAAGCCCATCCAAAGGCTCCCTGGCCAGCTTGGGGCTAAGTTGGGAGTCCAGAGGGGCCCCCTTCACCAAGCACAGCTGCAGTGACCACCCGGGATATGCTATGTGCCAGGCCCTGAGCTGAGGACTTCACATCTGCTGTCCACTGCTGGCAGTCACCCTGTGACTGTCCCCATTTTGTGAATTGAGGAAGCTGGGGCTCAGGGGCTTCAGTAACTTACAACCTTGCAGCTGGGACTGCAGACAGCTAGGATTTAAACCCAGGAAAGGCTCAACCCAAATTGAAACAGCTCGTCTCAGACACTGTGGCCTGAGAGAAGGGGACCTGATGGAGGTCAGTCATGCAGAAATGGGTTAAACATGTGACATGAAAAGACATACCTCACACAAGTGACAGGTGCAAAACAGAGGCTTTAATCTGAACAGCAATGAGGGTGCAAGGGGCTGGGAGCCCATAGGGGGATGGGGGAGCCAGGAAGGGCTGTCTGGCCCTGGGAGAGAGGTGGACGCTGGGCCTCTTCTGAGAAACTGTCACTGACCTTTGGGACTCCTGACCCAGCCTCTGCCCAGACCATCACCGGATCCCAGGCTGAGCCCCTGTGCTGTGCTTCTCAGTGCTCCCCCTTCCTGAAGGGTGTGTGGACCCAGACACAGGAGGGGGCAGTGGAGAAGGGCAGGCCTGGGGGACGAGCCTGTAAGAGCCAGGCCCAGGAACAGCCCTAGGAGAAACCTCGGCGGTGGCCCTCAATGGGCCTGCCCAGCCCCCACTGGGCCCATTCTGAGTGCCAAAGCCTGGGCTTGGGAGGCTGTCTCTTACCTCACCCTATAAAAGCAATGGACAGTTCAGGGAGGTGGGAGGACAAGGTGTGGGACTGCCACCTTCTGGGCCCACCCATCACCCAGGGGAGCAGAGAAGCAGGGCCCAGGGGCCCAGGGTGAGGCTCACAGCAGCGCAAAGGTAGCAGAAGTGGCCGGGCCTAAGACTGCCAAGAGGAATCCAGGCTCTCCAGATACAATGGGCCCCAAGCCCCTCCCTGAGTTTCTGCCATCCCCTCCCTGCCAGGGAAAGTTCTGGAAAGACATGCCTCACCCCATCATCTGGGCCCTCCCAGGAGCCCAGCACCTACCCAAAGGGCAGCTTCCATTGGCTAGGTTACCCTTAGGGAGCGGGAGAGATGTGGCTACAGTCAGGAAACCCAGCAGAGCCAAGGGCTAGAGAACTGAAGAGCCAGGGGGAGGCTTGGACACAGGGGGCCTCAGGCCCAGGGGGCAGGGTGAAAAGGAGCCTGGGAGGGGCACCAGCCAGGACAGCTAAGGCCTCTCCACCACCCGACCCCACCCACCCCACCCCAGCCCACAGCTGGCGGCCAGCCTCAGCTTCCAGCCCTACCATAGATGGCCACCCCGGCATGGCCTGGGAAACTGACCCGCCCCTGCAAGGAGCAGCTCCAACCCTTAGAAAGGCATCGACTCCAGGAAGGGAAAAGCAATGGAAGCAGCAGGTATCTCTCCTCCCTTCCCTGCGGTGCTGCAGAACAGCCCCTGCTCTCAAAACCAGACTGGACGGGAGTGAAGGGAGAAGAGGCCAGAAACAGGAGAGAGTGGCCGAGTGACCAGGCCCCAGACCCTCTCTTCTGGCCAGTCTAGCACACGGGAACTCAGAAAACTGGCTACACTTTGGTCACTTCTCCCAACTTGGGCCCTGAAGCCTTATGCTCTGAGCCCCCTCAAGCCCATCTCGCCACCCCACCCCAGTAAACAGCCTCTCATCAAACGGGACGAACAGAGGGAGGGGATGGGGAGGGGCCACTGCTGGGGTGGGGAAGGCAGGCACAGGAACTGTGGCCTGGGTGGCTCTTCGGCTTGGCCCCTCCTAGCCCGACGTGACAGGATGGATGGGCAGCAGGCTCCCGAACTTGAAGTGCTGGATCACAGGGAACTTCTCCAGGCACTGTGAGGAAGGAGCAGGTGAGCAGAGTGGTGAGGGCCACACCACACCCCTGCCAGGACCCCAACAACCGCAGCAGCTCCCAGGTGTCCATCCCGGGCCCAGGAAGTAGCCCCGCCAGGGGATCCCCCAGGCCTTCCTCCCCCAGTTCCTCACTCCTTCTATCCAAAGACACCCACTCCACAACGAGACCCACGAGAGAGAGAAAGAGAAAAGGCAGCCCAAACCTACAAGGTAGAAACCGAGAAGAGAGGCAGCCAGGTGCCATCACTTGGCCCAGAGAGGGAAGTTGGGAACCTGAGGTGGAAAGAACCCTCCTGATCACTGGGGACCCCCAGCCCAGGTCCCAGTTCTAGAGAAGAGACGTGGGGACATTTGAACGTAAGCCTAAGAGGCTGAGGCCGGGTCCCAAAGCCTGTTTTCTCCAGCTTTCAGTTCTCTGGACTGAAAAAGGCATCTTGGCACTTCAGAGCGAGACAATAAGAACCAGCTGACACTGAGTTCCCCCCACCCCTGGGCAATTCCCAGCAGCCTGTGTGGGGGGCAGGGGAAAAAGAGCGCTGAACAGGGGAATGGCTGAGCACGGGGGAGGCCCGACTCCCTGAGCCCAGCCCAGCCCGGGCTCCTAGCAGAGGAGCAGAGCTGGAGAGCAAGTGACAGGGCCTATCACAGAAGCTGGCCTGGCCCACAGGCAGCCAACCCCAGCTTCCAGCTGCAGCTCCCGCAACAGCACCCCCATGCCTGCCACACCTGGACACTAGCTCTCACAGGAGCCGTTCTGGGCATGCGAGGGTTGGATCTGCCAAGACTGACCAGGGCCTCCTCCCACACCTTTGGCCACAGAAAACAGAGTATGTTAGGCACCTCCTGGCTGGGGTGGAACAAGACTTATGGCCTCAGAGAGAGTAAGAGCCTCACTCTGTGGCTGTGATCTTAACCTCCAACTAACTTAGAGACAAACGGGTGCTATGACTGGCCCAGGTTCCCTCTCCTCAAAAATCAGCTGTGGAACCTAAGAGGGAGAAGCACCAGGGTGACGAGTGGGCCAAAGAGGCGCCAGGAGGGGAGGGAAAGAAGGATGGAAACCAAGCTCATGGTGGGGTGGGGAGCAGAGCCCTGGCCACAGCCAGGATCCTGGGCCTGAGACACAGAATGCGGGAGCAGGGAGCGGGAGGTGGTCCCTGGGCGGGAGGGGGAGCAGCCGCAGATCCAGGCCAGAGGCCAAGGCAGCTGCCATGGTGCTTATGTCATCCCAGAAGTGGTCATAAGAGCCCCCCCACCCCCCAAGGGCCCTGGAATTCCAGAAGGGGTCAAAGGTCAACCTCCCTCTAGCTCCCATAGAAGAAGTTGCAAGGCGAGAAGGGGTGGAGGCAGGGGTTCTTCCCATTCTGCCCACAGGACCCCAGAGCCAGCCCCCTCAGAGCCACAGGAGCTGGGCCAAGGAAGCCTAAGGCTCCAGGGCAGGAGGAGCCTCCAGCCCAGCCTTTCTCCCAGCAAGGCCCTCCCATGTACCTGGGCGGAGCAGCGGCTTCAGACTGCCCCCTGACCTTCCAGCCAGAGGTGATTCAAGCTGGGGAAGGGACTCCCTGGGTCCTGACAAGGTCCTTCTGAAGGCAGCACCCACACAGCCATGGCCCAGAGGAAAGACAGACCCTCCCCCCCGCCGCCCCGCAACCACACAAGGCCCCTGAGAGCACTTGGTTCTTCGGTCAGAAAGGCTGGGACAGAGCAGAGTTAGACCCAAATCCTGAGGCCACCTACTGCCAGGCTGGTCAGACTTCTGTGGCAGCCCAGGAGGCTGACTCCCCTCAATCAACCAGTTCTGACTGGAGACCCAGCCTTCCTACCCACCCCTGGACTGCAAGACTGGCAGGCCTTGGAGGGCCTCCTTAGGGGCTAAGAACTGGCCTGAGAAAACAAGCCCTCTCCTTGGACCTCTGTGTAGGCAACATGCCAGCCCATGGGCCCTTCGGGACCAAGGACTAAGGGCTAGTTGCTAGTAAGTTGTCAATGAGTGTTGAACACTGCAAAGACTTGGTGATCTTTTTTTTTTTTTTTCCTGAGATGGAGTCTCGCTGTTGCCCAGGCTGGAGTGCAGTGGCATGATCTCGGCTCACTGCAACCTCCACCTCCCAAATTCAAGTGACTGTCCTGCCTCAGCCTCCTGAGTAGCTGGAATTACAGGTGCGCACCACGATGCCAGGCTAATTTTTGTATTTTTAGTAGACACAGTGTTTCACCGTGTTGGCCAGGCTGGTCATGAACTCCTGACCTCAGGTGATCTACCTGCCTTGGCCTCCCAAAGTGCTGGGATTATAGGCATGAGCCACCGCACCCAACCAGTGATTTTTTTCTTTGAGACGGAGTCTCACACTGTTGCCCAGGCTGGAGTGCAGTGGTGTGATCTCAATTCACTGCAACCTCCGCCTACCAGGTTCAAGCGATTCTCCCGTCTCAGCCTCCCAAGTAGCTGGGACCACAGGCATGAGCCACCACACCCAGCTAATTTTTATATTTTTAGTAGAGACGGGGTTTCCTCATGTTGCCCAGGTTGGTCTCGAACTCCTGGCCTCAAGTGATCCACCCACCTCAGCCTCCCAAATTGCTGGGATTACAGGCAAAGACTTGGTGATCTTTTTTTTTTTTTTTTTTTGAGAGAGTCTCGCTCTGTCGCCCAGGCTGGAGTGCAGTGGCACCATCTCAGCTCACTGCAAGCTCCACCGCCCGGACTCACGCCATTCTCCTGCCTCTGCCTCCCGAGTAGCTGGGACTACAGGCACCCGCCACCACGCCCGGCTAATTTTTTTATATTTTTAGTAGAGACGGGGTTTCACTGTGTTAGCCAGGATGGTCTCGATCTCCTGACCTCGTGATCCGCCCACCTCGGCCTCCCAAAGTGCTGGGATTACAGGCGTGAGCCACCACGCCCGGCCTGACTTGGTGATCTTAAAGTCAGGGAGTTCCAGCGTCACCCTATACAGGAGCCTGTCCCCTTCCCCACACAGCGCCGGCCTCAACTAGGGCTAGAATCTCCCTTTTTCAGATTACTAGAGAGCTCCCCCATCCTGAGTTGGTCATTTTCAGTGTCCTCTTTGTGTTTGCCACCCTGTGCTCAGCCCCCACGGAGACCCCGACAGCCTGTGCAGAGTGGACAGTCCCTGTGTTCCTGCCACACCATCACCATTTTCAATCCGAATATGCTCCTCCCTCATCCTCTGGCAGCCTGGAGTTCTTTTGTCTCTGGAAGGGCAGGTGAGAGAAGGGGACAGGGTCTCTTGCCCTATCCTTTGGGCCTTAGAGCCTGAGTCGAGAGAAGTTTAGAGTCACTTGAATTAAGAGGCTTGTAGAGAAGACAGTACTTCAGGTACCAAGCAGAGAAGGCAGCCAGAGTCCTCTCTTTGGCACACAAGGGTTGGGGTTGGGAGGTGGCTGGTGGGCGATGTGCACCTCTCACATGCTCAGACACCCTGGAGGCGGGGCACAGCAGAGTGAGAGTTCCCCAGCAGCCCCCACTGTGGGACAGGCGGGGGTGGGGTCAGGAACATCAGGACACCAGAGGGCAGTGACCCAGGGCAGAGTCGGAGTGGAGAGCCGGGGGTGGCCAGCTGCAGCCGGAAGGAACCTAGGCAGCTCCAGCCAACGGGCTCTCAGGCCTCTCAGATTAGAGAGGTATGTGGGCTGGAACCTAAACACAGGATGTGAGGTCCAGAGGAAGGGGACCAAAGGGGGAGGGGGCGGAAGGGAGTGAGGGCCCGGTCTGTTCAGTTCAAGCCTCATTAACCCCTTCAGGACCAAGTGCAGGGAGCCAAGCCAACTGGAAGCATCTGTGCTCCCCCACCCCGCTGGCCTCTGGCACCCTTCCCCGTTGTCCCGCCTCTGCTGATGGGATCCAGGAAGCTCTGGGTCCAATGAAGACCTGGAGCAGCCCCTTCCCAGAAGAGAAGGCCGGCCAGGAGTCAAGAGATGGTGCCCACAGTACAGTGTCTGAGGCCATGAACTAGTCACAAGGGCCAGCCTGAGAACAGAAAGAAGGGACTTTAAGGACCCATCACTCCAGGTGTGGAACTTCACATCCAGCCCTTCCCTGGCCAAGGTCAAGCAGTTCTAGAATTAGTCTTCCCAGGAAGTGGGAGGAGCTAGCAGAAGGGACAGAGTAGAAATAAAATGTCTCCTCCCCACTTGGAAGAGAGAAAAGGCCACCTCCTTGGCTGGGAGAACAGTGCCAAGAGGGCAGGAGACACCCTCGGCTGCCTGCCAGCAGGGGGAGCTCCAGGAAGCCTCAGCTCTCCTCTCCTCAGCATCTGATTTGAGAGCAGGGAAAACCATTTGCATCAAAATCCCTGAAGCGGTCCATAAAAATGCCAATTCTCGGCCTACCCTCAGACCTCCCACCACTCAGTGATCATACACACTAACATTTGAAGGCAGCACTTTGGAGATGCCTCCAAAGGGTAAGACCCTTCCCAGGTATGCCATGGGAGAGCCAGACTCAGACTGCCCGAGCTTTGAGGAGCCTTTGGCCACTTGATAAAGGAGAAGGGAGGCCCCCATCGCCCCCACTCCCCATGCAGCAGGTCCTTGCCTCAGCCTCCAAGCTCATCAGGACAGAGCTGGACTGCAGCTTTTCGGGGCTGGGGTGGCTGGTGCTTCTCTGACTGCCCATGCCCCAGATGGGAGATTCCGAGGCCCCAAGTGTCAGAGGGGCTGGCCTAAGATTCAGAGCAAAACAGTGGGGTAGGAGGAAGCAGGAGCCCCAGGTTCCACATCTTTTGCTTTGTCCCCAGCCCAGGACCAAGTGCGGCAGCAGGGACGGGCACACTGGCCAGCCCCCACTCACCTCGGCCTTATACATGCGGATGAGACCCTGGTTCACTTTGGACCAGGAAGGGACGGCGCTGATGTTCCACAGCTGGTTGGAGTGCTCTGCAAATGGGCCAGTCTTCATCTGAAAAAGAGAAGCCACAAGCTGAAGAGACAGGTTCTGGCTGGGAGCTCATCCCTCCTCCCCTGCAGCAAAGTCACACCCATGCATGCACACACACACACACACAAACGCACACGCACACAATGCACGCGCAGACACTTGGGGACCAAGCTATAGCATCTGCCTGAGGGGCAAACATACAAACAGGCACATGCAAGTGCCAGAGACAAGGTTCCCCTTTGGCCCTCAAGGCCTGCTAGGAAAATATAACATTCCTTGCCCACCTACCCGCAGTCACCCCTCTTTCTCCCACAGCCAAAAAAAGGGGGCCTGATTCCTATCGCCCACCAAATCCAGCAGCCTCAGGAAGATAAGATCTCCACCTGAGCTTCTGGTGTCGTTCCCACCGACTCCCCAGGAGCCTCAGAGCGCCTCTCCAGCACAGGGATTCACTTGGGTTCAGATAAATAGCAGCAGCAGCTAGGCCCCACCCCTCCAGGCCCACCCCCTCTCCCCCAGGCCCCCCCACAGGACACGTGGTCTGCACCTGCCACCAGCAGAGCTAGAAGAGATGAGGAAAGGGTCAATTTGCAAGAGGACCAAGGTGGGTATGACCAAACCCAGGTATCCGACAGCCCTCTGCCTGCCATGCAGGCAGGGAAGAGAGGGCCGATGGGAGGCAGGGGTGCCTGAAGCAGCAGCCAGCCTGGCCTGGCCAGGAGGTGGGGAAGGGGTGGCCGCCACAGCAGCTGAAAGAGGCAGGCACAAGGACGGCTCCATTCCTGGTCCTCCCTCTTGCCAAAGAGTCTGACCCTCCAGGACGGAAGAGAAAGATTCTGCAGCCAGCATGAAGTTCCCATGACGTCAGAAACCACAGAGGGACGCCTGTGTGCCTGAGCATATCCCCCTGACACCGCAAGTCCAGCACATTTGTATTTATTAACCAAGCAGTTCATAATTCCCCTCGACACAGCCCCCCAGCTCATAGGCAGCATTTACAGGGGAACAGGGCTCTGTACCCCAGACCCATGCTGCAGAAGGAAGACTCTGCAAAGAGGCTGAATCTGGCAAAGAAACAGAGACTTGGAAGGTTCTAGAAACATGCGGGTGTCAGGGGAGACTGGGTTATTTTTTGAAGGAGAAAAGATAAGCCAGAAACGCTCTCCAAAAAGGGGCATCAGTTCACCACAAGAGCCCTCAGGAGCCCCCACTCTTGAGCCATGGGCTGCCACCTGGTGACCCACTCCTGGCAGGCCTCTTACTTCTCTAGTAAGGGCAACTGTGACAAAACTTTTAAGATTTAAGTCAAAAAAAACCTGTCATTTTATCCCCCTCATTTCCCTCCCCTGGCCCAGGTTCCCAAAAAGCCCATCCAAACACCCATGTTCAGGAGCAAGGACAACAGGCTCCTCCCTCCCCTCCTCTTCTCTCCCAGGCTCCACCACAGCCAGGCAAGAGCCCGAGGCACCCAACAGAGACAAAGCCCACTCTGGTCCCTGGGGGCCTTGTCTTGGACCACTCGCTTCACTCAGAATCACCCCAGGCTCTCTCCTCCAGGAGGGCAGCCAGGCACCCCGAGCCTACAGGGGCCTCACCTCTGGGGAGCTTTGTTTCAACTGCCCTGCTCAACCACACTCCACCCCCAGCCCCTCCCCCACCTCCCCACCCTACCCCACCCCTTCCCCAGTCTGCAGGCTCCAGCCCTGTGCACACTTCCAGGCCCAGGAAAGCTCAGGGAGCATGGAGCTGTGTAACCAGTTTCACTCTCTGGACAGGGCCCTCTGAGCAAGCAACCAGGAGGCACCCTGTCGGCTTTGTCGGCTTTGTCTGCCAGGGGCCTGCCCGGCAAGGGCTCCGAGGCAAAGGCAGGCAGATGGGCACTGGAAGACAAGAGCCCCTGCCTCCTGGCCAGCCTCGCCTACCAGGGCCAAAGAACAGATCCTCAAAAGGCCTCTGGCAGAGCCAGGGCTAGGCCCATGTCCTGGAGCTCCAGTGGCCCTGGGCCCCTACACACAGAAAGGCCAGAGAGGTAGTTTCTTTGGAGGGGCTGCAGGCTGCCCCCAGGCCTTCAGTACCCCAGGGTCTCCCTAAGTCCTTCAGGGAGGTTACAGTCCTTTGCCTGTAACTCTGGCAAAGGAAAACAGACGAGTGGGAGAAAAAGGAATCGGGGCTGGAAGACAAAGAAAAAATTAGCTCATTCTAGCCACAAAGGGAGAAGAGAAAGAACCAGAATGAGCGAGCGAGCTGCAGCCCGCAGTGACCCCAGGGGAATCGTGTGAGTCAGAGCAGCCATATTGAGCAGGAAATTACTCACAGACGCTGCGTTCCTGCCTCTCCACTCCCCAGAGAATCGGCCTTTTGTAAATGGCTCCTCTGTCAGTAACTGGGGGGATGGGCGGGGGTGGGGAGGCTCTGCACAGCGCCTTCCTGTCAGCTCCTTCCCTTCCAGCTGAAATCTGATCCCTCCCTTCCCAAAACTCCAAATTTAGAAGCCAGATTGAAACTGAAATTCTTTTCCTGCCTGCCCTGGGCTCTTAAAGGCGCCAGGGCTGCATTTACAGAGGCTGTAGAGGCCCTGCAAGGTGGGGTCCCTCACCTAGGATGCCCACGGGTATCAGGGCAGTCTTGGCATGAGACCCTGAAAGGGCTGCCTGATTCCACTCCCAAGTTCTCGGTGTTTTAGTTAATCTCCCAGTTAAAAGAGCACCATGGTGAATCCAGGGTCTCCAGAGGAAACACTGCCTCCTTCCCAAGCAAGGCGTACAGAACTCCATGCAAGCCTCCAGGTCCCCAGTGAGCTAGGCCAGGCCACTCACCAACTAGGGACTGCAAAATGCTGCTCACTGCTCCGAGGTGGAAGAGGGTGGGCGCTCTGGAGAACCAACACAACGTGTGCTGCAACCAGCGGCCACGTGGCAAGATGGGCCCTTGCTGCAGCCACCCCGGCTCCTGGGCACACTCCTCCTAGGGTCTACTGTTGAACACCATGCCCAAGAGCCTAGACCCAAAGTGAAAACCCGGACCTGTGGAGAAGGTGCGGAACAGCCAACAACTCTAGGCACGCCCTCCCCTCCCTGTTCCTTCTGCTGCCTCAAATAAATGTCACCAAACCCTCTCCAAGTTCAGTGTGCCTCTCCTGCCACCTAGTGGCTACTTTGAGATTTCCTCTACTGGAGGAACTGGGTCCCAAACTTTGGAAAAGCTTTTGGGGTGTTTATACCAACAAAATCAACCAACCAACTAAAGACAAAATTTTACCATGGAATCAATTCCCAAAATCCTGGAGGCCAGGCCTGGCATGCCTCCTAGTTAGAATACCGACAGGGACCCAGAGGCCTGGCCAGCCGCCGGGGGAGCCCAAACAGCTCAGCCTTTCAGCCACACCCAAGAACTCAGTGTGGCATCTGCACCCTTCTTCCCACCCTGCTCCTCCAGCTTATCCTGAGGTCCCCCAGGGCTCCGCAGACCCCCACATTCCACTCCACAGAGAGCAGCGCGTGACTGGCTTTCAAGGCAGTGAGCCAGGCTGCCCCCAAGTCCTCCCGACCTTGGGCCTGCCACACTGCTGAGGGCAGCAGATCTCCGGGAATGAAGTGGTGGCCGCCCAGCCGTCAGTCCCGGCTCCATTTGCTGACTTGGAAAAAATGTGTCATTCCCCTCTGGCCTCTGGAGTTTGGCAGAAGCCTGAGCCGAATGTTGACCAGGAAGAGCCTGGAGCCAAGGCTGCTGGTTATAACCCAGCTTTCTCCACCTCGTCGGGGGCTCAGAATACACAGCCCGGACGGAGAGCAGCCCCCGTGGCCAGCATCCACAGGCCTGCTAGGAACCTCACTGAGGCAGCAGACATCCGTGCTGGTGTCGGGAAAGGGACTGAGGAGGGATAGAACTCTCAAACCCTCTCCAGATAGCTGAGCGAGGGCGCCCTTTGGAAACTGGGGCATGGGGATGGCAGAGAGGATGAGAAGTCCTAACACCTCCCTCAAGAGAGGTCCAGAGAGCAGAGGGTCCCCAGCTTTCCTGTGCAGTCGCCTGGCACGTGTGTTTAGATGCAGGTTCCTGGCTCTTGTCCCCTAAGATTCTGATGCAATAAGCTGGGATGGAGGGCCCAGGAATGTGCGTTTTAACAAACACACTAGGAGATCTCGCACAAGTGGTCCAGGGCCCACTGCAAGGAATCCTGCCTTGGTGAGACAATAACTTCCAGTTCCAGAACCCAGCCGTGGGGCTGGCTATCCAGTGACTGCCACCACAGGCCAGGCCTGCGCACTCCCACTCCAGCACTTTGCTCGGGCCCACGTCCTCAGGCACTGACAGAGACGTGTCCCTTCGACAGAAAAGCTGTCTGCACCAGAAGTTCGCTCCATCTCCTCTGGTGGTTTCATTTTACACATCCACAGCACATGGTTCTACAGACCCTTGTGGGGCCCCACCGAAAGATGCTGACCCTCCCCCACAAACCTCCGCCCGCCCCGACCCTTTCAGACCTGCTGCAGCAGTCACCAAGGCCAGTTAGTGACCAAGTCTTAGACCCTCATCTCAAGACTCCTGTGGTGTTCAGGAGAAACTGAAGGAGAACTGGGCGGAGGACCTGACAGTCAGCAGCGGCTCTTTCGGAAGAGGCCCAGTGGTGCTTCCTTTTCAATAACCCGCTCCGGCCGGCCCTGCCATTTTGGGCAGCAGCTCTGGCTCTTCTGATCCACTGTAAGGCCACCAGCCTTGGTTCATCTGAGCCTGGAGGCAGCCATGGGCTTCTCTCTCACCCCTCCTCCTCACCTCGGTAATAAACAGGATACACTCCAGGAACATGTAGTCCTTGTGGTTCTCATTCACGGCCTTCTCATCCACAAAGTGTCTGGGCTCCAGGTATGGGTGGTCTGGGAAAAGGAATGGGCCCCAGCATTCAGAACCAGGCCCCACGACTACCTGGGCAACCCGGCCCAGCAGTCACACCCCCCCAGGGGCCTCAGTCCTGCCCGTGGTGCCCTCAACACCTCACCTTGAAGGAGCAATAAGTAACTCTGGGTTTGTGTATTCTAATGTGCTAAGCTCTAGCTGCATGGCGTTGGACGCATGACTTCAGCCTGCCAAGGTTCAGTTTCCTCACCTGGACACTGGGGACAAGAAGAGCACCTCCTCCTAGGGGCCATGACAACAATTACCACACCTACAGCACTCAGTATGGTGCCTGGTGCAGGTGCCAGTCAGCAGAGCCGGCTTCATGCTGGCAGACCCTTCGCAGTGTCACTGAGAAGATTCGGGGAGGCAATGCACCCGAGGCCACAACTAATGGTCATTTATGAATATCAGTCTGTAGGCAGTTCATTCTTCATCAAAATAGAGATGATCACCTACGCCCATCCTGAAAACTAGCTTCAAGAGTTGGGGAGTCACCAGAGCAGGCCTCTCTGAGCCCCACAGGAAGCAGGCCCACCACCCAGCACTTGGCGGCTGCTCCCTAACGGGCCCCTTTGCACACAGCTCGATAATAACAGTGGATGACACTGGTCACCAAATCAAAAGGGTCCCTCATTTTCAACATAAAACCCCACAGCTGCTGCCAGGAGCTGGGGCGCATTTCACACCAGTCCATTATGCACCAGGCGTGCGCCCTTGCTCCAGCCCATGTCACTTCCCATTATCTTGGTGGCGCTTGGCCTCCGCCTCCTCCAGCCCACCACACGGGCTCTCACAGCAGAAGGTCGACAGTAAACAGCCTCCCTCAATAGCTGGTCTAATGCCCTGCTTTCCAAGCTGTCACTGTCTGCCCTGGGCAGGAAGAAGGGAAGGAGGGAGCGCAGGAGGGGCAGGGGAGGGCCACAGAACGCAGCCTTGGTTGGGGGTGGAGGGATAGGCACCTCCCGCTCTAGTACCTATCAGCTGCGAACTGCCCCAGATGAAGGGCAGAAACTGGAAGTCATCCAGACCCCACACTCCCTGGCTGCCGGCTGGCTCCATCCTGTATGTTTTCTGGAGTTTCCGCATAACCTCAAGGTACCTGCACAGGAGGACAGGGAAAGGGAAGGTAGCAAAAAGTAAAAAGACAGTCTCACCCTTTCGGCCACTGGGAGCACAAGGAGACCCCAAAATAACCACTGAAGAGTGTTAACTGGTCTCAATTTCAATAATGTAGCTTTATTTCCCCCAACAAACACTCAGCCATCTTTTGGCTCAGGAAAGGCATAAAAATCACTGATTAAGGGCCCGGGCACGGTGGCTCACGCCTGTAATCCCAGCACTTTGGGAGGCCGAGGCAGGCGGATCACAAGGTCAGGAGATCGAGACCATCCTGGCCAACACGGTGAAACCCCGTCTCTACTAAAAATCCAAAAAATCAGCCAGGTGTGGTGGTGGGCGCCTGTGGTCCCAGCTACTCTGGAGGCTGAGGCAGGAGAATGGCATGAACCCAGGAGGCAGAGCTTGCAGTGAGCCGAGATCTCTCCACTGCACTCCAGCCTGGGCGACAGAGCAAGACCCTGTCTCAAAAAAAATAAACAAATAAATAAATAAAAAATCACTGATTAGGAAGGTGGGTTTTGGTGCCATCAACTCCTGACAACTTGTAAAACCCTGGGCAGGGCCTCAGCCTCTCCAGCCTCAGTTGGCCTGTCTGAAAGCTAACACAAGTCCCAGCAGGTTATCTCCTAGGTTCTTCTGGTTCCAACCTTCTATATTATCAGAGGCTGCATATCAACCACCTGTGAAGCATCGAGCACTGCTCCTGGGCTCCGTCACAGGCCTGCTGCAGCAGCACTGCTAGACTGGGGCCCGCAATGGGGATTTTAAGAGCTCTGGGTAACTGATCCACATCAGTGCTGCCCAGCGACTGGCTTGGGTGGTGTGGGGCAGCAGGTCAGAGTCTGACTACCTGGGTTCAGCTGGCGTGAACCCAGTGAAGACACCGGATATCTCTGTGCCTCAGTTTCCTCATATGTAAAATGGAAATAACAGTTGCTATTTCATAGGGTTGTTGTTAGAATTAATGAGTTATACATAAAGTGCTTAGAATTCTTCCTCCATATGGTCAACACTGTGTCAATACTGGCAGACATTATGTGACAATTCTTTTTTTTTTTAAGACAGAGTCTCACTCTGTCACCCAGGCTGGAGTACAGTGGCACGATCTCAGCTCACTGCAACCTCCGCCTCCTGGGTTCAAGCAATTCTTCTGCCTCAGCCTCCTGAGTAGCTGGAATTACAGGCGAGTGCCACCACGCCCAGCTAATTCTTGTATTTTTAGTAGAGACGGGGTTTCATCATGTTGGCCAGGCTGGTGTCGAACACCTGACCTCGTGATCCGCCTGCCTGGGCCTCCCAAAGTCCTGGGATTACAGGCGTGAGCCACCGCGCCCGGCCTATGTGACAATTCTTTCACTTGCTTTTACTTGGAGGTTAATTTGAACCTGTTGGAAAAAAGGCTTGGACACTCCATCCACAGCCAGAGCTTGATTAGGACAGGACAAGAGAACCATGAGCTACTCAGGAGAACCCTAGAGCACCCCATTTCCCAGTTTGAGGAGGAAACAGATGGCCCCTCACGCCCCCTCCTCCAACCCTCCTGTCCTTTCTCTCACCGATTGAACACCTTGAAGACAATAGCTATTTGGTCATCCACCCGGAGCACCCCAATCTTGCAGAGACAGCAGAGGAAAGCAGCGAAGGCTGCCTCATGCCCTGGAGGAGAAAAACAACCAGCGTTGACAGTAGTCCAGGTAAAGGACTGGGATTGTTTTAGTCTCCCAGAATCCGAATCATTGATAAGTGCCCCTCTGAGGAGGGTGGTCAACATGGAGACAATGAGACCTCTTCCCCATTCAGAAAGACTTGCTAGGCCCTTTCCTTTCAAGAACTATAATACCAGTACTGGCCGTGCATGGTGGCTCATGCCTGTAATCCCAGCACTTCAGGAGGCTGAGGCAGGCAGCTTGCTTGAGCTCAGGAGTTTGAGATCAGCCTGGCCAACATGGCAAAACCCTGTCTCTACAAAAAATACAAAAATTAGCCAGACATGGTGGCATGTGCCTGTGGTCCCAACTACTCAGGAGGCTGAGATGGAGGATCTCCTGAGCCCAGGAGGTTGAGGCTGCAGTGAGCCATGATAAGGCCACTGCACTCCAGCCTGGGTGACAAAGTGAGACTGTCTCAAAAAAAAAAAAAAAAAAAAAAAAAAAAGAACTACCAGTACTATAATTCCACTCGTAAAAGACCCGGGCTGGACATTTACATTTCATTACGTAGGTTTAACTCACTCAGCAATTCCACCATATTTACTGAGCACCTACTATGTAAGCAGTCACTGTCCATGTTACGCACTAGGAGACAGTGACAAGTAAGTCCTTGCCCTCAGAAAGTTTATGATCTATCAGGGACAACAGACATTATAAATATACAGTCACTACTATGATTCCAGCTCTGAAGGAGAAAGACAGGGTACTAACTGGAGGATATCACAGAAGGACCCTGACGTAAGGGTTCAAGGTTTCCCCTAAGGAAGTAACATCTAATCTGAAATCTGAAAGATGTGAGCTGGCAAGGCAAAGGGAGTGAGGGAAGCAAGAAATGCATTCTAGCCAGAAGGAATAGCATGTGCACAGGCCTTGAGGCAAGAAAAAGTTTGATCTGTTTGAGGAACACTAAGGAGGCCAGTATGTCGAAGGCAGTGAGAGCAAGGGAGAACGTGTAATGACAGGAGGCTACAGGTCACATGGGCCTTTTGGCCATAGGAAAGAGCTCAGACTTTACCCTAAGAGCAATAGGGAGCCACTGCAGGCTTCTAAGCAGGGAACACATGATCAGATTACAGGGTGAAAAAGTATCCTCCTTCCTTTCCCAGTCATATCAAACAGGAATGGTCTGCACTGTAGGAACAACTCACTGGACTGTGATTGAATCCCATTGTTCACAATGTCACACAAAACCTATCTGGAGGGAGGTGAGAAGAGAATGTGTCAGAGAATACTTCTGTCCTGTCTCTGGAGGACGAAGACCCCTCCAGGGCCTGGAAGCTTGTGAGCTCAGTTTCCTTCCCCTGCCACAGTTTCCAATTATGACCAGACAGGGCCCAGGCTCCCATTGTTCAGGGGTTCACATGCAGCTGGGGCACCAACCCCTGCTGACCTGGCCAGTCTTCCCTCTTTGATCTTTTCCTGCTGGTCTTAGTCAAAGCCCCACCCGGTCCAAGAGGGCCCTTCTCCAGGGCCTGCCTCTGTGGCTGGGGCTCCCTCCTGTGGATCACATTCCCCAGACAAGGGGAGGGCTGAGCGGTGCCCCATCTGCCTGCCTCAGGGAAGGAAGGCGGGCCCTCACCAAAGCAGAGGTCCTCCTTAGCTGCACAGGCCAGGCCCTGACCTAGAGAACGCCTCCCTTCTCTATTTTTGAGAGATGGGGTCTCAGCATGGTGGCTCGACAGGCCGTGCCCTGACACAGAGAATGCCTCCCTTCTATATTTTTGAGAGATGGGGTCTCAGCATGGTGGCTCCACAGGCCATGCCCTGACCTAGAGAACACCTCCCTTTTATATTTTTGAGAGATGGGGTCTCAGCATGGTGGCTTGCACCTGTAATCTGAGCACTTTGGGAGGCTGAGGTGGGAGAACAGCTTGAGCTCAGGAGTTCAAGACCAGCCCAGGCAACATGGCAAAACCCCATCTCTACAAAAAATACAAAACAATCAGCTGGGCGCAGTGGCTCACGCCTGTAATCCCAGTCCCAGCACTTTGGGAGGCCAAGGTGGGTGGAGAAGTGACCTCACCAGAGGTCAGGAGTTCGAGACCAGCCTGGCCAACATGGTGAAACCCTGTCTCTACCAAAAACACTAAAATTAGCCAGGTATGGTGGTGTGTGCCTATAGTCCCAGCAGAATAATCGCTTGAACCCAGGAGGTGGAGGTTGCAGTGAGCCAAGATCATGCCACTGCACTCCAGCCTGGGCAACAGAGTGAGACTCTGTCTCAAATAAATAAATAAATTGCCAGGCTGGTGGTGCACACCTGTAGTCCCAGGTACTGGGGAGTGGGGAGATGCAGAGGTGAGAGGATCACTTGGGCCCGGGAGGTCAAGGCTGCAGTGGGCCAAGATCACATCACTGCACTGCAGCCCGGGTGACAAAGCAAGACCCTGTCTCAAAAAAATAAATATATAAATAAAAATAACTTAAAATAAATTTTTAAAAAAGAGATGGAGTCTTGCTACGTTGCCTAGGCTGGTCTTAAACTCCTGAGCTCAGGCAATCCTCCCCCTCAGCCTCCAAAAGTGCTAGGATTACAGGCACGCACCACTGCACCTGTCTACACTTCCCTTTTAAAGTGTCCACACACTCCCTCTCCTCAAAGTCCAGGTCCCTTGGCTTACATGGACCACAGATCCAAACAGCCCAATAGCACAGAGAATGTGGCTAAGAGACAAGGGGTTCAAGGGAGAGGGTGTGCCACGACACTGCAAAGGCCACCAAGAAGCGTTCCCATTTCTCAAAGCTTCAGTAAGCTGCTGCCTTGACACACAGTAAGTGCTCAATTAATAATTATTTTGGTGATGATGAGGAGCTCAGAGACCATTTTCACAAGAACAGAAAGCAGCGCTGCGCAAGCACCATGCACGGGGCATCAGCTCCCCCTGGTGGACCACAGCAGAGCTGCAGCATCCGGGCCTCCCTGCATGCCTACGCCCTCCCTGCCGGTGAAGCCACCCTAACCCCAGCTGGCCCCAATAGGTTGCAGGTGCTTGGCGAATTCTTGATTGCTCTCACTTGCTCAGAGGGCCCAGAGACCACCTGAAGCCCAAAACAGAAAGCAGTGAAGCTAGATAAGTACAGAGCCCCACAAGCAGCAGATACCTGTGCCGTAGTCAATGCGCGTGGAGTTCCCCACTGACTCCTTTAGGTAAACAGCCACCTCAGGCACAGCAGCTGCCAGATGGGTAGGGACCACTGTGGCCACCAAGTTTTCTGCTTCCTGGTAACACAAGAGACACAAAGTGGTGGCAGCATATTAAGCAGCATCCCAGTGGGCAGGTGCCCAGGGGCAGCACCTGACTGGGGGCCCACACTGCCTTGCCAGGCCAGCTTGGTTCCTGTTCTGACAGGCCACAGAAGGAAGGGGAGGGACAGCATTTATTCTTCCACAGCAGAAGACTACCCAGGCGACTTATCATCAACTGATTTTTCCAGGGCACAGGAGTCTAGGGGCAAAACAGGAGGAATCTGGAAAAAAGCCTCAACCCTCCCATGTGGTAACTCACTGGAGCCCCACAGAGACTCTGGAAGGTCAGTGCTATGATTCCCACACAGGCCACCTTCCTTCACACTCTCAGGTCAGCAAGAGCTGGTGTCATGTGCCATCAAAAGACGTGCAGAAGAATGTTCACAACAGCACTGTTTAGAGTAGCCAAAAGGTGGAAATGCAATGGAAATGTCCATCAACAGTGAAATGAATAAATTGTGGTATATTCATACAATAGAATACTACACAGCAAAGAAAAAGACCTATAGCTAGACATGAAAACATGGATGAATCTCAGACATGACATTGAGCAAAAGAAGCCAGAGAGTTATACGAAGTTCAGAAACATGGAAAAAAATCAATTTATGGAATAGAAATCAGAATAATCTGGGCGATATCAATTGGGAAGGGGAGCACTCCAGCTAGAATGTTCTATTGCTTGACATGAGTGGTGAATCCATGGGTAAAAAACTTGGCATGAGTGGTGAGTCCATGAGTAAAAACATGTAAAAATCCATCAAGCTGTAAAGCTATGATTTGTCAGCTTTAAGATATAACTTAAGGCTGGGAGCAGTGGCTCACACCTGTAATTCCAACACTTTAGGAGGCCAAGGTGGGCGGATCACCTGAGGCCAGGATTTCGAGATCAGCCTGGCCAACATGATGAAACCCCGTCTCTACTAAAAACACAAAAATTAGCCAAGCATGGTGGCGCATGCTGTAGTCCCAGCAACTTGGGAGGCTGAGGCAGGACGATTGCTTGAGCCCAGGAGGTCAAGGCTGCAGGGAGCTGAGATCATGCCACTGCACTCCAGCCTGAACAACAGGAAAAAAAAAAAAAAAAGATCATGTACCATCTTAAGAGTCCAGAGGCAGGCCCGGGCGTCTCTTGGGAACAGCACTTCACTGGGTCCTGAGTCCTCCCCTCTGCTCTATGTGAAAATATTGGGCCAGAGCAATTAGGACCCAAATTTCCTTAAGCTCAGTTGTAGACAACTGGCATGAGCCATCTCCTGGAAAGCTAGTAAAAATCCAGGTTCCCAGTCCCTACCCAGACCTGTAGACTCTGCTTTTCTAGACAGGGTCTGAGATCCTGCATTTTTATTTTTGTTTGCTTTGAATAGGTAACACCTTCGTAAGATTCAAAAATAAAAACATCAGTAGAGGATCAGTTCAATAGACTAGTCCATCCACACCATGGAGTATGCAGCTAGCATTCCAAGTGGGTGTGCAATGGCTCCATCATAGCTCACTGCAGCCTCAAACTCCAGAGCTCAAGTCATTCTCCTGCTTCAGCCACCCAAGCAGCTGGGACCAAAGGTGTGCACCACCATTTCTTATTTTTTGCAGTAACGGGGTCTTGCTATGTTGCCCAACCTACTCACAAACTCCTGGGCTCAAGTGATCCTCCCGCCTTAACCTCCCCGAATTCTGAGATTACATGTATGAGCCACCGTGCCCAGCTATGAAAAAAATTCCTTTTTGGGGCCGAGCGTGGTGGCTCACACCTGTAATCCCAGCACTTTGGGAGGCCGAGATGGGCGGATCACAAGGTCAGGAGATCAAGACCATCCTGGCTAACACGGTGAAACCCCGTCTCTACGAAAAATACAAAAAATTAGCCGGGCGTGGTGGTGGGTGCCTGTAGTCCCAGCTACTCGGAAGGCTGAGGCAGGAGAATGGCGTGAACCCAGGAGGTGGAGCTTGCAGTGAGCCAAGACTGCGCCACTGCACTCCAGCCTGGGCAACACAGCGAGACTCCGTCTAAAAAAAAAAAAAGATAAAATAAAAAATAAAAAAAATTCCTTTTTATAGCTGCACAGTACTCCATGATATTGATGGACTAATTTATTTAAATAATCCCCTACAGATGGATACTTGGAACATTTCCAGTTTGCTGTAATACAGTGACTTAATAAACAGCCTTGTAGTGCAGAGGGCCGTATGTGCACAGTCGTGTTTCCCAGAAGATGACCAAGCAGAGTATAAACTCATTTGTAATTTTGCTAAGTGAAATTGACATTTTAACAAACTGAGATTTGTATATGCCTAGAAGCGCTATACAATGCAGGCCCTTCCCCAACTGGTGCCAGAACCACCCTCACTGCCAGCCCAGTCCCTGGCCTGTCCTGTGGCAGCCTCACCTCATCAAGTTTGGCATACCAGGTCCTGTATGCCTTATTCCCAAACCGAGAGGGCTGGTCCACTGGAGGAGTCTCATCAATCCACCTGTCCAGCGTGTTGAGAAGAGCGACTAGTTTCTCAATGGCCTGTGGAGGCAAAATAGAGGGGTCCAAGCTACAGAGCAAGTGGCTCCCGCTTAGCCACAGAGGGAAGTCCACTGCTGCCAGACAATGACCCCTTGGCATGGCCCCTACTGGGAACTCTCCCCCATCCCTCTTTCTTCCCCACTGTTCTGAATATGAAGGAGGGTCAGGAGAGCATGATAGGCTTTCCAGAGAGGGAAGCACACTAGGCTGATGGGACAGGGACGGGGTGGCTTTAGCACCTGGTTTCTGTAGGCAGCCTACCCATGGGCTGCTGCTATAGAGAAGCTAACTCCAGCCCTGACATCTTTTTAAAAAGACTTTATGGAAGCCTTTTGTTCAGTATGCAATACCTACTCATCATAAAAAATAGAAATATAAACAGAAGAAAATGAAAATGACCAGTAATCCTGCCACCCAGAAATACACTAAACTTTTTTTTTTTTTTTTTGAGACAGAGTTTCGCTCTTGTTGCCCAGGCTGGAGTGCAGTGGTGCAATCTCGGCTCACTGCAACCTTTGCCTCCCAGGTTCAAGCGATTCTCCTGCCTCAGCCTCCCAAGTAGCTGGGACTAAAGGCGCACACCACCACGCCCAGCTAATTTTTGTACTTCTAGTAGAGATGGGGTTTCTCCATGTTAGTCAGGCTGGTCTCAAACTCCCGACCTCAAGTGATGCACCTGCATCGGCCTCCCAAAGTTCTGGGATTACAAGCGTGAGCCACCGTGCCTGGCCTACACTAAACATTTTAACATACCCTTCTGTGTTATCTTCTCATAGTGTTTTACATGGTTTAGCATGGTGGGCCTGGATTCAAACCCCAGCTAAAACACCATTTAGCTGCTGTGAGACCTTGAGCAAGTGACTAACTCTGAGCCTCTCAGTTTCTTCGTCTAAAAAATGGGGCTGATGATAAATACCTCCGAAGGTGCACAGTGCCCGGCGCGGGGTAATGGTATGCATTCATCGCAGGACACACTCTGCTTTGCAGCCTGCTCCTTTTCCTCATGAACCTCATTCCACATCTACATATAAACATAATCTTATGACAACTTTTACTAAGTGAATAACATTTCATCGTGCCACTGCATTATAATTAATTTAATTCCTCACTGTTAAATGTTTGGGTTATTTCCACCTGTTTCACTACCTATTTCATACACAATGCTATGGTAAATCAGCTTGCAACTCAATCTTTGTGGAAATGCCAGATCATCGTGTGCAATGCTTTGTAGGGTGGCAGAGTTTGAGAGCCCATCCCCCTACACCTTTCCCACAGAAGACAGGGACCAAGAAGTAGAATCGGAGTCAGAGGTGCGGGCAGCATTGGCACATAAAATGTTACTCAATGAAGAAATCGGGTGGCTGTCTATCCAACCCAAAGATCAGTTAGAAGGTGCTCCTTCCAGGTTGGCTTTTAGAAATAGCCCAGCACCAGGGCCGGTGGAAAATACAACGCGGAGGCTATCTGCAGCCATTCAGTCCTGAGAAAAGAGTCCCTGCCAGGAAGTGGATCTTGCCTGTGTCTATGGAAACAAACGGCATAAGAAACTTACAGGAAATCCTGGCACTGGGTAAGAACTAGCAGGGTGATGCCCACATGAGAAGTTGCGCCTGGGAGGGCAAGGCAGACCAGGCCTGCCATGTGCAAAGACTCAGCCAAGAGCTATGTATGTACCTGGGGAGAGGCAGGCTTAAGCTAATGAAACAGGCTGGCCATGCCCCCAGCTGCATATGTGAAACCGGCCCTGAGTGCTGCTCTCTCTTATCTCCCCTTTATCTAGGCTTGGGGCATGGGAGGACAGAAAAAGTAGCCTGTAAGAGGATAAATTTCCCTTTACACCTGGCTAAGGCAGAGGGCTAGGATGGCATAAAGCTGCCTTGCTGAAATGTGAGAGCGCTGCCAGAGCCTGGCTTTGTGAAAAACCAGGAATGGCTGATAAGCACAGGCCAGACCTAACCCATGCAGAAACGGGGGCTTACAATGGATGGCACAGTCATCTTGGCCCCAGGAAGCACTAGTCAGCCCCAGATTCCCCAGGGATCTCAGTCTTAGGCGAGGCACTGAAGGGGACAGAGAAGACGGAGTCACAGGAGCCAGGCCCCAGCTGCTAGCTCAGCTGGGCCAATGAATAATTCAAAGGCTCCCAGCTCCTCTTCAGGAGAGGGCTTTTTGAATGTTGTAGGGGCTGCCTCTATTGTTTGCTGTGTTGGGAGAGAAGGGCTGAAAGAAAGGGAACTGGGGCTGAAACACCTTCGAGGCACAAAGAACAACTCCAGCTCTCCCATTCTCCCTAGGCCAGTGTTTCCTTTTTGGATTTCAAGGACCAGTAAAATCTTCCCTAACATTTTACTGACCATTTTTGAATTTTGCCCCCTTGTAAGTTTTAAAAAAGCAAACAGAACAACAACAACAAAAATAAATCTCTTATCACATTTATTTTGCAAAAATCGAAAATGTTAACCCCCATAAGAGGAGGACAGGCATCATTTAAAATAAGAGCTAGCTGGCCAGGCACAGTGGCTCACGTCTGTAATCCCAGCACTTACGGAGGCCAAGACGGGCAGATCACCTGAGTTCGGGAGTTCGAGACCAGCCTGACCAACATGGAAAAACCCCATCTCTACTAAAAATACAAAATCAGATGGACATGGTGGCACATGCTAGTCGGGAGGCTGAGGCAGGAGAATCGTTTGAACCCGGGAGGCGGAGGTTGTGGTGAGCCGAGATCGTACCATTGAACTCCAGCCTGGGGAACAAGACTCCATCTCAAAAATAAAAATAAAAATAAAAATAAATAAATAATAAAAAAATAAGAGCTAGTTTTTTTTTTCTTTTTGAGACGAAGTCTCGCACTGTCGCCTGGGCTGGAGTGCAGTGGCACCATCTTGGCTCACTGCAACCTCCGCCTCCCGGGTTTCAAAGGATTCTCCTGACTCCACCTCCGAAGTAGCTGGGACTACAGGTGCCTGCCGCCACGCCCAGCTAACTTTTTGTATCTTTAGTAGAGACGGGGTTCCACCATGTTGGCCAGGCTGGTCTTGAACTCCTGACCTCATGATTCACCCGCCTTGGCCTCCCAAGGTGCTAGGATTACAGTCATGAGCCACCGCGCCCAGCCAAAAGCTAGCTTTCTATGCAACAACACTATTGAAAATTAGAACTGACTAATG
The DNA here is from genome assembly GCF_000001405.40 of Homo sapiens. Lineage (NCBI taxonomy): Eukaryota > Metazoa > Chordata > Mammalia > Primates > Hominidae > Homo > Homo sapiens. The sequence goes on along the minus strand of NC_000009.12, from coordinate 129,125,814 downwards.
CCTAATGGTAACAATAGCTAATAACAATCGAAGTATTTATTTAGTATGTGTTAGGCGCTATGCAAAAGACAACCACTACTCGTGGGATCTCAGTGAATTTTCCCCAGGGGGCCATGACTAGTCTGCTGACTCTTACCACTCTACAGATGAGGAAACAGAGGGTCAAAAATGATTCACAAGTTATGAAACTAGCCAGCTGGACTCCAGAACCCAAGCATGTAACCACACTGCAATCCTGCCAAAGTACAGCCCTTGAGCTAAGACAATACCTGGGCCGGGCGCAGCAGCTCACGCCTGCAATCCCAGCACTTTGGGAGGACAAAGCACCTGAGGTCAGGAGTTTGAGACCAGCCTGCCCAACATGGTGAAACCCCGTCTCTACTAAAAATACAAAAATTAGCCGGGTGTGGTGGTGGGCGCCTGTAATCCCAGCTACTCGGGAGGCTGAGGCAGGAGAATCGCTTGAGCCTGGGAGGTGGAGGCTGCAGTGAGCCAAGATCATGCCATTGCACTCCAGCCTGGGTAACAAGAAAAACTCAAAAAAAAAAAAGACAATACCTGCTTGGTGTGGATGGCTACCATCAAAGCCACGGGCAATTAGGGGACTTGGCAGCTAAGGATTTGCTGGGGTAATTACAACCTTCCCCTTTAATTAGCCTTCCTCCACGACATTCCTGGCCCACTGAGCACAGCTGAGCATCCCTCACCACAGGCTCCAGGAGGAACCCCCTCTTTCCCCAGCCATCCTGCACCCAGAGCCTCAGTCCCAAAGGACTGAGTGAGCCCAAAAGGAACCCAAAAAGCCACTAATGGGCCTGGCTCCCAAGGGAAGGCTGTCTACCAGAAGCACAGGCCTGGTTCTCCTGAAGTGGACAGAACAGGACCTAGGTCACCTAATAGCCAGACAGGCCCAGCAATAGGCAGCTCTGCCAGGGGCCGGGTATGAGGGTGAGGCACACAGTGTTAATCTTGGGGCAGGTGGAAAAACTGGGCCAGGGCAGGGCTACATCTTACCCAACAGGTCCAAGGCTGTGGCTAGAGAGCTGGGTAGGCCAAAGTAAAGGGAGGCCCTTCAGGCCCTGGTGTCTGAGATAAGAGACTCAAGGTGGGACATGAACCCAAGAGGCTCCTGGAGGCCTAGGTCCTAGCCCTGGGAGACAGCATCCAGCAAAAGCAAACAGCCAGTAAGGCCACACCTGCCAATCAGTATCTGCCTCCCCTCAGCTCTTGCCCTCTCTACACAAACAAAACTATCTCTGAAACAACGTCCAAAAAGCACCCACCAGGCAGTGTGAACCCAAACGCAAAAAAAAAATGCATGTGCCCTTTGACTCCACATTTCCACGTCTAAGAATGAATCCTTCGGAAACAAGGCCCACAGATCTATGTGCGGGGATGCAATGATATGCGAGGAGCAATGTTTACCAAGACAACCTAAAAGTCTGAAGATGGGCTGTTTAAATAAATGAGGGGCCAAGCTTGGTGGCTCACATCTGTCACCCCAGCACTTCGAGAGACCAAGGCAGGAGGACTGCTTGAGCCCAGGAGTTCAAGACCAACCTGGGCAACATAGTGAGACCCTGTCTCTATATTTAAAAAAAAAATAAAATAAGATAAATAAATGAGGGCACAGCTCACTGCAGGAGAAGAGAAGCTCTTGCTTTCCTGGGTGACCACTGTCAGGAGGGGCTGCCCTGGAAGCTGGGTATGAGAAACACAGGGAGAGATCAGCTCTGCTGTGAATGTCATACACATGTCTATTACTGATCTCTCCAGTGAGCACATTTACTGTTTTGTAATCTGTTTTAATTTCAAGTTATATAAAAACACCAGGCCAGGCGCAGTGGCTCATGCCTGTAATCCCAGCACTTTGGGAGGCCGAGGCAGGCAGATCACCTCAAGTCAGGAGTTTGAGACCAGCCTGACCAACATGGAGAAACCCCGTCTCTACTAAAAATAAAAAATTATCCAGGTGTGGTGGCACACGCCTGTAATCCCAGCTACTCAGGAGGCTGAGGCAGGAGAATCGCTTGAACCCAGGAGGCAGAGGTTTTGGTGAGCCAAGATCGCGCCACTGCACTCCAGCCTGGGCAACAAGAGCAAAACTACGTCTCAAAATAAAAAAAAAAGAAAGAAAAAACCAATTAGCAAAAATACTAACTACAAAACAGCATATTTACCTTGATCTCAATTTTATAAATATCCATCTATTCACAGATTTCAAAAATTAGAAATATAGATATGAAAATGTGAAGTGCACATGTATTTGGGCGATCTTATTTTCTGCTCTGGCCCCGTGGTGGGCACTGAGCCCACAAGACTCTGGAGCTATTTTTTTTTTTTGAGACAGAGTCTCGCTCTGTCGCCCAGGCTGGAGTGCAGTGGCGCGATCTCAGCTCACTGCAAGCTCTGCCTCCTGGGTTCACACCATTCTCCTGCCTCAGCCTCCTGAGTAGCTGGGACTACAGGCGCCCGTCACCACACCCGGCTAATTTTTTGTATTTTTACTAGAGATGGGGTTTCACATGTTGGCCAGGATGGTCTCGATCTCCTGACCTCGTGAGCCGCCTGCCTCGGCCTCCCAAGGTGCTGAGATTACAGAGGTGAGCCACCGCACCCAGTGACTCTGGAGCTATTTTTGGAAAGGCTGCTGCAGCAGCTCCTCCTTGGGCCTACCTCGGAGACTCTGTACTCGAAGGTCAGCTTCTTCCCCTTCACACCTTCGTTGAGGGTAAGGATGAATCCGATGTAGTCAGCGTATGCCTACCAAACAGAGAGGAGAATGGGGATGGGGAGAGGGGTGGCAGACCCCCCCGCCCCACCTGCCCCGAGCTCCACCAGGTTACCAAAGAGCTCCGAGCTTTCTACTTCTCCTGACCCTGACTCCCAACCCAATAGCAGGAGAAGCAGAAACGTAATGCCAAATACCGACCCCTACCCTCCAGAAAAGCTGGCAAGACAGTGACCACAGCAACACGCTGATCTCCAGCCAGAGTGAACCAAGTACTCACTATTGCTGCCAGCAGTTTTTTTACACAATAGCCCTATAAGGTAGACACTGCTGGCGCCATCTTACAGATGAGGAAACCAAGATTTCAAGAGAAGTGATCCGCCCAAGGTCTCCCAAGACCAAGATATCATTAGACATGGAGCTAGGACCCAGTAGCCTAACTTCAAAGCTGAGTGGGCACATGCTTGTCCATGATGCTCTACCACCAGGAATTCAAGGAGTACCACCAAGTGTCTCACCCCCAGCAATCAGCGACCAAAGGCGGGCCAGGCTGTCTAGTTGGAGTGCAGATGCCTGCCACAGACAGGTCTCCCCACACAACCATTCCCAGCTTTCAACTAGACACTCTTCTTCCCTGCTGGGCTGCAGTTACACCCAACACAGGGATAAGAAAGCACTGAGGGTCAGGTATTGTGGCTCAAGTCTGTAATCCTAGCACTTTGGGAGGCTGATGCAGGAGGATCACTTGAACCCAGGAGCTTGAGACCAGCCTGGGCAACATAGTGAGACCCCATCTCTACAAAAAATTAAAAAGTTTGCCAGGTGTGGTGGTACGTGCCTGTGGTCCCAGCTACTCAGGTGGCTGAGGTGGGAGGACTGCTTGAGCCCAAGAGGTGGAGGCTGCAGAGAGCCATGATCATATCACTGAACTCCAGCCTGGGGGCCAGGGTGAGACCCTGTCTCAAAAAAAAAAATAGCATTGAGGTGCAGGCCCCTAGAGAGGCAGTTGCTGGGAACAAGTGACTCCTGATTGGTTTTGTTTCTTCTTCATCCCTTTTTCCTCTCTCTTTCTTCCTTTCTCCTTATCCAAGCCGGGGTGTCCACAGTAAGCCCTGAGACAAGCCCTGATATCTAGAAGGAAGTATTCCTATACCAAGATCCTCCTGCCAGCCATGGGATGACCCCCAGCAGGCCAGGCCTCTCCAAAGCAACTCTCTCAGACCAGGGCAAGTCTGAGCCCCTGTCCTGACTGCAGCTACACTGGAACACATGGATGAGAAGCAGCAAAGGAAGTGTCACATTTGGATTCAGACAAAGAAGCAGGTTCTCAACTAGAGCAATCTGGCTCAGAGAAGATCTGACAAGATCTGGAGACAATGTTAGTTGTGACAGCTGGGGAAAGGCATGCTGCCAACATCTAGTGGGTAGAAGCCAGAGATATTAGTAAACGTCCTACATGGCACAGGACGGCCTCCTACAATGAAGAATTATCTGCCCCTCAATGTCCATAGTGCTGACATTGAGATGCCCCGAGGTAAAGCAACCAAGATGATGAAAGGACTGAAACCATATCCTTTGAGCAGCTGAAGGGACCAAGCTGCCCCCTAGGCTGAAGGGACTGTTGATCCTGGTGAAGATTCAGAAAAGACATGATAACTATTTCCAAATACTGAGAGGGCAGGCTTGTGAAAAAGGAATCAGACAGGTTTAGATGGCCCCAAGCCCCAGTGAGGACAAGGCATAGAAGCTGTAGGGTGTGGGTCTCCTGGAGAATCTGCCCAGCATGCAAGGACCCCTGTGCCCAGCCTTCTGCATGAGCAACACTCTCCAGCCCAGCTCACCAGGCCGGGAGCAGGAGCCTGACGAGAACTGGGCCAGAGGCCTTCCCTGAGAAATTGAAATTGGCTTTCTTTTGCTCAGTCTGTCTTTCCACAGCCTGTACCACAAGCCTGAGAGGTACAAGTAGTTATCTTCTGCCCATCATTTCAGCTGAGCAGCAGAGAAAGCCAGTCTGTGCCCAGTGCTCTGGGTCCCAGCTCCCAGGTATTTGCAGGCTTAGCCATATCCCTGGCCAAAGTTTCCATGAGATAGCCTCTTCTCCCCTTGAGGCACTGGCTGCCACACTTGCTGTTACTTGCAGCCAAGAATCAAAGTGACTCGCTCCATCATTTCAAACACTCATGTTCAGCCAATACAGCAACACTCAAGGGGCAATGGCTTAAGAGAACCAGGAGCGGAACTCTCCCGGGCTACCCTGGCAGCAGCCTGAAAAAGTAGGCAACCTTCCTGATAAAGCATCTCTGAGTACTGCCTCTGAAGGGAAGAGACAGCCAGCTCCCCTGTCACCTTTCTCCCTAGCTTCTGAAAAGTCAGGCTCCAAGAGCAAGAAGGGCCAGGAACTCACCGCCCGTCATGCTAGGAAAACCACTGTCTTTGAAAAGCCCAAGTTTCTCACCACAGTTCCAAATGGTACCTGAGAACGCTTCCATTTGCCCATGTCTGGAACTGTGTGGATCTCCTTTTTTGGAATGATGAAGTTCTGAGTGGCTGGAGGGGCCTCCTCTGAAGAATCTTGACAAAAAAAAATGAAAAAACAAACAGATAAATAGAATCCTCCCCTACAACACACACACTCCCTTTCACCTTTTTTTTTTTTCTTGAGACGGAGTTTTGCTCTTGTTGCCCAGGCTGGAGTCCAGTGACACGATCTTGGCTCAATGCAACCTCCACCTCCAGGGTTCAAGCGATTCTCCTGCCTCAGTCTCCTGAGTAGCTGAGATTACAGGCACGTGCCACCACACCCAGCTAATTTTTTTTTTTTTCTTTGAGACAGAGTCTCGCTCTGTCGCCCAGGCTGGAGTGCAGTGGCGCGATCTCAGCTCACTGCAACCTCTGCCTCCCGGGTTCAAGCGATTCTCCTGCCTCAGTGTTCTGAGTAGCTGGGATTACAGACGTATGTCACCATGCCTAGCTAATTTTTGCATTTTTAGTAGAGACGGGGTTTCACCATGTTGGCCAGGCTGATCGCAAACTCCTGACCTCAGGTGATCCACCCGCCTTGGCCTCCAAAGTGTTGGGATTACAGGTATGAGCCAAAGCGCCCGGCCTCTCTCTCACTTTTAAACCAGGACTCCAACACCTGAGCCTTAGAATAAACCAGACACATACTTCCAGGACAGAGTAAGGGCTTGTTAAGCCAAACCCACAGCCTCCTGCCCTCCCTCACTCTGGGGAGGAAAGAGAAGGGCAATACTGACAATCCCTTCAATAACCATGCCCTCCCTTCCCTCTCCCCCCCAGAGCAGAACCGTTAGAAAAATAAAACCAAGTTGATGTTTCAGACATACACAGGCAATTCACAGAAGAAAAAAAAACAGGTCAGGTGCGGTGGCTCACGCCTGTAATCCCAGCACTTTGGGAGGCCAAGGCAGGCAGATCACAAGGTAAGGAGATCGAGACCATCCTGGCTAACATGGTGAAATCCCATCTCTACTAAAAAAGTACAAAAAAATTAGCCAGGCGTGGTGGCGGGCGCCTGCGGTCCCAGCTACTTGGGAGGCTGAGGCAGAAGAATGGCGTGAACCTGGGAGGCGGAGCTTGTGGTGAGCCGAGATTGCACCACTGCACTCCAACCCAGGCAACAGAGCGAGACTTCGTCTCAAAAAAAAAAAAAAAACCTAATTGCAGTAAACATTTGGAATAAATTGCCAACCTCCTGAATAAGCACGGACACGTAAATTATATGTGATTTCTCTTTCTGGATAAGGTTGGCAAATTAAAAACATCTGGCTAGGTGTGGTGGCTCATACCTAATCCCAGCAATTTGGGAGGCCAAGGCAGGCAGATCACTTGAGGCCAGGGGTTCAAGACCAGGCTGGCCAACTTGGCAAAACGCCATCTTTACAAAAAAAATTTAAAAATTAGCTGGGTGTGGTTGCATACCTGTAGTCCCAGCTACTTGGGAGGCTGAAGCAGGAGGATCACCTGAGTCCAGGAGGTGGGGGTTGCAGTGAGCTGAGATCATACCACTGCACTCCAGCCTGGACAACAGAACGAGACTCTGTCTCAATAAAAACAAAACAAGATTCCAGGAAGAGGAAACAAGAATTCTCCCGCTCTGTGGGTGGGAAGGACCTCCTAAGGGGACAATCTTTTGGAATAAAAAACTGCATATACACAATGAGTCAACAGGTCTACTTACAGGAATCTATCTTTCAGATGTGCTCACGGAAACACAAAGGTGTTTAATGCATCAAAAAAAAAAAAAAAAGCTGGGCATAGTGGCTCACACCTGTAATCTCAGCACTTTGGGAGCCCCAGGTGGGAGGATCACTTGAGTCCAGGAGTTTGACACCAACCTGGGCAACACAGCGAGACCCCATCTCTACTTTAAAAAAAAAAAAATTTTAGGCGGGGCGCGGTGGCTCATGCCTACAATCCCAGCACTTTGGGAGGCCAAAGTGGGTGGATCACACCTGAGGTCAGGAGTTGGAGATGCGCCTGACCAACATAGTGAAACCCCATTTCTACTAAAAATATAAAATTATTCAGGTGTGGTGGCGCATGCCTATAATCCCAGCTACTTGGGAGGCTGAGGAAGGAGAATTGCTTGAACCAGGAGGCAGAGGTTGCAGTGAGCCAAGATCGTGCCATCGCACTCCAGCCTAGGCAACAAGAGTGAAACTCTGACTCAAATAAAAAAATTTTTTATTAATTAGAAACAACCCAAATAGGCTGGGCGTGGTGGCTCACACCTGTAATCCCAGCACTTTGGGAGGCCAAGACAGGCAGATCACGAGATCAGGAGTTCGAAACCAGCCTGGCCAACAAGGTGAAACCCCATCTCTACTAAAAATACAAAAATTAGCCAAGTGTGGTGGCGCACACCTGTAATCCTAGCTACTCAGGAGGCTGAGGCAGGAGAATTGCCTGAACCCAGGAGGCAGAGGTTACAGTGAGCTGAGATCGTGCCATTGCGCTCCAGCTCTGGTTGACAGAGCAAGACTCCATCTCGGGGGAAAAAAAAAAAAAAGAAACAACTCAAATATCAGTTGATAAGACAATGGGTAAATAATGATATGCCCAGGTCCGGCATGGTGACTCACACCTGTAATCCCAGAACTTTGGGAGGCTGAGGTAGGTGGATCATTTGAGGTCAGGAGTTCCAGACCAGGCCTGGGAAACATATTGAAACCCCATCTCTACTAAAAAATACAAAAATTAGCCTGACATGACGGCACACACCTGTAATCCCAGCTACTTGGGAGGCTGAAGCAGGAGAATCGCTTGAACTGGGGAGGCAGAGCTTGCAGTGAGCTGGACCGTTCCACTGCACTCCAGCCTGGGTGACAGAGTGAGACTGTCTTAAAAAAAAAAAGAGGCTGGGTGTGGTGGCTCACACCTGTAATCCCAACACTTTGGGAATCCGAGGCGGGTGGATCACTTGAGGCCAGGAGTTCAAGACCAGCCTGGCCAACATAGCGAAATTCCACCTCTACTAAAAATACAAAAAATTAGCCAGGCATGGTGGCGCACACCTGTAATCCCAGCTACTCGGGAGGCTGAGGCAGAAGAACCGCTTGAACCCAGGAGGCAGAGGTTGCAGTGAGCCAAGATCACGCCACTGCACTCCAGCCTGGGCAACACAGCAAGACTCCGTCTCAAATTTAAAAAAGAGAAAAAAAAGATAGGCCCACATAATAAAAATTTTCATAGCTTATAAAATGAATAAAATCTAGGCCAGGCACAGTGCCTCCCGCCTATAATCCCAAAACTTCGGGAGGCCGAGGCAGGCAGATTGCTTGAGTCCAGGAGTTTGAAACCAGCCTGGACCACATGGCCAAACCCCATCTCTACAAAAAATACAAAAATTAGCCAGGTGTAGTGGTGCACACCTGTAGTCCTAGCTATTCGGGGGCTGAGGCGGGAGGATCACTTGAGCCCAGGAGGCTGAGGCTGAAGTGAGCTGCACTCCAGCCTGGGTGACAGAGCAAGACCCTGTCTTGAAAACAAAAAAAAATTAGAAACAACCCAAATATCAGTTGATAAGATGATGTGTAATTAATTATATGCCCACATAATGGAAATTTTCATAACTTGTAGAAAGAAGAAAATCTAGACCAGGCACAGTGGCTAACACTTGTAATCCCAGCACTTTGGGAGGCCCAGGCGGCAGGATCGCTTGAGCCCAGGAATTCAAGACCAGCCCAGGCAACACAGGGAGACCCCCATCTCTACAAACAATTTAAAAATTAGCCAGGTGAAGTGGCTCATGTCCGTAATCCCAGCACTTTGGTAGGCAGAGGTGGGCAGATCACCTGGGCTCAGGAGTTCAAGACCAGCCTGGTCAACATGGCGAAACCCTGTCTCTACTAAAAATAACAAAAATTAGCCGGGTGTGGCCGGGCACAGTGGCTCACGCCTGTAATCCCAGCACTTTGGGAGGCCGAGGCGGGCGGATCACAAGGTCAGGAGATCGAGACCATCCTGGCTAACACGGTGAAACCCCGTCTCTACTAAAAATACAAAAAATTAGCCGGGCATGGTGGCGGGTGCTTTAGTCCCAGCTACTTGGGAGGCTGAGGCAGGAGAATGGCGAGAACATGGAACTCGGAGCTTGCAGTGAGCCAAGATCGTGCCACTGCACTCCAGCCTGGTCAACAGAGCGAGACTCCGTCTCAAAAAAAAAAAAAAAAAAAAGAAACCCTGTCTCTACTAAAAATACAAAAAAAATTAGCTGGGCGAGGTGACGCATGCCTGTAATCCCAGCTACTTGGGAGGCTGAGGTGAGAGAATGGCGTGAACCCAGGAGGCAGAGCTTGCAGTGAGCCGAGATCGCGCCACTGCACTCCAGCCTGGGCAACAGAGCGAGACTCCGCCTCAAATAAAAAATAAATTAGTCAGGCGTGGTGGCGAGTGCCTGTAATCCCAGCTACTCAGGAGGCTGAGGCAGGCAGAATCGCTTGAACCCAGGAGGCAGAGGTTGCAGTGAGCCGAGGTCGCGCCACTGCACTCCAGACCAGGCGACAGAGCGAGACTCGTCTCAAAAAAAAAAAATTAGCCGGGCATGGTAGCGCACACCTGTAGTCCCAGCTACTCGCGAAGCTGAGGCAGAAGAATCACTTGAACCCAGGAGGCAGTTGGCCAGGCGCGGTGGCTCAGGCCTGTAATCGCAGCACTTTGGGAGACGGAGGCTGGTGGATCACCTGAGGTCAGGAGTTTGAGACCAAGCCTGGCCAACATGGTGAAGCCCCATATCTACTAAAAATACAAAAAAATTAGCCAGGCGTGGTGGTGGGCACCTGTAATCCCAGCTACTCGGGAGGCTGAGGCAGGAGAATCACTTGAACCCAGGAGGCAGAGGTTACAGTGAGCCAAGATCACGCCACTGTACTCCAGCCTGGGCAACAAGAGTGAAACTCCATCTCAAAAAAAAAAAAAATGCAAACTCTCCCTAAAGTGGAAGAGTAAAGGACTATCATCAATCACTCACAACCTGGTATAAATTTGTCCCCCTGCCTTCCTCCTAAAACCTGGCTGACATCAGCTACATGGAGAAAAAGGGACAGGGACCTAAGAAGTTTCTGGAACATATAACATTTGGAGAAATAGAGCCTGTCTGGAGAGGAACTGAAGAAAAGAAAAGTGCCAGGGGACTTGGAGACCTAAGGAGAAGGATAGAGAACCTGAGTTTAGAGAAAGACAAATCTCTGCCTAACTCAAACCAAGGCCCCAGAAAGAGATCAGAAGCTCTCTTCCTCCTCCCACCTGTCCTGCAAGCTCTGTTCCCAGAACCCAAAACTGCTATTAGTAAATTGGCACTTCAACTAAGATGCCAAATAAAAAGCTTTGTAGGTCAGACTAGTAACCCAACCACATTGCTTTTATGGGAAAATGTGTCCCACATTCCAAATAATCAACTTGGAAATAATCTTTGGGAACATACAGCCCTTTTATATGTGTGAGATCACCATTCTCTGCAAAGGGACAGCTCTCCTCGGAGGTTGCACTGAGCCAAGATCATGCTACTGCACTCCAGCCTGGGTGACAGAGTGAGACTCTGTCTCAAAAAATAAAAATAAAAAAAGGGATGGCACTCCTGACATTATTTAACCGGGATATTTCACAGGAAGAGAGCCTTCAGGCCAGTCCATGTTTGGGAAAAGGCTACCTTACCAGGAAGCACTATAACAAATTACTGATGAAACACACACAAGTTGCCAGAACACACAATCCCAAATCAAAGAAACAAGCCTTCAAAGGCAGGATGGTGATAAATGAGGTCACGCCCACAGTCTCTCCAGCCTCAGGTTATAGAGACATAGGTTCCAAGGGACAGTGGATTCCCAACAACCTCACAGTATAAAATCAACATTCAGAATTTTAGAAATGTTCCTTCCTAAGCCCCCCAACAAAGACTATAATATATAGCATTATCATTGGCCATTTGAAACTCGTCTACATGTTCAACCTGTACAACTTTGAAACTTTGAAAAAGATAAGGGCAATCAGCATTTACTGATCGCCTACTATGTCCCATGCTTTGCACACATCTTATAAAACACATACTACAATTCTATGAAGAAAGTATAGTAGCCTATAGTTATTTTAAGAAATAACTGAGGCTTTTTCTCAGGGAAAAAAAAAGAAATTTTAAAAAAGAGAGAAGTAACTGAGGCTCACAGAGCTGTGACTTGCCAGGCAGAGCCAGATATGTATGACTCCAAAATCCAAAGTTTTCATCATTACATTAAGAACTTCTCGCCGGGCGCGGTGGCTCACGCCTGTAATCCCAGCACTCTGGGTGGCCAAGGCGGGTGAATTACTTGAGGCCAGGAGTTCGAGACCAGCCTGGCCCACACGGCGAAATCCCATCTCTACTAAAAATACAAAAAATTAGCCCGGCACAGTGGTGGGCGCCTCAGCAACTCGGGAGGCTGAGGCACGAGAATCGCATGAACTCAGGAGGCGGAGGTTGCAGTGAGCTGAGATTGCACCACTGCACCCTGGCCTGGGAGACAAAGTGAAACTCTGTCTCAAAAAAAAACTAAAAAGAAGAAGTTCTTTCCAGCTGTTCCCAAAAGTTCTGTTTCAAATTTCAAAAAAGGACCACAACCAGGGACCTGGCTGTTTCCAGCCACGGATAACCTCCCTGAGCACAGCTCTCTTTCAGGGCACAGGTTCTCTCTCCTCCCACTCCCCACCCCCACTCATCTTCAGGGACACATTCATCTCACTGATAACAGTGGTTGCCTTATATCTCCTATCTCCTGATGTCCTTACCAGAACTTTTTCTTTTTTGAGATGGAGTCTAGCTCTCTCGCCCAGGCTGGGGTGCAGTGGCTGGAGTGCAGTGGAGCAATCTCGGCTCACTGCAACCTCCGCCTCCTGGGTTCAAGTGATTCTCCTGCCTCAGCCTCCCGAGTAGCTGCGATTACAGACGTGTGCCACCACACCCAGCTAATTTTTGTATTTTGAATACAGACGGGGTTTTGCCATGTTGGCCATGGCTGGTCTCGAACTCCTGACCTCAAGTGATCCGCCTGTGTCGGCCTCCCAAAGTGCTGGGATTACAGGTGTGAGCCACTGTGCCCGGAGTCATCACCAGAACTTCTAAGGCTAGCTTGTTCAACCCACAGCCCAGGACAGCTTTGAATGTAGCCGGACACAAATTTGTAAACTTTCTTAAAACATAGGCCAGGCACGGTGGCTCATGCCTGTAATCCCAGCACTTTGGAAGGCCGAGGCAGGAGGATCACGAGGTCAGGAGTTCGAGACCAGCCTGGCCAATATGGTGAAACCCTGTCCCTATTAAAAATACAAAAATTAGCCAGGCATGGTGGCGCACCTGTAGTCCCAGCTACTCAGGAGGCTGAGGCAGGAGAATCGCTTGAACCCGGGAGGCAGAGGGTGCAGTCAGCCGAGACCATGCCACTGCACTTCAGCCTGGGGGACAGAGTGAGACACTGTCTCAAAAAAAAGAAACACAAAACCATTATGAGATTTTTTTTTTTGCGACTTTTTTTTTAGCTCATCAGCCATCGTTAGTGTTAGTGTATTTTATGTGTGACCCAAGACAATTCTGCTTCCAATGTGGCTTAGAGAAGCCAAAAGAGTGGACACCCCGGTTTTTTTTTTGGGGGGTGACGGAGTTTCACTCTTGTTGTCCAGGCTGGAGTGCAATGCCGCGATCTCAGCTCACCGCAACCTCTGCTTCCCAGGTTCAAGCGATTCTCCTGCCTCATCCTCCCTAGTAGTTGGGATTACGGGCGTGTGTCACCACGCCCGGCTAATTTTGTATTTTTAGAAGAGACGGAGTTTCTCCATGTTGGTCAGGCTGGTCTCGAACTCCCGACCTCAGGTGATCAGCCCGCCTCGGCCTCCCAAAGTGCTGGGATTACGGGCATGAGCCACCGCGCCTGGCCTGGACATCCTTGTTCTAAGGGCACACACCCAGAGGTTTTGTACAAAATAAATGTCTGGTTTTGAATGTCCTAAGAAACGGAACCCAGCTCTTTGTTCACCTCTTTTGTGGGGCATGGAGGGGATGCCTTTTCTGATTTTCAACATTTCTCCCTCCTGAGACCTTCCCAGGGACCCCAACATTGGAGACAGGATAGCAAGAATATCAAATGCTTTCAAAACATTAGCTGTGTTTGGTCGGCCAACCTATTTGCCTCTGTCGGGAATGTAAAAGTTATCTATGGCCAGTCCTTCTTAGTTCAAGGTAGGTCGGCAAACAGCCTTCTCCTTCTGCACAAAAAGGGTCTCTAAGATCCTTCCGTAGCACCTCCATCCCAGTTATTTAAGATGAACTAAAAAGAGGCTACAAGGTAAATAAGAGTTACCGAAGGAGATGCCGGAGAGACTAACCTCCTTGCACAACCAGCCTTTTAAAATTAGGGATTTAGACACCACGGGCAGTTTCCCTCAATAAATTCTCAGGCACTGGAACCAGAGAGTAGGAGGATGAGGGGTGAGCAGGACGCGGAGGCCGAAACTGGAGGCGAGGCGGGCGCAGGCCCACGGAGCACCACCCCATCCCCTAAGCAGCGACTAATAAAGACGGCAGCCTCCGGAATCACTTTCGCCCCCCTCCCTGGCAGCTTCCCCACCGAGTCAGCAGCTTACTTAAGCACGCGCTGCCCAGAGATGCAAAAGGCCCCCTTATGACCACGGCGCTGCCCACCCAGCATTCGGGCAGCCTGGACTCCCACAAAACCCAGAGTTGCGCCCCAATCACCACCCCTTTGCAGCCCCTGGTTCCCTCCCCAGCGGCGCCCCACCACCCACCTCTCCCCTAAGGCCATTCAACTCAGTCCCTCCTCGGGGCCCCTCAGCTTTTGCCCCTCCAGTTCCTCCGTGTCATGACTCTCGCCCTCCTGAGCCTCCCACACCTGGCACCGCCCCCACCCTACCCGACCCCGGCCCGGCCTGGCCCCGCCGGCCTTACCTGGCGGCGGCTGCCGCTCGCCCTCAGCCATCTTGCTCCGGCCAGGAGCCGACCCGGATGCTTGCAGTCCCCTCTCGCCTTTCACTCTTGCACCCACCCTTCCTCTCCCCGGCTCCACCAAAGGCTCCGAGCTTCCTGAAGACAAGTGAGCGCCGGCCGGCTATAACCGAAAACCGAGAGTTAAAGTCACCACAGCGAAGACGGCCGCCATGTCGGTGCGGGGCGCTCAGGGAGCAAGCCTATTAACGGCCGGCGCGCGGCGGACGCGCGGAACCGGGCGACGGCCATGTCAGTGCGGGGCGCGCGGGGCGCATGCGCGCCAACGGCCGCCAAGCGCTAGGACCGCTCACGGCCGCCCGAACGTCGGGCGCCGCGACTGCCACGATTGTGCGGGGCGTCAAGTTTGGGTTGTGCTCAGCCATGTTTTTCCGGGACAGTCTCCTGTCCCGGAGTACCACCTGTCATCTTTGTGGGTGGTACTGACCCTAACCCAAGGAATATTAGAGGACATTCCCCGGTCAACATGGTTGTGTTTTCCTATCACTCTAAGAGTTAGGCTCAAGGACACCAGACGGAGTTGGAAAGGTGCACACCACTACCTCCAACAGCTTAGAAGACATGTGGGGACAGGGGAGAGACAGCTGGACGGTGACCTCCTCCTTCCTCCTCCACAGGTCTCAATGACTCGCCCTCGGCCCTGCCCCTCTGTCCCCGCCCGCCGTGGTCCCGCCCCCGACTCGCAGCCAGCCTACTGCGACCCGCTACCGGGCGACGCCCCGCCCCTCCGTCCCCGCCCCTCCTGTCCCTCCTCAAGGAGACTCCGCCCCATCGATGCCCCGTCCCCGCCCCACAGCCAACCTCCCGGGCACCGTTGCCCGCCCGGGGCCCGCTACCGGCCCAGGCCCCGCCTCGCGAGTCCTCCTCCCCGGGTGCCTTCCCGCAGCCCGCTCGGCCCAGAGGGTGGGCGCGGGGCTGCCTCTACCGGCTGGCGGCTGTAACTCAGCGACCTTGGCCCGAAGGCTCTAGCAAGGACCCACCGACCCCAGCCGCGGCGGCGGCGGCGCGGACTTTGCCCGGTGTGTGGGGCGGAGCGGACTGCGTGTCCGCGGACGGGCAGCGAAGATGTTAGCCTTCGCTGCCAGGACCGTGGTGAGTGCGGCGGATCCCGGGCCTGAGGGCCCTGGACGGCCTGGGCGGGCCGTGCGGTTGCGTCCGGGAACGGAGACCGCGTCCTGCGGCCGCTGTTCGACCCGGCCTCCAGCTGATGGGGTGGGGTCAGGCGGGCGTCCCAGGTTTGGCAGAGCAGGAGATTGGGGCGCAAGGTCAGAAGCGGGATTAAACCCACGTCCTGGAGCATTCAGTTCCAACGACCCAGGAAAGACAAGGGGGACCCCGGCTTCAGTTAGCACCCCCACCCTTAGACCCAGAGACAGGCCGGTAGGGGAGAGAGACCAGGAGCATCCAGACCCTAGCTCACTCTCCCAGTTATTCTCCGATTGACACACCCGTCGCACGCTTAGGCCAGAGCCACTCCTCCGACCCTGTCCAGTTGGTCACACTCCTTTGGTTTATCAGACGGTCCCTGGGGAATTGTGTGTGGCCAGAGAAACACGCGGAGGCATCAAGCTAGAAAGGCCTCAGAACTGGCAGGTGGCAGCCCCATGGTCTCCCTCCCCTCCAGCCCCCTTCCCCACCCTGGCTGTATCCTTCCCTCCAGCCCCCTTCCCCACCCTGGCTATATCCTCCCCTCTAGCCCCCTTCCCCACCCTGGCTATATCTACCCCTCAGTCCTCCCCGGTGAGCAGCCCGGATGCTAGCCTAATTTCAGTCCCTTCCGTCCCTGATCCAAGCATATGTTGCTGGTGTCTCACTCTGTCTCAGACACACACTACGGGGCCAGAGGGCGGAGGGTGCATCCAGGCTCAGGCCTAGAGGCTCTTTTAGGTGTTGCAACACCCTGAGCCTCCACCGCACCCTTGTCACTGTCTCCCAAGCTGCATCCATCCCACAAACAGCCTCTAGATCATCCTCCAGGACCATCCGACTGGACTGGTTACCTTCCTGCAGGGAAACTGAGGCAAGGAGGGACTTGCCCAGAGTCCCCTGGACCTGCTCATTCAAATCCAGCCCAATCCCAGTGTCCTTTGGTTTATTTTTCATACCAAAAGTCCTCCGCTCTTGGACCCTAGCTGAATGAGCCACAGCTCAGGAAAAAATGAGTGTTCGTAGAGGGATGGCTCAGATGGGTCCCAGGAGTCCTGGAGAGAAACAGGAAATAGGCAGGGCTTCTGGCTGTCCCATCCACTGATGGCCTTTTCCTGGTGTCTGCTCCCTTGCACCAACCCTAATTTCAGGACCGATCCCAGGGCTGTGGTGTAACCTCAGCGGCCAGGCAGTCTCTGTCCTCCAGCCAAGTTTTCCCTCATCAAAACGATCTTCGCAGATTCTGACAGGTGGATTTTTTATTACCTTTTGTCCTGACTCCCTGGCACTGAGCCCATGCAGAGAAGAAAGGAAAGAACTTTCCAGGTTCCCTTCTACTGGAATGCCCCCCCACTAGCCCTCTCACCTGCTCCCCATTCCTCTACTTCTGGGAGCTCGGGAGGGTGGAGCAGCTTCTAGAGTCCAGGAGCTTCCCCTGCCACTGCCACAACCCCCGATTCCACCACAGCCATCGCCACTGCCACCTGCCTCCCGCTGAATCTTGGCTCTTGTCTTCTCTTTCCAGCCCAGGCAAGTGGCTGCCTCTGGCTAGGTTCTGCTCACTCACTTTGTAGCACAGTTAGGCTTAGAGATCCAGCCAAGGCAGACAGACAGGGCCCAGAACCTCAGTCCTGCCATGGAGGAGGACGGGCAGCAGAGAGAGAAGGTATGGAACAGAGCTCCTGCCACTCGCCTGCCCACTGCAAGAGCAGCCTCGGGCCCTCCTGTCTCTGCCCACTCCAGGGCCTCCTGGACTTTCTCTTTCTCTCTCTGCCGCCTCTCACCCTCCATGCCAGGCCACCCGGCTCTCTCGCCACAGCACTGCCCTCACCCCACCCCTGCCCCATCTCAAAGGCAGGAGGAAGCCCAAGGCCCCTCACCCGAAGGTGCTGCCATTGTCTGGCTCTCTGTGATTCTCTCTTCTTCCCTTCTGTTTCTCAACCTGGAAAGGGTGGGAGAAAAGGACGTGGGGACCTCCAAGAGGGACAGTCACCACTCTGCTGGCTGGCTCCTCTTCCAGGGTGAGAAAGGAGGGGCCTGTGCAACCCAACAGGTGGGCGGTCCCCCTCACCTCTGCCACCCCAAAGGTGCCGTTCATCCTGACTTGGTTCCCCTGAGCCTTGCTAAGAACCATGGCCACACCCCACCCTCCCCCATCCCTACCTGCATCTCCAGGCCCCAGAGAGGCGGGGACACCTAGAGCTCTAGGGCTGGGAGGCCAGGGCCAGCCCCACCCAAGAGGCCGTCTCTGCCCCCAGGGATGGGCACTTAAGTGCCCAGGACTACAGCTTTGGGGCTGCCAGGGCTCCAGAGCCGGGGAGGGAATGAACAGGATGTTCTGCTACCTGCAGGTGAAGCCTCTGGGCTTCCTGAAGCCCTTCTCCTTGATGAAGGCTTCCAGCCGCTTCAAGGCACACCAGGATGCACTGCCACGGCTGCCCGTGCCCCCTCTCCAGCAGTCCCTGGACCACTACCTGAAGGCGCTGCAGCCCATCGTGAGTGAGGAGGAGTGGGCCCACACCAAGCAGCTGGTGGATGAGTTTCAGGCCTCAGGAGGTGTAGGGGAGCGCCTGCAGAAGGGGCTGGAGCGTCGGGCCAGGAAGACGGAGAACTGGGTGAGTGAGGGCATCCTCACTGTGACCTGCTGCTGGCTGCACATGCACAGTTCTCCAGTGCCCACTGCTCTGGCACGGCCGTTCGTTTGCTGCCCAGAGTTTCGTGAGCACATACTCTGTGTCTGGCACTTGGCAGGGTGCTGGGTGATCAAGAAGGACACAGTCACCAGCTCCTTGGAGCTAACATTCAAGTAGGGAGGAGAGAAAGGTAATGAACAGGATACAGGTTGTGGACAAGGTTTCATGTTCCAGGACAGAGGCAGGAGTGGGGTGCACGGCAGGTACAACCAGATAGAAGATGCCCTTGTGCTTGGTGGGACAGCCTCAGGCAGGGGATATGTGTCACTCAGTGACCGATCGCCCAGGTTCTGTATCTGATCTATGACACAGGTGTACCCAGTTTGGCAAATATGTCTACACCAATGTTTGGTGTGCTTTTCTATTTGCATCTCATACTTCAATACACAGATTTAAAAAGTGGCAGCTGGATGCAGTGACTCACACCTATAATCCCAGCACTTTGGGAGTCCAAGGCGGGCAGATCACAAGGTCAGGAGTTCGGGACCAGCCTGGCCAACATGATGAAACCCTGTCTCTACTAAAAATACAAAAATTAGCCAGGCGTAGTGGCACGCACCTGTAATCCCAGATACTGGGGAGGCTGAGGCAGGAGAATTGCTTGAACCTGGCAGGTGGAGGTTGCAGTGAGCCAAGATTGTGCCACTGCACTCCAGCCTGGGCGACAGAGCAAGACTCTGTCTTGGGAAAAAAAAAAGGTGACCCAGCTGCTGGGAGGGAGGCAGAGTGGAAGCCAGAGGCGAGGGGGAGGGGTGACATCACCCCCAAGGAGCTGTGGCAGCCTGGGTCTGACACCGGATGGGAGAGAGGGAGAGTCGTTAGGTCCAGGACTGTTTTGGAGGCAGTGCCAGTGTCACTTGCCAATGAGGTGGGGGCACGGGTGGAATTTGCCAAGTCGGGGTTGCCTGAGAGAGAAGCTACCTGTGGGAGAGCCAGAGCGGGTCCGGCCCTGGGAAATGCTGTGTTATAGGGGGTGCCATGGGGAGGGGAGGTAGAGCTCTAGCCCTGGGGCTTGGCGGAGGCTGTGGGGCTGCACACAGGAGGTGGGAGTTGTCAACATTTGCTGAGACGCGTCAGGTCAGGACTTTGGACTCCAGAACCAAGATGCTTCCCCCGAAAGGTCCTTAGAGCGTCTGGGGGCTGGTGGTTTTCCGACTTCATTTAGCCTGGGACTCCTTCAAACAGAAGCTCCTGGTTAAAGGGGTGGGGGCACCCCTCCTTCCACTCACGGGGCCACCGAAGGGTCTCCGCCACCACCTGGCAGATTCTCGCTGGGGGAGTACCCATACCTGCGGGGTCTCCTCTGGTCTCCCAAGCTTTGGCCAGAGGCTCTGGGATCCCTAGTGGAGTACAGGCCCCTGGCTGTTTCCCCAAGGGAAGGAAGCTCCTGTCTGCCCTTCACTGATCTACAGATGAGGAAAACTAAGGCCCAGAGAGGTGGCCCAAAAGCCCAGAGCCACACAGCAGCTCTCAAGGAAGCCCTCGGCCACACAGGAAGGTCTGACTGACTCAGGGACCCAGTTCTTAGGGGCTACCAGTCACCTGTTGTACAACTTGGGGACAAGTTGCCTCCCCCTCACCCCTTGCCAAGTTGCCTCCCCCTCACCCCTTGCCAAAGGCTAGTGGCCCAGTGCTGCAGGGGAGTGCGTGTGATGAAGAGGCGCATCCTGCTGCTGTTCACCACGGGTTGAGGGGGCGCAGGTGGGCCCAGGTCTCTGGGGGTGGAAGGCCAGAGAAAGCTGTACTGGCTGTGTGCAGGAAGGGTGGGTGTTGCAGTCAGCATAGAGGACACAGGGTGACAGTCACCTGGGAGTGTGCGCAGCGCCAGACATGGAGCCTTTAATACCACATCCCTGGCTGGTGCCCAGAGACCCCCCACCCCCCAGAGAGAGGACAGACCGTCAGGGCAGAGAGTAAGGATGTGTCACCCACATCTTGTCACTAGCATAAGGATTCATCCTTGCAGGGAGCATCCCCTCAAGATTGCCCTGACCTTGAGATCAAAGTGGGTATCTACTCCCCGAGGCCACAGGTTCCTCAGGCTGCTCTGATACCCCAGTCTCCTGCCTCCTTGGACAGTTCTCTGCTGGGGATGGTCAAAAACTCACTTATTGGGCCAGACGCGGTGGCTCACGCCTGGAATCCCAGCACTTTGGGAAGCTGAGGCAGGTGGATCATTTGAGGTCAGGAGTTCAAGACCAGCCTGGCCAACATGGTGAAAACCTGTCTGCAGCAAAAAATACAAAAATGAGCCAGGCATGGTGGTGCGCACCTATAGTCCCAGCTACTCAAGAGGCTGAGGCAAGAGAATCGCTTGAATGCAGGAGGTGGAGGTTGCAGTGAGCTGAGATAGCACCGTGGCACTTTAGCCTGGGTGACAGTGAGACCCTGTCTCAAAAAAAAAGTCACTCATTGGACTTTGTTTTTGTAGACCCTTCCCTTTTTTCCTTTCTATCTATTCAGGCATACATTTTAATTTAACATATGACAGTCATTGACAGAGAATGTGTAAGATGAGAATTTGTTCACCTTGCCGGGCGCGGTGGCTCACGCCTGTAATCCCAGCACTTTGGGAGGCCGAGGCGGGAGGATCACGAGGTCAGGAGATCGAGACCATCCTGGCTAACACGGTGAAACCCCGTCTCTACTAAAACTACAAAAAAAAAAATTAGCCGGGCACAGTGGCGGGCGCCTGTAGTCCCAGCTACTCAGGAGGCTGAGGCAGGAGAATGGCGTGAACCCAGGAGGTGGAGCTTGCAGTGAGCCGAGATCATGCCACTGCACTCCAGCGTGGGGGACAGAGCGAGACTCCGTCTCAAAAAAAAAAAAAAAGACCGGGCACAGTGGCTCATGCCTGTAATCCCAGCACTTTGGGAGGCCAAGGCGGGCGGATCATGAGGTCAGGAAATCGAGACCATCCTGGCTAACACGGTGAAACCCCGTCTCTACTAAAAATACAAAAAAATAGCCAGGTGTGGTGGCTGGCGCCTGTAGTCCCACTTACTCAGGAGGCTGAGGCAGGAGAATGGCGTGAACCCAGGAGGCGGAGCTTGCAGTGAGCCGAGATTGCGCCACTGCACTCCAGCCTGCATGACACAGCGAGACCCTGTCTCAAAAAAAAAAAAAAGAATTCGTTCACCTTGCTGCCCCTCCCCACACCCCGGGTTTCCTCCTGATCTTTCTTTCACATCCTTTCTTAGCAGCAGCATCGGATTGATCTGGCTAATACTGATCACTCGGGCTAAAGGGAAGAGGCTGGTGGGTTTAAGTTGTGGGGCAGGGAGGGTGGGTTCTGGATCTAGGCATTTACTTTGAGAATCTCCATAGCCAGGTAGAGGGCATGGGGGCCAGCCAGGTCCCCTAGCCCTGGGGAACAGGGGGCACCAGGGCCCATGCACCCCTCCTGACAGGCTCTGGCACTTTTCCCAGCTGTCTGAGTGGTGGCTCAAGACCGCCTACCTCCAGTACCGCCAGCCTGTGGTCATCTACTCGAGCCCAGGCGTGATGCTACCCAAGCAGGACTTCGTGGACCTGCAGGGTCAGCTCCGGTGAGTGGCTGGGGTTTGGGGGCCAGGAGGCAGCCGGGCCCCTCGAGTTCACTTCGCCCAGCCGCTTGGAGGGGCCCCGACCCTGTTTATCTTTCTGCCCCACAAGCAGCCTTATGAAGTAGGGAGCATCCTCCCTATTTTACAAATGGGGAAATTGAGGCTCGGAGCAGGGAAGGGAGCTGCCCAAGACCCCATTCAGGAAGCAGGGTCTCTCCAGCTCTAAAGCCTCATGGCTGTTAACCACCACATCTTCGCAGAGGCCCCATCCTCCTCCATACCTGAGGCTTCTCCCCGACCCCAGTTTTAGCACTTCACCTCTCCTTTCCACTCTTCTCAGCTAGCCACAGGGGTGACCTCTGTACACAGTCCTCTTTTCCACATTCAGCCAGGTCACCTGCCCCAGCCCCTATTCCAGTCCTACCAGAGATAAAAATACCAGTGACAAGGATCTCCTGCCCAAGGACCAGCCACTGGCTGCCACCACCTGCTTCTCTTAAAGGGACCAGGGTACCCTGGGAAGGGCCGGGGTTCAGGCCCAGGAACTCCAGCCACTGGTCCCCATGGTGGGATCCAGGGGCGGCCCCAAGCATTGAGGGTGGTTGCCATGGGCCAGACAGCCCTGGGAGGAAGGCGGCCTGGGGGACACAGAGGCCCAGAGTGGGGAAGGGACCTAGTGGAGGGAACACCGGAGCCACTGCTCTCCCATCACACCACCCCAGGGGCCCGGGGCCTCCAGAACCGATGCTTCAGAGCAGATGACACCCCCTCCAGATTCTAGGCTGAGGTTCAGGAGCTCAGGCCCTTTGTGGGTAGACCCAGCCCACTGACCCCTAACCAAGCCACACTCCAGCTGCAGGGGGCCAGCACCCAAGTCCTACTAGGCCCTTGGCCACCAGCACTTCCCCGAGCCCTCCCGACCATGCTCCCTCTAGAGGTTATGAAGAAGCACACACAGGCTGGCAAGCTGGGACTCGCAGGCCCCTCCCTTGCGCTCCCAGGCTTTCTGGAAGCGGTGAGAGAGGCTGGAAGACTAGACCTCCCGCTCCCCAAGCAGGTGTCCCTAGCCCGGGGCCTCCCTCAGGGTGTCCACGCAGCTTCTAATCTCTAATCAATCTTTCCAGATTTGCTGCCAAACTCATTGAGGGTGTGTTGGATTTCAAGGTCATGATTGACAAGTGAGCATCCCCACCCCTGCCCAGCCCCACACCTGCCCAGGCCTGCTTAATTACCACAGCCACCTCTGACCCCAGCCCTGGCCCGGCATGCCAGCTTGGGCCCTGGGCCCTGCTCCAGCTGCTGGAATCTCCTCTTGGTGGGTGACCCTGTCCCATCCCAACTAAAGAGGACCCCAGAGTTTTATTCGCTGCTTCATCTCCCCTGTGACAAACTGAAGCCCAGAGAGGGGAAAGGAGGGAGTTTCTAGATGACTTCTGAACAGGGCCCATCTGGGGCAGAAAGCGAGCCCCCTGCCCACAGCACAGCCCTGAGGTGTCCTGCTCATCTGGGAGTGGGAGCAGGGACACTGTGTGAGCCCCCAGCAGTACCTAGCAGGTCCCTGTCTACCCTGCCCTCCTCCCCATTCACTTGCCCAGTGGTGGCCTCACTGCCCCTCTACCCCATAGCGAGACCCTGCCCGTGGAGTACCTGGGGGGGAAGCCACTGTGCATGAACCAGTACTATCAGATCTTGTCCTCCTGCCGAGTGCCGGGCCCCAAGCAGGACACAGTCAGCAACTTCAGCAAGACCAAGAAGCCTCCCACGCACATCACCGTGGTACACAACTACCAGGTGGGTGGCCCCCACCCACACCTACAAGCCCCGGCCCTGCTGCAGGAGTACAGCCGGACGGCCGCAGTCGGCTTCCCCACTGGGGTTCCCCAGCACACGTGCCCACGTGCCCCAGGAATGGGCGCCCCTGGCTTCTCCATTGGGGGCCCAGGGAGGCCAGGAGGGGCCGTGGGCCTGCCCAGCCCAGAAGGGTGATCCAAGGACCTCCTCCCCCTCTCACCCTTGGCCTGACTCCATCCCCTCCAAGGCCAAGGCCAGGAGGAGGCAGGTGTGGGGAGGTGGCTGCTCTCAGCCTGAGGTCCCCACTCAGCTCCCTCCTCTTACCTGCCTGTGCCCCAACAGTTTTTTGAGCTGGATGTGTACCACAGTGACGGGACACCCCTCACTGCGGATCAGATCTTTGTGCAGCTGGAGAAGATCTGGAACTCATCCCTACAGACCAACAAGGAGCCTGTGGGCATCCTCACCTCCAACCACCGCAACTCCTGGGCCAAGGCATACAACACCCTCATCAAAGGTGCCTCTTGGGGGCCGTGCTGGGGCTGCACACCCAGGCCTCTTCCCCTGTTGGGGACCAGCCTCAACTCCACCTGTAGGGTACCCGAAGTCTGCTGGCAACAAAGGAATGAGAAGAGACAGGTTAAGAGTTCATGAAGGTGGGAGCCAGGGGCCAGTTGCAAAATGGAGGCTGCAAAAGGCGCAGAGTTCTGGTCTCCACACTATTGAGTGCAGTCACTTAGCTCTAAGAAGCACATGTTCAGGGCGAAACAGTGAAAGGGAGGCAGTGCCTCATAGGAGGCATAATCTATAGCAATAGCAGTTTAAATGAATCTCCTTTGTGCTCAAACAGCGTGTCTTTAACTTATCGGAGAGTAGCTGGTGGGAGCGGGCTTAACTAGGAGCCTGCACATCTGTCCACTTCCCAGTGTTTCAAAGGAGTGTCTTTCTCCTTGAACACAGTGTTTACAGATAGGAGAGCGGGTCTCGCTCTGAGCATGGGAACATGATGGCAATTAGTAGGCTTTCCTCCTCCGTGGCCTCTTCTGGCTTTCCACAACTTATTGTCCCCTATTTTTATGGCCAGTTTATACAGGCACCCCACAAGTCCTTTTCCCAACATTCCCCCGGCATGCTGGGCCCCGCACAGCCATGGGCAGACATGTTTCCCGCTGCATCCTCTCAACGTGGAGCAGGCAATGTGGGCCCCATGTCCTAGTTGAGGACACCTCATGGTTAGGGTAGTTTCTCTCAGCTAAATAGCAAGTTAGGATTAGAGTCCAAGTCCTCTGGCTGAGAAGCCCACCCGCCTCCACACCCCCTGTGCCCCCAAGTACCAGCAGTCCTCCAAAGCATGTCTTGCTCAGGGGCATTGACCCCAAAGTCAGACCACCTGTGTGGGTTCCCCGGCTGCCACACCAGCTCCCATGTGACCCCTGGGCTTCGGTTTCCTGTGTCTAAAGTGGGCCAGGTGTTGGGCCCTGCCTCGAGGAGTGCTGTGGGCCTGCAGGGTCCTGTTGAGTTCGAAGCTCTGAACCCACACCCTGCACTTGGTGAATGCCCTGGAGGGCCGGCGAGGTGGGGGGTCTCCTCATCCCAGAGAGGTACAAATGGGTCAGAAGAGCCCAGGGCAGGAGGCTGCGGAGGGGCTGGTCCATCTCTCCCACACCATGAGACCCCATTTTGCGTCTCCCCGCCCCATGCCACCTGCAGACAAGGTGAACCGGGATTCCGTGCGCTCCATCCAGAAGAGCATCTTCACCGTGTGCCTAGATGCAACCATGCCCAGGGTCTCAGAAGACGTGTACCGCAGCCACGTGGCAGGCCAGATGCTGCATGGGGGCGGCAGCAGGCTCAACAGCGGCAACCGCTGGTTCGACAAGACGCTGCAGGTGAGGCCCGGCAGGGCTTCGCCCACTCACACACACCTGAACAGGACCTCTGCAGCCTCGGGACTTCCTGCCCGTCCCCGGCCCTGCGTCCCCAGCCTCCTAGCTTGTAAAGCAGGCAGGAAGCCAGCAGGCTGGACGCTGCCGTAATTACCAGGCAGCCAGCCTGTCATCACCAGTCCTGCCTCTGGCCTGGAAACCGCTGTCACCCCCAGCACACCCCCTCAGCACCTCACAGAGAACCTGGGATCCGGGGTCACCAGTGCAATCCTGGCACAACAGTCCCTCTCCACACCTGTAAAATGGGGTGATGGTCAACCTCACCGGTAGAGTAGTTTGAAGGACTCAGTCAGGCACGCTGAGCGTGGGATGTGCTTAGCACACCAGGGCACCTGGTGAGTGTCAGCTATTGTTAATAACAGTAATAAGTCATCATAGCCCCTTGAGATGGCTTCAGAGAGGCCCTTGCCTCAACCAAAGAGTGGTTGGGTGAGGGGCCACCCCCCAGGGCCCTGGGGCTGACCGGGGTCTCCCTTCCCTTCCACAGTTCATCGTGGCAGAAGATGGCTCCTGTGGGCTTGTGTACGAGCATGCTGCAGCGGAGGGGCCCCCTATTGTCACCCTTCTGGACTATGTCATCGAGTACACGTGAGTACAGTCACATCTCTCGCCTAGTTCCCCAGCTTCTAGTGACAGGTGACACACAGGTGATAGACCAGCTTATAGAGAAATATCACTCTCCTTTGTGCCTGGGAATCTGTTTTTTTCCAAGGAAGCCAGCCAGATATGGTGGCTCACGCCTGTAATCCTGACACTTTGGGAGGCTGAGGTGGGAGGATCAATTGAGGTCAGGAGTTTGAGATCAGCCTGGCCAACATGGTGAAATGCCATCTCTACTAAAAATACAAAAAAAAAAAAAATTACCCAGGTGTGGTATCACATGCCTATAATCCCAGTTACTCAGGAGGCTGAGGCAGGAGAATTGCTTGAACCCAGGAGGCAGAGGTTGCGTTGAGCGGAGACTGTGCCACTGCACTCCAGCCTGGGTGACAGAGCAAGACTCTGTCTCAAAAAAAAAAAAAAAAAATTAGGCCAGGTGCAGTGGCTCATGCCTATAATCCCAGCACTTTGGGAGGCGGATCACCTGAGGTCAGGAGTTCAAGACCAGCCTGGCCAACATGGTGAAACCCTGTCTCTACAAAAATTAGCCAGGCATGATGGCGGGTGCCTGTAATCCCAGCTACTTGGGAGGCTGAGGCAGGAGAATCGCTTGAACCCGGGAGGCAGAGGTTGCAGTGAGCTGAGATCACACCATTGCACTCTAGCCTGGGTGACAGAATGAGACTCTGTTTCAAAAAAAAAAAAAAAAAAGTTAGCCACGCGTGGTGGTGGGTGCCTGTAATCCCAGCTACTCAAGAGGCTAAGGCACAAGAATCACTTGAACCCAGGAGGTGGAGGTTGCAGTGAGCCGAGATCGTTCCATTGCTCCAGCCTGGGTGACAGAGCAAGACTCTGTCTCAAAAGAAAAAGAAAAAAATTAGCCAAGGTGGCGGGCATCTGTAATCCCAGCTACTCAGGAGGCTGAGGCAGGAGAATCGCTTGAACCAGGGAGGCCAAGGTTGCAGTGAGCTGAGATCACATCACTGCACTCCAGCCTGGGCAACAGAGCAAGACTCCATCTAAAAAAAAAAAAAAAAGAAAAAAGAAAAAAAAGCTGAAGTGAGGGTGGTTTTCAGAACAAACTCACACCTCCCTGGGCTGGCCCCCTCCAGCTTCAGGTACCCATCCTCCCCACCCTGGTCCCAGAATGGACCCAGGCTCTAGAGGCACCAGCATGAGCCTGAGGCCCCGTTTACTGTGCAGGAAGAAACCCGAGCTTGTGCGGTCTCCCCTGGTGCCCCTGCCCATGCCCAAGAAGCTGCGGTTCAACATCACCCCCGAGATCAAGAGCGACATCGAGAAGGCCAAGCAGAACCTCAGCATGTAAGTGCCTGCCCCCGCCATCCCTGTGCTGGATGGGTGAGGCCAGGCCCTTGAGCTTGAGAGGCTCCTGTGCCAGCTCTGTCATGACACCCAGACCCTCCGTGGGGTTGGCAGGGGCTGCCGGGGCCTGCTCCTCACCTGCTCTTCCCACACCCCCAGCATGATCCAGGACCTGGATATCACCGTGATGGTGTTCCACCATTTTGGAAAAGACTTCCCCAAGTCGGAGAAGCTAAGCCCAGATGCCTTCATCCAGATGGCTTTGCAGCTGGCCTACTACAGGTGCGCCTCTGTGGCCCACCCATGGAGGAGGGAGGAGACCTGGGGGCAGGGGAGGGGGTGCCCGCCTCCAAGGGGCGTGCTTAGCCCCATTTCCCACCAGGATCTACGGACAGGCATGTGCCACCTATGAAAGTGCCTCCCTGCGCATGTTTCACCTGGGCCGCACCGACACCATCCGCTCGGCTTCCATGGACTCACTCACCTTTGTCAAGGCCATGGATGACTCCAGCGTCACGGTGAGAGGTCTGGGGCGAGGGTGGGTGAGCTGGGCCTGAGCCCCTCCCTCCTGCTCACTCAGTCAACACACAATAATTGAGCACCTACAGGATTCCAGCCCCATGGTGGGCACGGGGAATCTAACAGAAGCTGGAGCCGTGAATCTAGCTCTGAGCTTCCTGGGGACCAAAGAGGAAAAGGGAGTCATTCATTTGTTCATTCATTTATTCATTGGCAGTAAGCAACTGCCCTATGTCAGGCCCTGGCTGAGGACCAAGGAGTTGGTAGTTGCAATACTCGCTCTTTTTTTTTCTTGTTTTTTTTTAGAAAGAGTCTCACTCTGTTGCCCAGGCTGGAGTGCAGTGGTGTGATCTCGACTCACTGCAACCTCCACCTCCCGGGTTCAAGCAATCCTCCTGCCTCAGCCTCCCAAGTAGCTGGGACTACAGGTGCCTGCCACCATGCCCGGCTAATTTTTGTATTTTTAGTAGAAACGGGATTTCACCATGTTGGCCAGGCTGGTCTCAAACTCCTGACCTCAAGGGATCCACCTGCCTCGGCCTCCCAAAGTGCTGGGATTACAGGCGTGAGCCACCGCTCCCAGCCCCAATATTTCCTCTTAAAGAGCTCAGAATCTAGTGCTGGGTGGGGGTGGGCTACTGAGGTGGGCCAGAAGAGAAGGGACAGTGCTTCAGCTCCCTCTGACCCTCACCACTCTAGGAGCACCAGAAGGTGGAGCTGCTGCGGAAGGCCGTGCAGGCCCACCGAGGCTACACCGACCGGGTAAGTGAGCCCGCTTGTGCCTACTCACTTGTCCCTTAGTGTCAGCCATCTGTCTGTCCCTCTGACTGTCCGTCCCTGCAGCCAATGGCTGCCAACCCTTTGCTAGGACCACATCTCCCCCAACCTGGGAGCACCTGGAGCCAGGCTGAATAGCCCCCAACTTTTTCTTTTTTTTTTTTTTTGAGATGGAGTCTTGCTCTGTCGCCCAGGCTGGAGTGCAGTGGTGTGATTTAGGCTCACTGCAACCTCCGCCTCCCAGGTTCAAGCAATTCTCCTGCCTCAGCCTCCCAAGTAGCTGGGATTACAGGCACCCACCACCACACCTGGCTAATTTTTCCATTTTTAGTAGAAACAGGGTTTCACCATGTTGACAGGCTGGTCTCAAACTCCTGACCTCAGGTGATCCACCCACCTCAGGCTCCCAAAGTGCTGGGATTATAGGCGTGAGCCACCGTGCCCGGCCAAATATCCCCATTTTAAAGTTGGAGAAACCCAGCCTGGGCCCAGTAACTGCCTTGGTTCCAGGTTCCAGGGCTGGCCTGGGCCCTAGATGTTGGGTCACACTCTCTCCCTGATGCTAGGTATCTCTCCCTGACGCTAGGTATACATGGTCCAGCAGACAGCCAGTTTCCTGCCCTCCAGCAGCTTGGGCTGCAGTCAGGGAGGTGGCTGTCTGGATGCGTGTCCTGGCTCTGTCTCTGAGCACCTGTGTGTCCAGGCTCTGACCGTGCTACATGCACACGTCCATTTAGAGCTCACCGCCACCCTGCGAGGGGAGTGTAGGACTCACCCCTCTTTACAGATGAAGACACTACAGTTCCAGAACCTAAGCAACCTGCCAAGGCCCTGCAGCCAGGATGGGGCTAGGTCACCCAGCTCCAGGGCCCTGCCCTACAACCCTGCACTTTCCTGCCTCCCTGGGCAAATCCCCGCCCCTCCCTGAGCCTTGGTTTCCCCATCTGTGAAACGAAGGCTCTCTCTGGCCAGAATACTCTGGTCTTGTGGTTTTGAGTGGCCAGTGCCTGCGAAGGGTGGCGCTGCCACAGGCTGAAGAGGGCAGGGATACCCCGGGGGTCCACAGCCCCTGCTCCTGACAGCTCTCCCACCCCAACAGGCCATCCGCGGGGAGGCCTTTGATCGACACCTGCTGGGCCTGAAGCTGCAGGCCATCGAGGACCTGGTGAGCATGCCCGACATCTTCATGGACACCTCCTACGCCATCGCCATGCACTTCCACCTCTCCACCAGCCAGGTGGGCCACTGCCCCAGGTGCCCCGGGGGCTGGAGGCAGAGAACCCACTGGTAGTTTGATGTGGCCTACACAGGCCCCACTGACCCATTGCCAACACAGCTGAGTTCCAGAGGAGGAGCTGGGGGCAGGGGCCTCTCTGCAGCCCAGGCAGGCTGAGAAGGGGTCAGTGCTCCTCATGGGAGAATCAGCTTCGCTGACTCACTGGTCAGGTATAAAGGAACATTTGATTCGTGCCAGCCTGTAGTGGTTGCTGGGATATAGCAGGGGACAGACCATGATCCCTGCCCACAAGGGGCCTGCAGTCTTGGCGGAAGCACAGGCAGCCTGGGAAGTGCTGGGGGCGTCAAGGTAGGGGAGCTGAGAGCTTTCATCCTGCCGTCCCCAGGTCCCTGCCAAGACAGACTGTGTCATGTTCTTCGGGCCCGTGGTCCCCGACGGCTACGGTGTCTGCTATAACCCCATGGAGGCCCACATCAACTTCTCCCTGTCGGCCTACAACAGCTGCGCGGAGACCAACGCCGCCCGCCTGGCGCATTACCTGGAGAAGGCGCTCCTGGACATGCGTGCCCTGCTGCAGAGCCACCCCCGGGCCAAGCTCTGAGCCCCTAGGACTCAGGCCTGCCAATGCCACAGCCAAGCCCACCCTGGGATGGGCCACCCACCAGGGCTCAGCTCCTTGGTTCCCTCTTCCTTGGTTCCCTCTTCCCTGGTCCCCCCAAATCTACTGAGCCACGGACCGCATCCTCCAGGGGGCCTGCAGGCCCCAGCCAAGTGCCTTCCGTGGGTCATCCCAGCACCTGCCAGGGCCCGACCTGGGGCTGAGTGCAGAGGCTGAGCAGGACGTTAGGCCCGGGCCCCTGGCACGTCCTCCACCGGTGCCTCCTCTGGGGAAGGGAACCAGCCCTCCAGAGCAGGAGACTGGCAAGAGCTCTTTGTCTCACCAGCTCAGCCCCGGCCACTCCCTGCCAACTCCATGACCAGGCCACCATCTGTACCCTGCTTCCCAAACTCCCAGGACCTGGAGACAGGATTGTCTGGGGCCGAGGGGCCAGGGTGTGAGGTTTCACCTCCGTTGCGGCTGTGCTCCTGTGGATAACATTGCTAGCGAGCCGCCTCTGGTTCCACTCAGCTTGGTTCCTGCCCCCGCCCTGCTGTATGATATTAATGTGGAAGGTCATCAATAAAGGGGAATTGTGTTGGTGAAGAGGTGTTTCAGCTGAGAGGCAGGCAGGGTGGGGGCAGGCACCTGGCCTTGCCCTCTTCAGCTTTCCCTGGGCCTCGGAGCTGGTGTCCAAGCAGCTGGTGGGCCTGAGGGCTTTGGCCCAGGAGCCAAGGTCCAGCTGTGACCTTGGGGCACTGGGCCCAGAACCATACCAGAGCCAGGGCTGCGTCCTTCACCAGCAGCTTCCCACCTACCTCTGGCTTGGGCCTTCCCAAGTCCCATGGGTTGTGGGTAGGGGCAACTCTCCCAGGGGACTGTGGGGCCCAGCAGGCCCAGGTCTGGTGGGCTGATGAATGTTGCTAATACCCAGGGGCCCAGGGTGTCATTCTACTTCCCCCAACTGAGCCCAGCAAAAGTAGGAGTACAGCAGCAGGCTCAGCTTGCCCCAGGCCCAGCCGCTGCCAGGACAGACACCTTCGGGGGTGGGCAGGTGCGATCAGAGCAGAACCACATACCTGCCCATAGCCCCGTGTCCATGGCTGAGGCAGGGCATCCTGGCAAAACCAAGCGTGCAGTTTGTGGAGAGGGGAGAGTCTCCCATTAGGACACTGGCCTGTGAGGAAGGCCTGTGTGAAACCACAAGGGCGGATGCCGGGGTGGGCTGGGGGAGGTTGGCTGGCCTGTGAGTGAAGGGCTCTGTGACCTGACTAAGCTGGGACAGTCATCCGAGAGTGGGGCCTTTGGTTTTCTCCGTTTGTCAGATGAGGAAGCAGGCTTAGCGAGGTTAAGGTCACCGGGACGCTAAATGGCAGAGCAGGATTCACAGAGGCCACACTTGTCTCCTCTAGGCCGGGGCTCCAAGAAGCCCCTCCCTAGAGCCAGGTCCCCAGCCCCAGGCCACATCCACCTAGGTGTCCCGCAGCAGGGGGTGGAGAAAGGGATGCTATGGGTGGAAACCGGCCCAGCCTCAGGACCACAAGGAAGCGGGTAAAGAGGGAGGCTGGGCTGAGCCTGAGCTCTAATCAGGCGCAGGGACCTGCCAGGCCTGACCATTGGTGGTGTACTCAGCAGGAGAGGGCAGCCACTTGCCCAGTGCCCCAAGGGGACAGGAGGTGTAGCCCAGACAATGGAGGAAATGGATGGAGGCAGAGAAAGGGATGCCTCTGGGGGGAACACGCAGGCCTGGAAGAGAATGTCACCTGGACCAGCACCCGGACTCTGCTCCTCGCTACACAACAGGGTGCTCCCTCTGGGGGTGACTAGAACCGCTAGGAAACAGGGTACACAGCAGGGCAGAGTGCTGCATGAGCAGCCAGGAGTGGGCCTGCAGCCAGCCCAGGCAGGACAGGGAGGGGAGAGCGAACAGTCAAGAGGCTGCCAGACAGACACCCTGGATTCCCAAAACTCGCCTAAGAACCCTACAGGTCTGAATATAAGGTTGGATTTTTTTTCCCCCAGAATTATCCTTCTGAATTGAGGGGCATCCCCTTAGGGTGGTGGCATTACAGGCCCCATCACATGGAAGCCCCCTCAATTCCTTGGAGCCACCAAGTATTGTTCAGGGAGGGCGCATTCAGCATCTGAGCAACCTCAGTCATGGTGAGAGGGAATCCCTAGAGGTCCTTTGTGGGGGAAAAAGGCAAAGAAACAAGATTTCGCCGTTCTTCCTTAGGGGTAATTCCTGAGACCTCACACTTTCAAGTGTTGGATGTCGGGATAAACCAGCGCTTAACGTTGTGCCAGGGGGCACTTGTGGCTTGGAATGAAATTTCTAGAGCTAGTGCTGTGCATGAAATCCTACAGGCGCTGCTTAAAGGCTAGCATAGCCAAGACAGCGGCCCCAGGAGAGCAGGCTCAGCTGACCCAGAGGGGGCTCCAGGGGTGACCAAACTCTGGCGCCAGTGATGCAGACGAAAAACGTGATTCGTTTTTGCAAAATGAGTGAAAAAAAGCTCTTCTGAATTGGTATATCTTGAGCAATGCATCATTTGACATTTGAATGAGTAATAAATTTTTTTTTTTTTTGAGACAATTTCACTCTTGTCACCCAGGCTGAAGTGCAATGGTGCGATCTCAGCTTACTGCAACCTCTGCCTCCCAGGTTCAGGCAATTCTCCTGTCTCAGTCTCCCAAATAGTTGGGATTACAGGCCTGTGCCACCACACCCAGTATTTTTGTACTTTTAGTAGAGACAGGGTTTCACCATGTTGGCCAGGCTAGTCTCAAACTCCTGACCTCAGGCCTGCCTCAGCCTCCCAAAGTGCTGGGATTACAGGCGTGAGTCACCACGCCCAGCCTAATAAGATTAATGAATTCAAGAGAAATAGACGTGTGGCTTTACGGAAAGTCTGTACATCCAGCGGGCATGAACTTTTTTTTTTTTTTTTTCCTGAGACGGAGTCTCGCTCTGTCGCCCACGCTGGAGTGCAGTGGTGCAATCTCAGTTCACCGCAAGCTCTGCCTCCTGGGTTCATGCCATTCTCCTGCCTCAGCCGCCCGAGTAGCTGGGACTACAGGCACCCACCACCACGCCCGGCTAATTTTTTGTATTTTGTTTAGTAGAGATGGGGTTTCACCGTGTTAGCCAGGACGGTCTCAATCTCCTGACCTCGTGATCCGCCCGTCTCGGCCTCCCAAAGTGCTGGGATTACAGGCGTGAGCCACCGCGCCCAGCCGCGAAAAGTGGATATTTCAAAGAGGCTTCTGAGGGCTTGAAGAGTTGGGCTTCTGCCCAGCACCGCACCTTGGGCAGGTTGGAGCGGGGTCAGGGTAAGCAGGTGAGTGTGGATGAAGTGAAGGCGATGAGTTAGCGGGGGCGGGTGCGCCTGAAGCTGCTCCCGGTAGCTTTCCCACTCCACACTGCAGCCGGGATGTCTTCTGACACACCCTCCAGTTTGCTTTTCCTTTTTAACTCTCTCTCATCTGCTGTTAAATCTACCTCTCGGATCCTTGTTTTTTAGCTATGATTCGAGGCCAGGGCTCGCCTTATAGTTTCCTGTTCCCTGCAGATATTGCCATTTATTTATTTTTTTGAGAGGGAGTCTCACTCTATCACCCAAACTGGAGCACAGTGGCGCGATCTCGGCTCACTGCAACCTCTGCCTCCTGAGTTCAAGCGATTCTCCTGCCTCAGCCTCCCGAGTAGCTGAGACTACAGGCGTGTGCCACCATGCCCAGCTAATGTTTGTATTTTTAGTAGAGATGGTATTTCACCATGTTGGCCAGGCTGGTCTCGAACTCCTGACCCTAAGTGATCTGCCCATCTCTGGATTATGGGCGTGAGCCACCGTGCCTGGTGTTCTCTTTAAAAATAGTAAAACAGGCTGGGCGTGGTGGCTCATGCCATAATCCCAGCACTTTGGGAGGCCGAGATGGGTGGATCACTTGAGATCAGGAGTTAGAGATCAGCCTGGCCTACATGACGAAACCCCATCTCTATTAAAAATACAAAAAAAATTAGCCAGGGGAGGCTGAGGCAGGAGAGTTGCTTGAACCCAGGAGGCGGAGGTTGCAGCAAGCTGAGATCGCGCCACTGCACTCCAGCCTGGGTGACAGAGCAAGACTCCATCTCAAAAAAAAAATAGTAAAGCAGTCTGCTTAATCATTCCAGTATTTGAAGAATTTGTGGGTTTGTTTCTATTATCTGTTTTCTGCTGCTGCTCCATCATGGTGTCTTTTTTCCTTTTATATTTGATCATCTTTGTCCACATATATTTGTTTTTGAGATGGGGTTTTTCTCAGGCTGGAGTGCAGTGGTGTGATCACAGTTGGCTGCAGCCTTGACTCCCGGGCTCAAGCGATCGTCCCACCTCAGCCCCTCGAGTAGCTAGGACCACAGGTGTGCACCACCACGCCTAGCTCATTTTTAAAAAAATATTTTGTAGAGACAGGGTCTTGCTACGTTGCCCAGGCTGGTCTCAAACTCCTGGGCTCAAATGATCCTCCTCCTTTGGCCTCCCAAAGTGCTGAAATTACAGGCGTGAGCCACTGTGTCAGACCAAGTGGAGATGTTTATCCTGGCACACTCTGAAGGGCACACTGGCTGCCCCTGAGTCCTCAAGGCTGTCCCACAGAGGAGGAACAAGGCTCAGTGAGAGGAGGGCCAGCGCCACACAGGGAGGGAGACTGACAGTGAAAAGAGGAAAACTTCCTAAGGCTGAGAGTGTCCAGGTTTGGTATGGTGGCCCTCAGTGAGGTCCCCTGGAGGGATGTAATCAGAAGCTGGACAGACCCTGACAGGAAATGCCGCAGAGGTCATTCAGACCCCTGCTGTGGGCTAGAAGGGACTAGATCACTTCTGGTTTTATGGTCTTCACCGTATCCTTGCCCCTAAGGGTCATGTGTCCCCACAGCTGCCCCAATCTCCTCTCCTGAGCTCAATCAGCAAGTGCTCAAGCTGCCAGAGTTTACGGTTTTATTTTAAAACAGTAGTAAACAATTTCATTGATTTTTCTTAAATCAAACCACCTCATACTCGGCTTGTCTCAGGCAAAAAGTAAAAAATAAAAATAACGGGAGGGAAACATGGAAACCGACCTACCTTCCCTAGAAATAAGCCCCTGGTCTTGGCATCTGGAATGGCTTTTGGACACTGCCTTTAACAAATGAGAAAAGAAAGCACCAAAACATTGTGCTTCAGCAGCAGGTTAGGAAACTCCACAAAGAAAGGGGTGGGGAGGATTCGAACACAGATCCCGAGTGACCCAGTTCAGTCCTCAAAACTTCTGAGAGTCTGGAGGCGTCTCCTCTCCACAACTCCCTTTCAGAGTGACTTAGAGATGGGGGTCCCTTTAGGAAGAGCCCTCCCACGAACCAGGCTGATAGGGATCTGTGAGCCCACACCCCAGACACAGGTTTGAGGGGGACCCCAAGCAGGTTCCCAGCTGGTCAGAGATGGGTCAGGAAGGACAAGGACATATTCAGAGCACACAGAGGGAAGGACGAGGGACTTCGGGTGCCTGTTGCCTCACTCCTCTCCTCACGGCTCCTTCCCATTTTGTTCACGTGGGGATGAAGACTAACTGCTACTGGATGGCAGGACAAGAAAGAGCTGTAAACAGCTTGGGTCTGCTCACCCAAATGTGCAGGCTCCTTTGTCAGAAAGCGATTATTGTCTTAGGGACAGGGGACCAGAGAAAGCCCTTGTGGTGTTGGGTCAGTACGGGGTAGAACACAACGACAGCAGCCGCCAGACGCGTGCTCGCTCTGGGCCCTGCCCCCAGACAGGGAAACACTGACCGAGGTTCTGGAACGGCAACGGTGGCAGGGAGGGTGTGGGGTATGCTCCCCTCCTCCTGGCACCCAGGCCACCCCGGCCCAGGGAGAGGCAGTCTGCCCTCTGGGCATAGGGCGAAGGGCCTGGGAAGCTGACCGGGAGCCCTCTGTTCACAGGGCAGCCACCGGAGAGCAGATTCTTCCAGCTCCAAAATCCTGCCTGCCTCTGACAAAACCAAAAAATAAATAGTGTGTACTTCTCACGCCACCTGGAATTCCTGGCCCCGAGACCAGAGGCGCGAGCCCTCCTCCTCCACCCCACACCCAGGTGCCCATGCCGAGGGCACTTTCTGCCCAGCCAGGGGCTGGCAGCAGCACAGCGAGGGTCTCTGGCCACGGCCCCCAGGCAGCAGGCCCCCCAGGGTCCTGGTTGAGGGGCTGGTTCAGCCCTTTGGTCCACCTTGTTCATTAAAATTAAAATAAGAAAAAAAAAGGCTCCACTTGGTGACTTGGGTCTGTAGAGGTCTCTGCTTCGTCCCTGTCTGTCATCCTGTCCATCCTGCAAGGCATCGTGCGGGCCAGATCTGGAGGCTGGACCCAGCCACACCCACTGGTCACTGCAGTTTCGTCCCCAGCTTGCGTTGTCTGTTCCTGCAAAACAGGATGGGGGTCAGATGTGGAGACATCTGGTGTTCAGTGACCTACAGCTGTCCCCACCCCACCCGTAGTCCCAACTAAGTAGGCAAATGCCCACACCCAGTAGCCAGCGATTGACCTGAACTGGGCCAATCAGAGCACCTGCCCTGGGAATGGCACCTAGACAGGGCTGATCTCCCCGGCGAGGCCTGTACCTCAGTTATCTCAGCTCTGCAATCCCAGAAGTGGAGCCAGGGGATTGGAGCAGGGGTAGGGACCAGGATGAGACTACAGAGGCAAGAGGGACCTGGCTGGGTTCCAATTAGTTATGGGGAGTTTCGCTTTATAGACGAGGCAGCACAAGTGGGCTCAGTTGTTATTGATCAAAACAGAAGTACAGAAATGTAGTGAGCTCCCCATCCGGGAGGTATGCAAGCGAAAGCAGGAGAACTACTGATGGAGGTTACTGAGGGGATTTGAGCACCCAATTTGGGCTGTGGCTATATCCAGAGTGAGCCCAGGAACCTGAGGGAACCAGGGCCAATCACCCCCATTTTCTAGAGGGGCTGACAGAGACTCAGTAGAGGAGAATGGGGTTTGTCTAGGGTCCCAGTTAAAATCTAGAAACCTGACTGGTCCTGTGTGATCTGTCCCCAGCCTCATCCCACAACACACCCCTTGCTCCCTGGGCTCCAGCCCCGGCAGCCTCCGTCTGGTGCAGTCACCAAGCTTTGTCAGCTTCAGGAGTTGTGCATGCCCTTCCCTCTGCTGAGAACGTTTCCCCCAACCCCCACAACACCCTCCCACCCCCCTACCCTCCCCATCCCCCCATCCCCCCCCACCTCCCCCCACCCCCAGCTCCCACGTCCCCACATAGGCTCCCGACACAAGCTGTCAGGCCACAGCACTGATCACATAGGCAGGTGCGTCGCAGCTCTTCCCTGCCTGCCGTGAACACAGTGAGCAGGGGACCATGGCTGTCACTGTGCTTGCCCCCAGCACACAGCCTGGCACAGAACAGGTGTGCCCTGAGATTTTGGTAAATGAAGGCAGGTGGAGGCCGGCCAGGCGGGGCAGGGCAGGGTGAGGCGGGGCAGGCCAGTGAGAGATCAGCGGGGCCAGCTGGGACCTTTCTGCCTCTAATAGGATTGCCTGCCCTAACCCCCTCCAATCCCCTTTCCTCATGGATCCCCGGCTTTGCCCTTAAGCTCGTTAGGATAATTTGGACCTTGATGCACTAAACACGTTTCCTGGCTGCTAGGACGCCCCACCCTACCCCGCCCCACAGTCCCTCTCAGCCTGCCTAGAAACCTCCCAGGCTTCCTGTGGAGCCTCAGCTCCCCTCTGAACCCAGAGAAGGGCCGGCCTTCGGCCGGGCGAGGTGGCTCACACCTGTAATCCCAGCACTTTGGAAGGCCGAGGCGGGTGGATCACAAAGTCAGGAGATTGAGACCATCCTGGCTAACACGGTGAAACCCCGTCTCTACTAAAAAATACAAAAAATTAGCCGGGCGTGGTGGCGGGCGCCTGTAGTCCCAGCTACTCGGGAGGCTGAGGCAGGAGAATGGTGTGAACAAGGGAGGCAGAGGTTGCAGTGAGCCGAGATCGCGCCACTGCACTCCAGCCTGGGCGACAGAGCGAGACTCCGTCTCAAAAAAAAAAAAAAAGAAAAAAAAGAAAAGCCAGCCTTCCCACTCCCCTAAGAACCTCACCCAGGATTTGGGGTGAATGAAACAGCATGAGTCAGGAGTCTCCAAAGCTCAGCTCTGTCCTGACTTGCTGCACAACTACAGGCTGGCCTCCTAACTCAATGTGCCTCAGTTTACCCAGGCCTAAGAAAGCATCTGGACTAATCCCTAGGGATGTCCACACACAGGAGCCCTGAGAACCTCAGCTGCCCAGCTCTCTGGTTCTGGGCTGCAGAGGTTAAAAGCATGGGCCCTGGGCCAGACAGCCTGGGTTCACCACCCTGCTCCCCCACCCACTATCTGCAAGATCTCGAGCAAGTGACTTCTCTTCTCCAAGCTTCAGTTTCATCATCTGCAAAATGGGGGTCACAGCAGGATTCAATGAGTTAATGCAAGAGAAGTGCTTAGGCAGGCGCGAGGCTCCCGGAGAGCCCTCCAAACATGGAGGCAGAGGCTGCCTGTGGCTGGCCCAGTGAGCACTGCTGTCCCCTGAACTCACCTGGCTTCTGCCCGGGTTACCGTGTACTCAAACCAGAGTACGTTGGGAATGAGGCTTGTGTCTCGGATTAGGAAGAACTCGGAGACAGGCCTGGAGAGACAGACATCAGAGAGCCAGGGGCACATCAGGGCATGAGTCTGTTACCATGCCAGCCATCCCCACCATTGCCCGGGGCTGGCACGGCACCCGCCCCGACTGCCTAGAGTCTTTGCCTGGCCTGAGACCCCAGAGCCACTGAGAGACCCAGCTATGTCACCTGTGTCACCTCAGGCAGGGGCACTGTCCCACGGCACACACAGCCCAGCAGGACTCAGGCTTCTAAGTCCCTGAGAACCTAGGCGAGGACAGAGGATGGCACTCTGGCTTCCGGGCCTGAGGAAACCCCCTGTGTCTCTGCCACAAACCCTGGGGCACTGGGGCCTTCCCAGGGAGACAGGGGCTGGGGTCAAGACTCCTAGGTCCGCCCACTGATGGCCCCACCCACAGGAGGGGACAGGGCCCACAGTGCCCAGGAAGGCAGGAGGCAGTTACCAGGCTGCTATCCTGGGGAACAGCGGGGTGAGGACCTCCTGGGTGAAGATGAACCAGGCGATGGCCATGAGGCCTCCAGCGATGCCTCCATAGAGCACCTGGCTCCAGGTGTGGTACAGCAGGTAGACCCTGGGCCAAGGCCAGAAGCGAAGTATGTGAGAGCCAGTCAGACACAGGCCCGCACAATCCCCACTGCCCATGTGCCAGCTTCCCAGGGACCTGTGCCCACACATGTGGAGACACAGACAGGACACTGACTCCACGGGGCACAGCCTCAGATCCATTTCCAAGTGGGAGGGCGCTGGACCCCAAACACAGCTCTCCCATCTGTAGCAGTGAAGGGCCAGCTGGGATCTGCCTGCCTCCCATCTAGCCCTTGACCTCTGAATTTGTCTACAGTGGGCTCCTCCGGAACGCTGGGAAGAGATGGCTGATACGTGGAGTTGGTCCCAGAATCTTGGGCTCAGTGCGGACTGGGCTAGAAGAGGCAGCTGGAGCCCTGTCCTTTTAAAACTAGAGGTCTGGGACCCCTTTTCCAGTCCTGCACTACAGGTTCTGGGACTAGGGTCCATGGTGGGGTCCGACAGGGACCAGGAACCAGCAGGACCCCACATGGGCAGGGTGCAGGCAGGGGCTCTCCCTCCTCCATACCTGCTGTAGGAGACTAGGAAGGCCACAGCGAGGAGTCCCAGGGAGAGCACGTGCCTCCACAGCAAGTCCAGGAACCTGGCGTTGTTTGTTTGGTGCATTCTGCGAAAACAGGCCCACCAGATGACCTCAGCCCACAGCCCAGCCCAGGCCTCCCAAACAGTCCCTGGCCCCATCCAAATGCTCCCTGGGTACCTTCTGCCTCCGCTGCAGCCCCTCCCACCCCAGGGGCATCCAAAGGGCTAGCAGTGAGTCCCTAGCAGAACTCGGCCTGAGCAAGTTCAGGGCCATCCTGACCGGGGTGGAAACTCACCTTAAATACAGGAAAAGGAAGGAATAGACGGAGAAGAACCACATAAACTGGGAATGGCTGGAGGGCATCCCGTACTTGGTGCCCACTGCTGTGTGGGGGCCTGGGAGAGAGAGGAGACCAGGGCATCACGGGGGGATGCAGACCTCCCAGTAACGCCCCAACCTGGGGGAACCTCAGGCCCTCGCAGCTGAGGCCCTACCTCCACAGGGCCGTGGCTCCTGGATGACGTTTTTGATCAGCCAGTTGACCCCCTCGTTCAGTGCCAGGCCCCCAAGGAAGGAGATCTGCTGGGGAAGACGCATGGTCAGCTGGGCCTCTGTGCACCTGTTGGCTGCTACCTAGTCCCAAAGACCATGGCCTCTGACTGAACCTCCCAGCCCAACAGGTGAGTAACCTAGAACCAGCCAGGAGGCTCCACGCACCTCAAGACAGGTGGACGCAGGGATGAGAACCCTGGACTGAGGGGCGGACGGGCTTCCCAAAGCAGGGTGGGGGCACTGGGGGTGGGGTGGGGAGGGTGTGGGCAAGACAGACTCACCGTGTGCAGCTCCCGCTTAAATATGATGAGGGTCACGAAACCGACGATGACAAATACAGGGCTGAGGCTCAGGTAGGCAAGGAGGTGGCCAGAGAGATCACCTGGCAAGACAGAGAACAGAATCAGGAGGACAGGGCACAGGCATCAGAAGAGGGACCAGCCCCCTACAAGTAAGGCCTGATCCAGAAAGGAGGTCCCGGCAGGGCCTGGAGAATGGAGGCCAGGCAGCCAGGGACACCTGTTTACCGGCCGATTGTGCCAACTCAGTCACAGCCATACGTGATGCTGTCTACTACTTAGCACTAAAGTGCACACAGCATGCGT
The DNA here is from genome assembly GCF_000001405.40 of Homo sapiens. Classification (NCBI taxonomy): domain Eukaryota; kingdom Metazoa; phylum Chordata; class Mammalia; order Primates; family Hominidae; genus Homo; species Homo sapiens. Next base: position 129,084,444 of record NC_000009.12, on the reverse strand, counting down.
TTAAAGCAGGTGCCTTCACTGTTCCCATTCTATAGATGAAGAAACTGAATTCCAGAGCAACTATGTGACTCGCCCAAGGTCACACAGCCAGAAGGAGGTGGGACCAGGACTAAAGTCCAAGTCTCTGACCTGTTCCAGACACTAGACCAATCCCTCCTGCCAAAGCAGGAAGGTGAACCCGGCCTGGTGACTCCAGAGGTGGAGCCTGGGACCTGGGAGGCAGCCCGGCAGGCACATGAGAGCCACACACTGTTGTGCTGGGGCTGCCCTGGCTGAGCCCTGGGCCTCCAGGGAAATCCGACGTTCTCTGGACACCACACAGACTTGGGTCCACACTGAAGACTCGGACAGAAACCAAGCCCAATAGGGCGACGGTAACAGCTGCGCGCCACTTCTCTGGCAGGAAACTGCCTACCTATTGATTACCAGCTTCTGACACTCCCATCACTCCTGGGATGGAGGCAGCAGAGGAACACTGGCCCCTTTTAGGAGATGGGGACACTCAAGCTGAGAATCCAAGGGCAGGGGAGGCTGAGTCTGAAGGCCACCCTCACCACTTGAGACAGGCAGCTATGTAGCCACTCTGGGGTCTGAGAGCATGGTTCAGCTCCTATGCCCACACTCACTGGCTGCATGAACTGAGGCAAGGATTCAAGCCTCAGCTCACCCACTTGTGGAATAGGGATATCAGTGCCTACCTCCTACAGCTGCATGAGACTCAATGAGATGGGACCTGTGAGACACCCAGCTTGGTCCCTGGCAACCAGGACACTTCCATGTTGGGGCAGAGGTGGAGAGAACCCAGTGTGGGAAATGGTCCATGCCACCAGCCTCACACAAGCAGCAGGGAAGTTGTCCACAGAGGGCTGAGCCCAGATTCCAGGGCTGAAGACATAGACACACACATGCCCGGTCTCATCCACACACAGGATCCTACCCAGCCCATCCTACCCAGGATCAGACTGGCCTGGAGTTGGTCTGGGAGAGCAGAGCAGCCCAGCTAAGTGCCTGGGGTCAAGTGCTGGTGCTGCCACAGTCCCACTGGGTGACAGTGGGTGAGTCCCTTCTCTTTCCTGGGCCTCTCCACTATGAAGCTCACCCTCACAGCACTGGGCTATGAAGATAGTGAGTGACTGGTACCCCCAAAGCTTTAGCCATCTCCATAGCCTGTCCCAGAGCCAGCACTACCCTGGGGTTTTCCTGAAGATGCTACCAGGGACTCTGGCCTCTCTACTCTCTGATCCAAGCCCCCTCAGGCCTCCCACTGCCCTTAGGACAAGTTCCCCCTCAGCCCAGCTCATCTGGCCCTGCACAGTCCTGGCCCTGCTTCCCTCTCAACCTCTGCTCCAGTTCCAAGGACCAAACTCGAGTTCCCTGAGCGCATCGTGCCCTGTCCTACTTCTGGACCTTTGCACACAGTTTCCCCCCACCTGGGACGCTCTCTGGGTGAACTCAACAAACAACTAAGAACCCACCACAGTGGCAAAAAAAAAGACACATATGTCCCTGCTAGTGCAGAGCTTGAGGTCTGACGGGAGAATCTGCCATCCAGACTCAGTTCATGATCCACTAATGTAGATATCAGGACAGCATCTGGGAGTAGAGACAGGGTCTCTTTATATCCCACTCTATCCCCCAAGCCCAGCACAGGGCCTGGCTCTTAACTGGGCTCAAAAACTGTTGAATGAATGAAGTAAGCAAGTGACGGTGTGAAGAGGGGTGTGACGGAGAAGTGCAGGGAACCATGGAAGCATTAATAGGGGACTAGACCTCACCAGATGCTCCAGGCTCAGCCAGGTCCATCACAGCCTGTATCATGCTGCACACAACTGCCTGCCAGGTTCCTTCTGGCTTGTTGGATTGTGAGCACTCCAAGAAGCTACTCTGAGGCCAGGAGGGGAAGCTGTGAAGGTGCAGAGGCCTTAGCAAGTCTTTCCCCACCTCCAGGCTTTGGCTTTCCTCTTATAAAGCAGCTGGTTTTCATAGTGCAGGAATGCAGGGATATTTCAGGCCTGTTAAGCATTCTAAAAACCAGAGCTAGCCCAGGGCCTAGCACTCAGAAGTGTTCAGTGGATATTGACTGAATGAATGAATGGATGAATGAATGGTAGACAGGCAGGCAGGCAGGGCCCAGGACCTGGCAGGGCCATACCACCCCCAGTACAACCCAGAACACCAGCGTCAACGTTCTTTGGCATTCAGTCCTGGTGCCCTCAGCGGACCCAGGTTCTCACATCTCGCAAGACAGCAGCATGAGCAGGCCCTTCCCAGGCAACCAGGGCTCAATGAGGGGCTCCAGCCTTCCCTGGCACTCAACCATCTTACCCAGGGAGGGTCTTGCAAGGTGGGATAACATTAACTGCAGGTATTTACTGAACGCTTACTGCATGCCGGGCACTGTACTCAGCCCTTCTTGTGCCTCCTGCTATTTGATGCTCATACCATCACCAGAAGGTAAGCACTGTAATCAGTCCCACTTTAGAGATGAATTAACTTAAGCAGAGGCAGGCACCTGCACAAGGCCTCAGCCTCAACTGGAGCCCAGATGGGTCTGACCCCCACGCCCAGGCTCTGCGCCACTCTTACTAGACAGCCTCCAGAACGCCGCTAATGGACCTCTCAACTGGAAAGCCCTGCACTTCGAGAGGTGTGTCTGATGGGAAGCAACAGAAGTCAAGTTCCCGGAGGCTGCCCGCCCCCTCATCGGGTCCTCTCTGTTGTGGAATCGTGCCCTGCTCAGGGCGTGGCACCACAAGTACTCAAAAGCCTGGCTTCGGCTTGCACACTCCCAGCAACGGGGAGCTCTTTCTCTTACAAGCAGCCCAAAGCACTGTTCGAAGGAAACAAGACACTCCCTGCACGCTGGAACAGGAGTGCGGCCTCTCTGGGACAGGGGAGGGCGGGGAAGAAGGGCCAAGGTCCAGGCCAGGGATCTTTTCTCGCCTCACACAGATCCTCAACCCATTTCAGCCCACCGGCGCCCCGGGACCCGGGGGAGCGCCCTGGCCGCGCAGCCGCAGAGTGCGCGAGCGAGCGCCTCACAATTTCGCCCAGCTCATCCTCGCACCACTGCGCCTGCGCGGCGCGCGCGCCGGCCGAGCCCCTCCGTGGTTCACTATTTGACAGTTCCCACCCCGGTCCCCCGGCGCCCCCTCCGCGGGCTCGAGCAGGCCGGAGCGCCCGGGACTGAGAGGCCGTCCCTGGGAAGGCGTCCTTGGAGCCGGGACCGCCTTTTACCTGCAGGATATTCGACGTGGGTGAGGGTCACCGGCCGCCATGAAGCGGGGAGCGAGCACTGTCCGTCCGCTGCCATCTTACCCGGAGACCGGGCTTCTTCGAGCAGCCAATGGGGAGCCAGGGGGGCGGTGGTCCTGACCTATCACGCCGGGGAGGCGCCGTGCACCCAATCGGAGGCCAATATAGGTAGCGGCGCAGCCATTCAGCGTGCAGGCCGTGGGGGCTGGCCCGAGCGGCGAATCAGAGAGCGGGGCCCCTGGGAGCCAACGAGCCGCCCCAGCTGGCGCCCAATCTGGGGCGAGCGCAGGTAGGCATCTGGCCAATCAGAGAAGGGGAGGGTTCCAGCACCGAACAGGGAGCATAACAGCCAATCAGAAGGTGAGGCTGCCTCAGCTTGTGGGCAGGGCGGGCCAATCAGGCGCTGGCTTTGGGGGCGTGTTGAACTTTGGTGGGAGCTTTGGTTCGGCTGGGACCTGCGCCCTGAATGAAGGCTTCCCTGGTACCCCCTGCCGATCCGCGGTCTTGGGGACCTGCGCGTCCGATAGCGCGTGCTCGAAGAGGAGAGGCAACCTCAGCTCCAGGGGGTTTGAACCGACCCACTTTCAGTTACGAGTAAACTGAGACCAGAGAGCAGAGGGGGCTTATTTCCCTCTGCCCCATACTGGCCGGCGAAAGGGCAAGTCACACAGAGCAGGCGACCTTTTTGTCAAAAGTGTGTGGGGCGGGGCGCGCAGTAGGCGCCCTAAACGCTGGACTGAACAGAGAAGCTTAATTGATACTTAAGAGTGGAAGCTTAGCTACAGTTAAGGACTCCTTCCTCCTTTCATTCATTTAATAAAGATTTATTGATTCAGTCACGTCTATGCTACTTAATGAGGCGTCTTGGGAGCATTTCAAACAAGAAGTCGGTTTTCCACCTACCCCTCAGTTTTCCCAAGACATTCCTGCGTGAACAGCCACACCTTCCCACCCGCCTTCACCTCTCCTACCCGACTCTGTCTCTGGCTGGATTGGATTACAGTGCAGGTAAGGTGGGCTGGGAGGGCTCAGCCTCTTGTCTCCTGCCGCTAGCATGTGCTGTTTTTGTCTGTTTGTTTGTTTTTTGAGACAGGGTCTTGCTCTGAGGCCCAGGCTGGAGTGCAGTGGAACGATCTTGCTCAGCCTCCTGGGTCCAAGTGATTCTCCTGTCTCAGCCTCCCGAGTAGCTGTGACTACAGGCGCGCACCACCGCATCCGGCTAATTTTTGCATTTTTAGTAGAGACCGGGTCTTACCATGTTGGGCAGGCTGGTCTCGAACTCCTGGCCTCAGGTGATCCACCTGCCTCGGCTCCCAAAATGCTGAGATTACAAGCGTGAGCCGCCATGCCCAGCTAATTTTTTTTTTTTTTTTTTGAGACGGAGTCTCGCTCTGTTGCCCAGGCTGGAGTGCAGTGGCACGCCCGGCTAATTTTCGTACTTTTCGTAGAGACGGGGTTTCACCGTGTTGGTCAGGATGGTCTTGATCTCCTGACCTCGTGATCCGCCCACCTCGGCCTCCCAAAGTGCTGGGATTACAGGTGTGAGCCACCGCCCCTGGCCACCATGTGCTGTTTTGCTGCGTGGGATGTACTGCCTCTCCTGCCCTACTTTGCCCGGCCCAATCTGGTTCAGGTGTCTCCTCGGCTTACAGGTTTCCACAGTCAAGTGAGGGGCCAGTACTGGGCTCTCACGGTTGCATTTCCTGTCCTTTCTCAGCCCTGACCTCACTGGACTGTAATCGGCTCCCTATCCCTCCCAGTCAGCAGCGGCTCTCAGATTCATGGAGTGCTGAGATCAGCCTGTAGAAAACACAGATTCCTGGGTCACAATGGGGCCTGGGTTGATCCAGTAGGTCTGAGTTGGAGCCCAGGTGTCTGCATTCTTATGTGCTCTGGTGGTTCTGATACAGGTGGTTACAGCCACCACTGGAGAAACCCTGGGCAACATGAGGACAGGGCCTGGTACATCCTGAGCCTGGTCCAGACCAGACCTAGAGCAAGTGTCTGATAAGTGACACGAGCGCCCCTGAGGTGAGTTGAGAATTACCCAGGAAATCCCACTGAGAGTGGCTCTTTCTGCGAGTGGCCAGGCCAGTAGAGCGGGGACCGTGAGCTGGCCTGTGTGGCCGGAGATGATGGCGACTCAGAACCCACCAAAGAGCCCAGAAGGCCCACTGCCCTGCTGTGCGCACTCCCAGCCTGGGCTCGTCGGGGTCAGCTGGCCTCGGTTTCCTCAGGCACTGTCATTATTAGCCTCTGAGAAGCAGGAGGTGTGAGGAGCGGGCCGGGAGCTTCTCAGAATAGTTCCCTGGGACAGGACAGCCATCCATGATCTGGGCCACATTGCCGCTCCCAAATAGGCCTTGGGAGCAAAGTCCATGAAATGCAGGCCTGTCAGTGCTGGGAGCCTCCCGAGGGAGGATGAGGATGAGGAACTATGAAATGAGAGGGAGTTACCCAGGGAGGGTTTTCCTGGCAGAGAGAACAGTGTAAGCCAGTGTCCTGGGGCCCGCGTGTGGCTGGATGAAGTGGGCAAGAGGGAAAGAAGGGGTAAGGTGGTGGGGAGGAGGCCCACAGGGGCCTGACCACCCGAAACTTTGAGGGCACTGTTAATGGTGGGGACAGAGGGAAGCTCTGAAGGATGGGTTTGTTGTTGGGTTTGGTTTGGTTTTCTTGTTTAAAATAGAACATTCAGGGCAGGCACCGTGACTAAACCTGTAGTCCCAGCACTTTGAGAGGCCGAGGCGGGAGGATCGCTTGAGCCCAGGAGTTCAGGACTAGCTGGGCAATACAGCAAGACTTCATCTCTACAAACAAATTTTTAAAAATTAGCCAGGCATGGTGGTGCACACCTATGGTCCCAGTTACTCGGGAGGCTGAGATGGGAGGATCACATGAGCTGGGGAGGTAAAGGCTACAGTGAGCTGTGATCCTGCCGCTACACTTCAGCCTGGGCAGCAGAGCAAGACCCTGTCTCAAAAATATGGCTGGGTTGTAATCCCAGCACTTTGGGAGGCCGAGGCAGGTGGATCACCCGAGGTCAGGAGTTCAAGCCCAGCCTGGCCAACATGGTGAAACCCCGTCTCTACTAAAAATACAAAAATTAGCTAGGCATGGTGGCACATGCCTATAATCACAGCTACTTGGGAGGTTGAGGGAGGAGAATTGCTTGAATGTGGAGGTGGAGGTTGCAGTGAGCGGACATCACACCAGCCTGGGCAACAAGAGTGAAACTCTGTCTCAAAAAAAAAAAAAAAAATATATATATATATATATATACATGGCTGGGTGCAGTGGCTCACTCCTGTAATCCCAGCTCTTTGGGAGGCCAAGGCAGGCGGATTACTTGAGGTCAGCAGTTTAAGACCAGCCTGGCCAATATGGCAAAACTCCATCTCTACTAAAAATACAAAAATTAGCTGGGTGTGGTGGCATGCACCTGTAGTCCCAGCTACTCAGGAGGCTGAAGCAGGAGAATCGCTTGAACCTGGGAGACAGAGGTTGCAGTGAACCGAGATCGTGCCACTGCACTCTAGCCTGGGTGACAGAGCAAGACTGTCTAAAATATATATATATACATATATATGTATATGTAAATATTTCATACAGAAAATTTCAGAAATCGAATGTATACAGCTTGATGTGGTTTCATAAACTAAGCACACTTGTATAAGCAGCCCCCACATCAGGAACCAGGAACTTAGGAACCCTGGCGCCCCTCCAGTCACCCCAGGTGACTTCCAACTTCCGACACCACACCTTCAGTTTGGCTGGATTGTGTAATTTCATTTTTGTTTTGTTTTGTTTGTTTTTTGAGGCGGAGTCTCACTCTGTCGCCCAGGCTAGAGTGTAGTGCCGTGATCTCAGCTCACTGCAACCTCCGCTTCCTGGGTTCAAGCGATTCTCATGCCTCGGCCTCACGAGTAGCTGAGACTACAGGTGCATACCAGCATGCCCAACTAATTTTTTGTAGTTTTAATAGAGACAGGGTTTCACCGTGTTGGCCAGGATGGTCTCGATCTCTTCACCTCATGATCTACCTGCCTCAGCCTCTGAAAGTGCTGGGATTACAGGCTTGAGCCACGGAGCCTGGCCTGGATTGTGGAATTTCTGTCAACGGAAGCCTACAGTCTGCAGTTTTTGAGTATGTGGCTTCTTCACTCACATTATGGTTGTGAGCGTTAGCCATGCTGCGGCCTCCAGTGGAAATTTGCTTCCTCTCGTTGCTGTGCGGTATTCCATGGTGTGAACATTCCACAGTTTATTTCCCATTCTAGTCTTTTTTTATTTTTTGTAGAGACAGGGTCTCACTGTGTTGCCCAGGCTGGTCTCGAACTCATGACCTCAAACAGTCCTCCCGCCTTAGCCTCCCAAAGTGCTGGGATTACAGATGTGAGCCACTGCGCCCGGCCCCCATTCTAGTCTTGATGGACATTTGGGTGTTTCTAAGTTTGGGGTGTTAGAAGTATTGCTGCTGTGAACCTGTGCACGGCTATGGACTCGTACCTGTGGAATCATAGCTGTGGATTCATTTCTGAGGGAGACGTGCCTAGGAACCCTTGCAGGGTCCCATGAGATGGACGAGGTGACACAGTCGGACCCAGCTGTTGGACAGGGGCTGGGCGGTGCAGGCATGAATATGGCCAGAAGCCCCAGGGGAGGCTGCCCGAGCTGCCTGCCTCCTCTCTCTGAGCTGAGGGTTTGACCAGTGATGTTCTCGACGCCGGCTCTGCATCCTGAGAGGTGCTGCGTCCTTCTTGTTACCTTCACAACAGCCCTGCAAGGCAGCCCTAAGTGCGCCCAGCTTGTAGCTGAGGATGGCGAGGCTCAGAGTGGCACACTGTTTGCCACGGCCTCCTGGCCCAGGTTCAGAACCTCCTGCGTCTCATGAACCAAACTGCTGGCCACCTCCTCCCACTGCTCCATAGGTTATCAGACAAGCTCTGAAACCCAGGCTTTTCCAGAGCTGTCCCAGGGCAGGGTCTGGCCTTTTACCTCTGGACTTTCCTCTGGCAGGGAGTTCACAGACAAGGTGGCCCTGAGATTAGAGGTACAGAGTCTAATTGCACCGCACCCCAGCCACGCTGGTCTGTGCTCAGGGTCCCAGCAAGCCCTTAGGAAACAAGGCTCTCTCCCTCTCTTGGCCTCCGATATGGTTTGACTGTGTCCCCACCCAAATCTCGTCTTGAATTATCGCTCCCATAATTCCCACGTGTTGTGGGAGGGACCCGGTGGGAGGTAATTGAATCATGGAGGTGGTTACCCCCATACTGTTCCTATGGTAGTGAATAAGTCTCACGAGATCTGATGGTTTTATAAGGGGTTCCCCCTTCCGCTTGGCTCTCATTCCCTCTTGCCTGCTGCCATGCAGGACATGCCTTTTGCCTTCCACCATGATTGTGAGGCCTCCCCAGCCACATGGAACTATGAGTCCATTAACATCTTTTTCTTTATAAATTACCCAGTCTTGGGTATGTCTTTATCAGCAACATGAAAACAGAGTAATACAGCCTCTTTCCCCAAACATGGTGATGCTGCCTTCTGGGTTGGAGGTTCATTTGTTGACTTCAGGAAATATTTGAGTTCCTCAGTCATGCCAGACCACGTGTGGGCATCAGGGATGAAGAGTGAACATAGCCAGCTGGGTGCCACCCTCGGGAAACTGCCATTTCAGTGGAGGCTGTGGAAGCCCTGGATCCCTGTGATGTCAAACTAGAAGTGACAGTTTCGGTTGTAGAAACCTCTGAGAGATGGCCAGGCATGGTGTCTCCCACCTGTAAGCCCAGCACTTTGGGAGGCCGAGGTGGGCGGATCATGAGGTCAGGAGTTCAAAACCAGCCTGACCAATATGGTAAAACCCTGCCTCTACTAAAAATACAAAAATCGCCAGGCACGTTGGCTCACGCCTGTAATCCCAGCACTTTGGGAGGCCAAGGCGGGTGGATCACCTGAGGTCGGGAGTTCAAGACCAGCCTGACCAACATGGAGAAACACCGTCTCTACTAAAAATACAAAATTAGCCAGGGTGGTGGCGCATGCCTGTAATCCCAGCTACTCGGGAGGCTGAGGCAGGAGAATCGCTTGAACCCGGGAGGCGGAGGTTGCGGTGAGCCCAGATGGCGCTGTTGCACTCCAGCCTGGGCAACAAGAGCAAAACTCTGTCTCAAAAAAAAAAAAATAAATACAAAAATTAGCCAGGCTTGGTGGTGGGCACCTGTAGTCCCAGCTACTCGGGAGGCTGAGGCAGGAGAATCGCTTGAACCCAGGAGGCAGAGGTTGCAGTGAGCCAACATCACACCACTGCACTCCAGCCTGGGTGACAGTGCAACACTCCTCAAAAAAAAAAGAAAGAAAAAGAGGAAAAGGTCATTTGCAGAATACTGTGCAGCAACAAGGAAATAAAATACTGAAACGTACCACAGATGGATAAACCTCCAAAACATGCTTCCACCTGAAGAAGCCCACCACAAAGGCCGCCTATTGGATGATTCCATTTACAGCAAATGCCCAGAAAAGGCAAGTCTACACAGAGAGTAGCTTGATGCTGGCCTGGGACTGGGGGATTTACTATAAGTGGGCATCATAGGGTGATGGAAATGTTCTCAAACCATACTGAGGTAATTGGTACACACCTCTGTAAATTTATTTAAAACAGCATTAAAGCACGTGAATCTATGATGTATGAATTATACCTTATTAAAACTGTTTAAAACAAACCAAAACAATTTGGGCACAATGGCTCATGCCTCCTACTTTGGGAGGCCAAGGAGGGGGAATTGCTTAAGCTCAGAAGTTCAAGGCCAGCCCGGGCAACACAGGAAGACCCCATCTCTACAAAAAATACAAAACTTAGCCAGGAGTGGCGGTGAGCTACTTGGGAGGCTGAGGCGGGAGGATTGCTTAGTCTTGTGAGGTCAAGGCTGCAGTGAGCTGAGATCACACACCACTGTACTCCAGCCTGGGTGACAGAATGAGACCTTGTCTCCAAAAAAAAAAGACCAAAACAAACATTTGCCAGCATTGGAGGTGGCTACTGTATCAGCTCATGTCTCTAAAATCTCTAAGATTCAAGCATTTATCCTTCTTTGAGATGGAGTTCATCCCCAGTTGATTGGGAAAAGCTCTTATTTTCAGCAAAGACATTAGAAAATTATTTTTGTTTGTTTGTTTGTTTGTTTTGAGACATAGTCTTGCTCTGTCGCCCAAGCTGGAGTGCAGTGGTGTGATCTCGGCTCACTGCAACCTCCGCCTCCCGGGTTCAGATGATTTTCCTGCCTCAGCCTCCCAAGTAGCTGGGCTTACAAGCATGCACCACCATGCCTGGCTAATTTTTGTATTTTTTTAGTAGAGATGGGGTTTCACCATGTTGGCCAGGCTGATCTCAAACTCCTGACCTCAGGTGATCCACCCACCTCGGCCTCCCAAACTGCTGGGATTACAAGCATGAGCCACCGTGCCTGGCCCCGAGAATTTTTTTTTTTTTTAGGTGTGATCATGGTATTGTGGTTATTCTGGAGAATGACCTTGTTTTTTTGTTTTTTAAGTTCAGGGGTGCATGTGCAGGATGTGCAGGTTTGTTACATAGGTAAATATGTGCCACAGTGGTTTGCTGCACACATCATCCTGTCGCCTAGGTTTTTTTTTCTCTTTTTTTTTTCGAGATGGAGTTTCGCTCTGTCACTCAGGATGGAGTGAAGTGGTGTGATCTCAGCTCACTGCAACCTCTGCCCACCGGGTTCAAGCACTTCTCGTCCCTCAGCCTCCCAAGCAGCTGAGACTACAGGCACCCGCCACCATGCCTGGCCAAGTTTTTGTATTTTTAGTAGAGACGGGTTTCACCATGTTGGCCAGGCTGGTTGCAAACTCCTGGCCTCAAGTGATCCACCTGCCTCGGCCTCCCAAAGTGCTGGGATTACAGGCGTGAGCCACTGTGTCCAGCAGTCCTATCATCTAGGTATTAAGCCCAGCATCCACTAGCTGTTCTTCCTGATGCTCTCCCTTCTCCCACACCCTGCCCTCCGACAGGCCCCAGTGTGTGTTGTTCCCTGCAGTGTGTCCATGTGTTCTCATCATTCAACTCCCACTTACAAGAATGTGACTACCTTGTTTTTAAGCTCTGCTTAAAGGTTTAAGAGTAAAGTACATGTCTGAAACTTAGGCTAAAGTATTTTGGAAATACATGAAATAAACATGGCAAAATGTTGCCGGGAGCGGTGGCTCACGCCTGTAATCCCAGCACTTTGGGAGGCTGAGGCGGGCGGATCACGAGGTCAGGAGATCGAGACCATCCTGGCTAACACGGTAAAACCTCGTCTCTACTAAAAATACAAAAAAATTAGCTGGGCATGGTGGCATGTGCCTGTAATCCCAGCTACTCGGGAGGCTGAGGCAGGAGAATGGCGTGAACCTGGGAGGCAGAGCTTGCAGTGAGCTGAGATCGTGCCACTGCACTCCAGCCTGAGTGACAGATCGAGACTCTGTCTCAAGAAAAAAAAAAAAAAGTCAAAATGTTAATTACATGACCAGAAGTGTTGGTTTTATATAGTTTTTTCAATTTTTCCATACATTTGAAATTTTTTTTTAAAGTTTCTTTTTTAAAAACCTGTAAAATAAAACTTGTGATTTCCAGCTGCCCATGAAAACTTGTAACGATCCGGCAGGCTTGGACCTGTTCCCAGTGTTCCAGCCCCTCCCCCTGGCTCTCACAGCTTGGGGGGTAACAACCTTTAAGCCTGTGAGTCTGCATCTTGGCCCGGTCCAGTGCCTGCATTTTACAGATGTGGAAACTGAGGGCCAGTGAGAATCGACTTCCCTAAGATGGTGCCTGAGCAGGGTCCACAGCCAGGCTGCCCACCTTGCATCCATGGCCTTGAGCGTGGCACTGGCCGCTCCCCACCCTTCCCCGCGGACCACCGGGGCCCTCCCTGCCTAGGGATGGCTGGATCCTGTCAGGCAGTCAAGTTGCCCCAAGTAGGATCACAGCCCCCACCAGGCTTCTCCTGACCTTTGTCCTCCTGGAACCTTCACCCACGGCACCCCAAAAAGCAGGTGCCCTGCTCTGCCCCAAGAAGCAAACAGCCATGCACATAACCAACAACATGGCAAAGTGGAAGGAAATCGTCTCAATTGTTTATTCGACTCACAGTCAGTGCACACACTCTACCATCCAAAAGTCGAAGCTGTGACAATCGACTGCTACAGGCAGTGCATGGATGTGTAAACAAACACAAATGAAAATGCAAATCAGAGTGGGCGGGGCCAAGGCCCACTGTTACATTCACAGCACAGGGTAAGTGCAAAAGAACAGGATGTCAGGATGGGGGGCGGGGAGCACAGGGTCCTTCCTGCCCTGGAGGCTGCCTCCAGGCATCAGCCTGGGAGGTGGGTTAGTGCCCATGGAACCCTCCTGCCCAGGAAGCTGCCTCCGGGCATCAGCCTGGGAGGCGGGTTAGTGCCCATGGATCCGGTGTCTGGGAAGGGGCCCACAGAAGATGGGCCACACCCAGCATCATCTCCTCTCTGTGGTGCGCCCTCCCATCCCCAGACCCCTTTCCCATTCAGGGGAGAGGGGCCCTGGTCACAGGAGCCAGTCCTCTGACCTCCTGAGTGTGGAAACCCAGGAGGGGAGTGTGTTTCTCCTGCAGGCCTCTCAACCTGGAAAGGGCAGAGCCACAGCAGAACGCGTTGGGGCCACAGACACTCGCTCAGGTGAAGACACTGAGAAGACACTGCCGGGCTGACAGGACCCCGCGGCGGGGGGACGTCGCTGCTAACAGGACTCTCTGCAGGCCCAGGGGAGGCTCTGCCCCCATGAGGCCCCAGGAGCGTTTGTGCGTTGAACTGAAGGCAAAGTGCTGGGCAGTTTCTTGTCCTAATGAAGGTGGGGAAGCTGGTCCGGCCACATACATCCTCTGACCTCCCCCAAGTGGTCCCCGGGCCCACAGGTGACAGGGGCCTGAGCGATCCCTGGTCTGAGCCCCCAGCTCAGAGCCTAGCACCACCCAGGGAGGTCTGGGCTCATGGAAGGGGGATGGGCGGGGGCAGGAGGGCCCAGCCCCACCTCCGCCCGTCTTTGGTGGTGACAGAGGTGGGAGGAGAAAAGACGATCTTTGGTAGGGCGAGGGAATGTCAAAGGACACTGTCAAGGGCCCAGTTCCTGCTCAGAAGAGAGCACAGGAGTGGGAGGCCCACCTCTGCCCCATCTCTGGATGGCCCAGGCCTGCTGCCCACTAAGGTGGCCCCACTCTCCTTCTCTGGAGTTGCAAACTCTCTGAGAAGGCGGTTGAGGTGGGGAGGGCATCAGGACAGGCCAGCTGGATGCTGAGACCATATAGCCACAGGTGGCTTCTAGCTCAGGACACTGTGACCTTCACCACAGGGCTCTAGGCCCCATCCTTCACCTCCACCCTCCCAGCACCCTTGTCAGCAGCCCTGGAGCGATGGGAGGTTTTGGGGTCCCCCACCTGGGGCATCCTGGCTCTGCCTGTCCCAATTCTCCACAACAACCCCCTCTCTCACAGCCTTTCTCTCCCACAGGCCCCACTGGTCCTGGCCTCTGCTTCCCCCAGGAACCGTTCTTCTCCATGGAAATGTCCCCTCTGGGCCTTGGGGACTCCCAGATGATGGGGGTGGGGCAAAGTCAGGGGCAACGGCCCTCAGCCACCACAGCTGTCAGATACCAACCCAGGGAAGGGAGGAGGAGCCTTCTCTCTGCCACCCCCCAGCCCGTGCCGCCTCTACTGCAGCTCCCCCAGGGGCCCATTCTCTCGGGGCAGCGCCCCATTCACGCCTGCGCTGCTGGCCGCGGGCACCCCCAGGTACCCCAGCAATATCTCGCTGCGGCGCCGGGACAGCTGCAGGATGTCGTCTGCCAGCGCGGGCAGTGACGTGTAGCGCACATTGTCCAGGTCGAACATGTCCCTCAGGTACTGCACAATCTGGTGCTGGGGGAGCAGGGCTGGTGTCAGGCCTGGCCCAGCCACTGCCCACCATGATGCCCCCCAGGTTACCTGAAGTCCCCTTGTCCACCACCAGAGCCCCAGCCGGTCCTTTCCATCCCCAGGCTCCTCCCTCCCACTGCTTCCTCTGGACCCATGTGGGTCTGGCTCTGCCCTCTCTCTGGGAGCAGGCCCAGGCCCAGGCCCTCATCCCATTCCTGGCACCTCCCAGGGCGCCTGTGCTCAGGGCAAGGGTCAGGAAAGAACGAGAACTGCTCTCTGTTTACCTTGAAGAAAGCACAGACTTCAGCAAGCTGAGGCTTGGGTCCAAGGAAGCCGAAGGCTAGGACAGGGCTCACATGCTCCGATACGGAGTAGAAATGGGAGATGAAGCCATCAGGCACCTGCGGTGGGCACAAGGCTGAGGGGCCAGGCGGGGCCCAGGTAGGATGAGGGCACCAGGCCCAGGTGTCGCATAAAGGGCTGGGCTTTAGAGGTCGCCCCAGCTCATGTACTTTCCTGCTAGATGACCCTGGGCAGTGACTCAAGCTTTCGAAGCCCATTTTAACTTCTGCAGACAGGGTAACCATGGGCCGCTGTGAGTACTGCAAGAGGTGGGGCCATAGTGGCTCCGCGGGAAGTGCCTGGAGCACGTGGCCACGGCAGCTGGTATCAGCTAGGCAACAGAGCCTGGCCCGCAGAGGGGAACGACAAACCACAGGCCAGATAGCACAGCCAGTCGCTGCCTGGGAGCGGAGATTACAGGGGCCTGACTGGGGCGGGGAAAGGGCAGGAGGGACAGGGCTCTGCTTGCTCCTGGGTATCCTGCCCCCACCGAGACGCCTGCACCAGGCCAGCTGCCAGCCCTGTGGCCACTACCCTAGGGTATCCGTTCCCCTCCCCAGTGGCCTGCTCTGTGCTGGGCCTGGGGAGGAGAGGAAGTGGGTCTACACGAGCCTCCAGGGAGCTCCTGGCACAGGGAGAGGTAACGGCGGAACAAGGGGGCCAGGACTGTGAGCGGTGAAGGCCAAGTGGCCCAGCGAGCCACCCTGCACCCGCTCCGCTCCCCACCACGCTGCCTCAGAGCCCAGCTCGTGCTCCCCCGGGCCTGCCAGTCACTCACCATCAGCAGCCTCCTCTTGGCTTTCAGGACCGACCAGCAAGCAGTGGCCAAGGCCTACATCAAAAATAGGATGTCCCCCGGGTGTCAAAATGGGCCTAGCCCACAGCCCCTCGCCCTCTGCCAGCCCAGCACCAAGCCCTTAAACCCAGCTCACCCCACTCCAAGCAGGAAGATGGGGCCAGGTGCCTAAGCTCTGCTGCTTCCTCCTCTGATTTTGGACTCAGACATACCTAAACTTGAATCTTGACTCTAATCTTACTGCTGGATCTTCTCTGAGCCTCGGTCTCCTCTTCTGTAAAGGGGCACAACACAGCACTCCCACCTCCTTTGGTGGTTGTGGGAGCAATGGTTCCCGCCTGTAAACCACCTCGCAGAAGCCTGGGCCCAGGCAGCACAGCCCGGCTGCTGGAGCGTTACTGCTTGCCTTCCTGGGGGTCCTGTGCTGGGTTGTCTCTCACTCTGTGCCTTTTTTTCCTTTTGGTTTTGCTTTCCCCTCTTTTAACTTGATTTAACAGGATGCATTAAAATGGAATCGAATTCATACCAGCACAAAAGTAAAACCACACAATAGGAAGAAAGCGCACACCATGTTGGTTCTAAACTGGGGCACCAGGCAGCAACGGGGCACCCTGGAGGCTTCTCCAGGGCAGACTCTGGTCTCCCAGGCCTGGCAGCCGCGGATCTAGGGGGTGGGGGCCCAGCCCTGGTGCCAGTGCTAGGGACAGAGGGGACGGAGCCAGGCAACCACACGGGCTGATGTGAGCAAGTGTGGGTCTGAGAGCAGGGCAGTGACCCACCGTCTCCTTGAAGCTGTCTGACAGCCAGCGGTTCCGCAGGACGGCGAGCACCGAGGCCGGAGGGTTCTCCAGGTCCTCGAAGGCGTCCATGAGGATGAAGTCCAGCACGATGTCGAAGAAGCTCATGCATACCACCTACAGAGGGTGCCCCCGGGAGGCTCATGCATGGGGGCACTGCCGGAGCCTCGGGGCCACTTTCCAGATGGGGAGACTGAAGCTGGGGTCCAGGGCATGAGCACACGTGGGGGGGACACGTCTTTCCCGCTCTGCTGTGCAACGGGTGTAGCTGAGGCCATTCCTCCCTCTGCCTTGGCCTGGGGCAGGGCAGGAACCGGGGACTATGAGCAGTGATGGAACCGTCTCAGCCGCTTGGAACTGAGCTAGAGCTCGGCACAAGAACCCCCTTGCTGCTCAGATGCAGGGGAGCCCGGGATGTCGGGGTTCAGCACAAAGCAACTCACCCCTCGGCCCTCCAGCTCCAGCCGTGTTGTGGCCCAGGTCTCGGGCCGCAGGGCATAGCTCAGCATCTCCTCGTAGCTCTCCAGGAAGCCTTTGGGGCTCTGTGGAGAGAAGCACGGCCCATCCTGGTCACTGGACAAGACCCACAGGGACAGGCTGGCCTGTGGATGGGGGACATGCCAAGGCACGGCTGGGGCCCATCCCCACGCAGCAGGCACAGAGAAAACGTGGCAGAGAAGTGTCTCCTACTCAGCACAGCAGGCTTCTCCAGAGAACCAGGGCACCCAGTCAGGTCTCAAGCCAGCTCCTCTGCTGAGCACCTGCTAACTTCCAGGAGTGCCCAGTGTGACAGTGTGATCTCACTTTGGAGGGACACAGAATGTGAGGGTTAGAGTCAGGCAGCTGAAGGTTCAAATCTCCGTGACCTTGGACCTCAACAGGAAAGGGGAGAAGCTACAGCCGCACCCTGATGAGGCTCTTCTAGGGCAGTTGCCGAGCTCGTGTGTGACGCAGTCAGTCCAGCGCCAAAGCATTCAACAAACAGCGTTTAAAGTGCCGCTGCACGGCACGGAGGCTCTCGGCACACATCCTTCACTCTCTGGGACCCTGGGGGTTAGCTGGGGTTTGGGATGCTCTTTTCAGATGTGGGTCTGCATTTACGATGTAGAAAAACACTAAGTGTTAGGGTCGGTTCTCAGAGTGGATTAACTCGTGATTTTTTTTTTTTTTTTTTTTTTTGAGATGGAGTCTCGCTCTGTCACCTAGGCTGGAGTGCAGTGGCACGATCTCAGCTCACTGCAAGCTCTGCCTCCCGGGTTCACGCCATTCTCCTGCCTTAGCCTCCCAAGTAGCTGGGACTACAAGTGCCTGCCACCACGCCCGGCTAATTTTTTTTTTTTTTTTTTTTTTTTTTTGAGACAGAGTCTCGCTCTATTGGCAGGCTGGAATGCAGTGGCACAATCTCAGCTCACTGCAACCTCCGCCTCCCGGGTTCACGCCATTCTCCTGCCTCAGCCTCCCGAGTAGCTGGGACTACAGGTGCCCGCCACCACGCCCGGCTAATTTTTTTTGTATTTTTAGTAGAGACGGGGTTTCGCCATGTTAGCCAGGATGGTCTCGAACTCCTGACCTTGTGATCTGCCTGCCTTGGCCTCCCAAAGTGCTGGGATTACAGGCATGAGCCACTACGCCCAGCCTTTCTTTTTTTTTTTTTTTTTGGTCGCCCAGGCTGGAGTGCAGTGGCGTGATCTTGGCTCACTGCAAGCTCCGCCTCCTGGGTTCATGCCATTCTCCTGCCTCAGCCTCCCGAGTAGCTGGGACTACAGGCGCCCACCACCATGCCCAGCTAATTTTTTGTATTTTTAGTAGAGACGGGGTTTCACTGTGCTAGCCAGGATGGTCTTGATCTCCTGACCTCGTGATCCTCCCGCCTTGGCCTCCCAAAGTGCCGGGATTACAGGCGTGAGCCACTGCGCCCAGCCTCATTTCTTAATAAAACCAAAGTCCCATACTGGGAAGGTTACAAAGAGGAGCTCCCCAGAGGGTGGGGCCCTGGCACCCACCTTAACCCTCCTTCACTTGTTCACTCACCCAGCTTCCTGGGGAGGCCCACAGACACCAAGTCAAGGGCTCAGGCTGGGTCCGGGCCACCTGGCTTCAAATCCAGTCTACCCTTCACATGCTCAGTACCCTGGACAAGCCGCCTTCCCTTCCTGGGCTCAGTGTCCTCATCCGCCAAGCAGAAATTGCAGTGAGGCTCGAATGAACTCCCCGCAGTGAAGAACCATTGAGTATACACTGAGCTCACTGCCAGGTAAACGGCCACTGCCAGGAGAATATCCGAGGAGTGCTGATGCAGTACCCGCCCTGTGCTAGGCCCTGGATGGGGCACACATCTGTGCCAGGAGAGTTCTGACACTGGCCCTCATGGAGCTAACTGAATAACGGGGGAGGAAGGACAAGGCAGCTCATGAGCAGGAGGCAGGGTAGTGAGGCCACACCGCCACGGTGAGCCCAAGGGTTCTCTCGGGCCTCAGGGGATGAGTCAGGTGATGACCTCCTGGGGACAGAGAAGGGTACTCAGATGACAAGTGACCAAGGAAGGGAGAGGGAGGAGGACACAGGAAAAAGTGGTGTGGGGGGCTTCCAGTTACTGGTATATGTCCCACTTCCTAACCTGGGTGCTGGTTATACAGGCGTTGTCTTTCATTAAATCCTATACATAGGCCGGGCGTGGTGGCTCACACCCGTAATCCCAGCACTTTGGGAGGCTGAAGCGGGTGGATCACCTAAGGTCAGGAGTTCGAGACCAGCCTGGCAAACATGGTGAAACCCTGTCTCTACTAAAAATACAAAAATTAGCTGGGTGTGGTGGCGCACACCTGTAATCCCAGCTACTTGGGAGGGAGACCAAGGCAGAAGAATCACTTGAACCTGGGAGGCAGAGATTGCAGTGGGTCGAGATCGCACCACTGTACTCCAGCCCGGACAACATGGCAAGTCTCTGTCTCAAAAAAAAAAAAATCCTATAGATACTTTTTGGGTGGTTTTTTGTTTTTTGGTTTTTTATTTTTTGAGACAGGGTCTCACTCTGTTGGCCAGGCTGGAGAGCAGTGGTGCAATCATGGCTCACTGCAGCCTTGAACTCCTGGCCTCAAGCAATCCTCCCATCTCAGCCTCTCAAGTGCTGGGATTACAAGCGCAAGCCACCATGCCCGGCCAAATCCTATATTTTTTACACTCTCTCCTATGTGTATTTCATAATAAAGTTTAAAAAAAAAAAAAAGATTGAGGACAGGTGTGGTGGCTCACATCTATAATCCCAGCACTTTGGGAGGCCAAGGAGGGCGGATCACCTGAGGTCAGGAGTTTGAGATCTTCCTGGGCAACATAGCAAAACCCTGTCTCTATGAAAAATATAAAAATTAGCCAGGCGCGGTGACACATGCCTGTAATCCCAGCTACTCAGGAGGTTGAGGTGGGAGGATTGCTTGAACCCGGGAGGTGGAGGTTGCGGTGAGCGGAGATCGTGACATTGCACTCCAGACTGGGTGGCGGGAGTGAAACCCTGTCTCAAAAAAAAAAAAAACAAGATTGAGCAACAGTGTTCCTGGGGCAGAGACCAGCATATGTAAAGCCCAGATCAGGCAGCAAGTCTGGTGCACTAGAAGCAGGCCCTTCAGCCAGACAGGACGAAGCTCACAGGGCAGCAAACCACCAAACAGAGCTTGGCCTTCACCCCAAGGGCAGCAGGCGCAAGTGAGGGTTGTAGGCAGCTGGCTAGTGAGGTCAGATGTGTGTTTTAGAATCATCTGTCCGACCTGTTCAAAAGCTTTGCTCAAACCCATTAAAGAAAAAAAAAAAAAAAGGCCAGGCACGGTGGCTCATGCCTGTAATCCCAGCACTTTGGGAGGCCGAGGCGGGCGGATCACGAGGTCAGGAGATCGAGACCATCCTGGCTAACACGGTGAAACCCTGTCTCTACTAAAAATACAAAAAAATTAGCCGGGCACGGTGGCGAGCGCCTGTAGTCCCAGCTACTCGGGAGGCTGAGGCAGGAGAATGGTGTGAACCCGGGAGGCGGAGCTTGCAGTGAGCCGAGATCATGCCACTGCACTCCAGCCTGGGCGAGAGAGCGAGACTCTGTCTCAAAAAAAAAAAAGACGAAAAAATCATCAAAAAAATTATGCAACCTCATCAATAATCAGAGATGCAAGGAAACACCCTTATATTGCTGGCAGTGATGTAAGTTGTGAAGGCCTTTTGGAGGGCAAACTAGCAATATCTGCCGGGCTTCTAAATGTCCAGGACCCAGAAATGTCATATCCAAGGCTCTGCCCCACAGAAAACCTCACAAGAGAGCAGTAGAAGGAAGATTATATAGTGTTGTCTGTGATGGTGAACCTCAGACAGCCCAGGTGTTCCTCCATCAGGGAATGGAGGCCTCGTGTGGCGCTCTCCACGCAATGGGACCCTCCGCAGCTGGGGAAAACCCCTCCCAGTGCCAGCATGGAGAGACGGACGCCACATGCCGCCACACTCCAGGGTAAACTGCGGGATGGTAAGTAGGGCACAAAGGCTTAGAAATGGAATAACAAGATCCACGGTTGCAGAGTCTACAGAACGGAGTAGGAGGAACGTGTATCAGCCTGTGCACAGGGGTTCCCTCTGGCAGGTGGGGTTCAGGGGGACCCTCTGTGGTTTGCATTTTATAATTTGCCCCCCCACCCCACCCCCTGCTACCTTCTCAGCCTTGGTCATCAGGCCTGTCACCATCTGTCGGCCCACTTTCCCGAAGAAAAGCTGGTTACTCTTGTCTTCCAGAAGCCCCTAGGGAAGGAGGAAGGGAGGGGAGTGAGCTGCCGGGCACGGCAGTCCCTCAAAGCCCACGGAGAGGGCCACATAAGAGGCCAGGTAGGTGGCCCACCTGCCACAGAGGAGCCCAGTGTGGGAGCAGGCCTGGCCAGGGACCAGGAGGCCACATACATGCCACACAGCCATGGCCAGCCTGACTACCCCTTGCCTCCCACCCCCGAGGAACCCCCAGGCCACACCCACCTCGAAGGCCTGCCGCACACAGTGCAGCTTGGCCAGAAAGTCCTGGTCACTGTAGCAGCCCAGCAGCTCCGTCCTGAGGGGAGGACAGACGGCGTCACACAACCTGGTCCCTGCCCAGCGATGCCCCGGGGGGTCAGGTGGCACCTGGGTGGGGAGGGGGGAGGCTCTGGCTCCAGCCCTGGCCCTGCCTCAGCCTGGCAGTGTGGCCTCTGGCTGGCGTCTGCCTCCCTTGAGGCCTTGGTCTTCCCAGGCCAAAGGACGAGGCTGCCTGGATGATCTCTGAGGACGTGTCAGCCTCTCAGGCACCGGGTACAGAGATGACCGAGGCCTCCTTAGGCCACAACCAGCCCCACACTTCACTGGCAAAGGACTGAAATGGCCAAACTGCCTCCTGACAGCAGATGTGGCAGATCACCCTGATCACTTCAGCCAGTGTCTGATTCATTTCTGGTCAGTGAACTTTTTTTTTTTTTTAGACGGAGTCTCGTTCTGTCACTCAGGTTGGAGGGCAGTGGTACAATCTCAGCTCACTGCAACCTCCGCCTCCCAGGTTCAAGTGATTCTCCTGCCTCAGCCTCCCAAGTAGCTGGGACTACAGCCACGTACCACCACGCCCGGCTAATTTTTGTATTTTTAGTAGAGACGGGGTTTCACCATGTTAGCCAGGTTGGTCTTGAACTCCTGACCTCAAGTGATCTGCCTGCTTTGGCCTCGCAAAGTGCTGGGATTACAGGTGTGAGTCATGGCGCCTGGCCCAGTTTTTTTGCTTTTTTTTTTTTTTTTTTGAGATGGAGTCTCGCTCTGTTGCCCAGGCTAGAGTGCAGTGGCACGATCTCCACTCACTGCAACCTCTGCCTCCCGGGTTCAAGTGATCCTCCTGTCTCAGCCTCCCAAGTAGCTGGGACTACAGGTATGTGCCACCATGCCCAGCTAATTTTTATATTTTTAGTAGAGATGGGGTTTACACCATATTGGCCAGCTTGGTCTTGAACTCCTGACCTCAGGTGATCTGCCCGCCTTGGCCTCCCAAAGTGCTGGAATTATAGGCATGAGCCACCCTGCCCAGCTCCAGATAAACTTTTAAACATACATACTGAAATCTGCAAGCCATGATCAAAAAGCCAAGTTCTCAGGCTGGGTGTGGTGGCTCACACCTGTAGTCCCAGCACTTTGGGAGGCCAAGGCAGGTGGATCACTTGAGGTGAGGAGTTTGAGACCAGCCTAGCCAACACAGTGAAACCCCATCTCTACTAAAAATACAAAAAAAAAAAAAAAAAGTCAAGTTCTCAGTCTCTTATCATAATAAGATAATAATACATAATACATAAAAATAATACAAAAAAGTTAATAATAACGTTAATATAAGATAGTGAAGAGGCCTAAACATAACCACAGACAAAGAAACTGAGGCTAAGAGAAGTTAAGCGACTTGTTCAGGGTGGCAGAACTTGGAGTCTGGGCCTGTCTGTCCCCACAGCCTGGGTACCTGACCTCTCCTACAGAGGAGCTGTGTCCAGACACTGCGCTTAGGACCAGTGCCCCCTGTGTGGCTGTGGCTGTACCCGCTGAGAATTTACTTTTGTTTTCATATGGAATGCTTAGTAAATCTGCATGTTATCCTTATGCCGGGACCACGTTCATCTTCTCTGTATCATTCCAATTTTTTTTTCAGTGTATGTGCTGTAGAAGCATACACTCTCTCAGAATTTAGAACTGGTAGTAACTATTGTTCTTTATTAATTATGTTCATTTGTTACTGTCATTATTGGTATCAGACCTGCCAGTATGGGTCCATCCAGGCCCTCTGCAGCTGGGGGAGGAGCTGTCACCAGCTCACCACGGCCCTCAGGCAGCCTGGACTCACTCAGGCTAAGTCCTCGCCAAGCACCGCTGGCTTCTCCGCCTCCCGCAAGGGCCAGAATCACCCATCGCCTCCTGCTCCCTCCCTCCCTCCCTCCACACCTGCTCACCTGAGGGTCCGGCAAGGCACTCTCCCCTCCTTCACCAGCTGCAGGGCCTCCTCATAGGCAGCGGCGGGTCTGGAGAGTGGGATCGGGTAATCTCCAGTCTGCAGGGACTCAAAGAGCTGGGAGAGGGTGCAGAGGAAGAGACCAGGGAAGCCCATGTGAGCAGCACGCCACGGCGCAAGGGCACCTGCCCATTGGTCGGCCACAGCGGCCACCCCAGGTGCCTGCCCACTGCCAACGTCTCTGAGGGGATGTCAGAGGGAACACTGGCCAGGAGGCTCCAGTTCGAGCCCAGTTCTGGCCCTCAGCATCCCCATCTCCAGGGGTCCCTCCCAAAAAGGCCATCTAAAGGACACATGTGCATGTCCTCCCATCCCAAGGAAGGACACAGTGCCTGATCCATGTGCCCATGGCAGGAGACTGAGGCCAAACAATGGGCACAGCGGTCTGGAGAAGGGAAAGGCCAGCACGGGCTGGAGCCCTTCGGGGTGGAACCCCTGCTCTCACCCACAGGACAACAGCCCCCGATTTCTCAGCACCCCCCATCCCCAACAGCTTCGAGGAGGCCCGTGGGAGCATCCAAATTCTCCCATCAGAGGAAATGCCTCCACTTTCCCATGACCCAGTGCTGGCCCCATGGACCTGCAGAGGAGGCCCAGCCTTCACCCCACCCCAGGCTTGGTCCCCACCCCGAGTCACCTCGGTGGCGGAGAAGAAGGAATCCTCTGAAGTCAGGCTGTCCTCATCGTCCGCCCGCAGCCGCAGCGAGCCCTCGGTCAGGGGCAGCATGAGGGTCCTCTCTGGGAAGAGCAGTGAGAGAAAGCGGGGCTGAGACTCCCCACACAGTGCTCAGCTGGAATCCCGGTACACGAAGTCCCCCATCAGGCCCAGGGGAGGCTTCATCCCGAGCCTGTGATTCCCACACTCAATGGCAAAGCTCTGACGTGCCAAGCGCTTCTGTGTGAGGACGCTGGACTCCTCGCCTCAGTGAGTGACCTCCTTCAACACCCACGACATCCTCGGAGGTCGTCAGCCTCAGGTGTGAGCCCTCGGCTGGTGAGCGGCTCTGCCAGGCTCACAGGTTGCACCGCTGGACCTGAGGCCTGAAGGCCCAAGCTCTGCAGGGGGAGGACCTTGAACTGTGTGGCCCCGGGGAAATCGCCTCTCTCCTCTGACAAGCTGAAACTCAGCCATTGATACCAAGGGCTCGAAAGAGTCCACAGCCACTAACCTGGAGTTCCCCTCCGTGCTCGCCCAAGGGCTGAGGGGTGTGGACCTCCAAGGGTGCTCAGGAAAGGATTGTCGAGCAAATAAGCAAAGGCCACAGACCTGCGGCGGGCCACCCTAAAGGTCCCCCAGCCCTTTCTGCCATGTAGGGAGGCCAGAGGAGGCAGATTCCTCCAACAGAGAAACCACACCCAGAGCACGTGGGGAGAAGCCAGGGCAGGGTGCGTGGCTCGGCCGACCCACTCCGGTTCTGTGTCTCCACTGGCAGAGCCAGGCAGCTGGACCCTCAGGAGTCTGAGGGTCCCACAGGGTTGAGTGCACAGGGAGGGGCCAGGGTGTCATTCACTGCAGGGGTCCGAAGAGGACAGTGGCTGTTTGGCAGAATAACTTGGTTCCCCCTCAGTATGTCACATCATTTCACCTCAGCGCACCCAACAACAGGAACTTCTGTTCTTGGCCTTTGGCCTGCTCTGAGTGAACCTCCCGTGAGTCACTCCATCCACCCACCCAGTTTGAGCCACAGGAAAGGACTCGAAGCGAAGGCCTGGGAGAGCCATCAGGGAGATGCTGCCACACGAACCCCAAGGCTGCACCCAAGAGGATGGAGCCAGGTGCACTTGCTGGGGATTCTGGGCCTCACCTCAGCTCTGCTCCAGCCTGCCATGGAGAAGGGAACACCTCAGTTTCCCCATCTGTGCCATAAGGTGCTGGATCACGCGAGGTCGGAGAGCCCTGGGGATTCTGATTCATTGGACGCACTGAGAGAACCACGACCCGGTTCTCGCAACTTCTCCTCACCTCCATCCCTGCCACCCTCCACGCCCACCCCACCTGCACTGGGCCCAGCTCACCGAGGTCTAGCAGCATGCTGTCTGCGGGGAAGGTGGAGCCGAACTCCTCCTGCAGGTGGTAGGCACGGTGCAGCAGGGACTCCAGCTTCTCTGCAAACTCCTTCCGCTGTGACTCTGGCTGCCATAAAAACAAGGACCCTCAACCCAGACCCTCAAAGCTCCCGATGAAAATGGCCCCTTCCCTCACCCCCAGGTCCCTGGGGAAAGGGGAGGAGCTCTAGGACCCAGCAGCTAAGCACATAAACTCCAAAACTTCACTGCTCGATAGAGGAGCCACCAGCCACTTCTGGCAGCTGAGCACTGGAAACCTGGACAGTCCCAGAGTGTAAACACACACCAGATTTCAAACACGGCACCAAAAAGCATAGACTGTCTCAGGAATCTTTTCTGTTGATTACATGCTGAAATGATCACATACTGGACATACCAGGTTACATGAAGTACAGCTGACCCTTGAAAACTGTGGACTTAGGTTGCCAGGCACAGTGGCTCACGCCTGTAATCCCAGCATTTTGGGTGGCCGAGGTGGGCAGATCACAAGGTCAGGAGTTCGAGACCAGCCTGACCAACATGATGAAACCATATCTCTACTAAAAATACAAAAATTAGCCGGGTGTGGTGGCGGGTGTCTATAGTCCCAGCTACTCAGGAGGCTGAGGCAGGAGAATTGCTTGAACCTGGGAGGCAGAGGTTGCAGTGAGCCAAGATCGCGCCATTGCACTCTAGCCTGGGCGACAGAACAGGACTCCGTCTCAAAAAAAAAAAAAAAAAAAAAGAAAGAAAGAAAATTGTGGACTTATGGTAACTGACTCACCCCTGTGCCCACATAGTTGAAAATCTACATAAAAAACTTTTTTTTTTTTTTTTTTGAGACAAGGTCTCGTTCTGTCACCCAGCCCGCAGTGCAGTGGCGCAATCACATCTAACCACAATCTCAACCTCCTGAGTTCAAGTGATCCTTCCGTCTCTGCTTCCCTAGTAGCTAGGACACTACAGGCATACATCACCATACCTGGCTAACTTCTGTATATATCTTTGGTAGATACAGGGTTTTGCCACATTGCCCAGGCTGGTTTCAAACGTATGGGTTCATGCAATCCTCCTGCCTCAGCCTCCCAAAGTGCTAGGATTAGAGGTGTGAGCCACCGTGCCCAGCCCACATATAACTTTTGACTCCTCTAAAAGTAGGGGGAGTTATTAGTAGGTTATTAACTACTAATAACCTATTGTTGACCAGAAGTCTTAATAAGAATGTAGTCGATTAACACATATTTTGTATGTTCTATGTATTATATTCTGTATCCTTATACCAAACTAAGCCAGAGAAAAGAAAATGTTATTAAAGAAATCATAAAGAAGAAAAATGGACCGGGTGAGGTGGCTCACACCTATAATCCCAGCACTTTGGAAGGCAGAGGCAGGAGGATCCCTTGAGCCCAGAAGTTTGAGACCAGCCTAGGCAACATGGAAAGACCCTATCTCTACAAAAAATACAAAAATTAGGTGGGCGTGGTGGCGTGTGCCTGTAGTCCCAGCTACTCAGGAGGCTGAGGTAGGAGGATCATGTGAGCCCAGGGAGGTTGAGGTTGCAGTGAGCCATAATGGTGCCACTGCACTCCAGCCTTGGTGACAGAGCGAGACTCTGTCTCAAAATAAATAAATAAATGAAAGGAAATCATTGGGCCAGGCACAATGGCTCACACCAGTAATCCCAGCACTTTGGGAGTCCAAGTCAGGGGGATCACGAGGTCAGGAGATCGAGACCATCCTGGCTGACATGGTGAAACCCCGTCTACTAAAAATACAAAAAATCAGCCGGGCATGGTGGCGGGCGCCTGTAGTCCCAGCTACTTGGGAGGCTGAGACAGGAGGATGGCATGAACCCGGGAGGGGGAGCTTGCAGTGAGCCGAGATCGAGAGCCACTGCACTCCAGCCTGGGCAACAGAGCGAGACTCCATCTCAACAACAACAACAACAAAATTTATATATATAAAATACACATATATATTTAATTTTAAAAAAGAAAATCATTGAGGAGAAAGGATATCTGCCTGAATAGGTTTCTAATGCAAATGAAAGTGCCCTATTCTGGAAAAAAAATGCCACAAAGGACATTTATTAGTATGGAAGAGAAGTGAGCACTAGATTTAAGGCAGGAAGGTATAGACTAACTCTACTGTTTTTTGCAAATGCAGTCAGGATTTTCATCAGGACTGTCCTTTCTTTTTTTCTTTTTTGAGATGGGGTCTCGTTCTGTTGCCCAGGCTGGAATGCAGTGGCATGATCTCGGTTCACTGCAACTTCCAACTCCCAGGTTCAAGCAATTCTCCCACCTCACCCTCCTGAGTACTTGGGACCATAGGCACGTACCGCCACACCCGGCTAATTTTTGTATTTTTAGTAAAGGTGGGGTTTCACCATGTTGCCCAGGCTGGTTTTGAACTCCTGAGCTCAGCTGGGTGCAGTGGCTCATGCCTGTAATCCCAGCACTTTGGGGGGCGAGGCGGGCAGATCACTTGAGGTCAGGAGTTCGAGACCAGCCTGGTCTACTTGGTGAAAACCCGTCTCTACTAAAAACACAAAAATTAGCTGGGCTTGGTGGTGTGCGCCTGTAATTCCAGCGACTTGGGAGACTGAGGCAGGAGAATCGCTTGAACCCAGGAAGTGGAGGTAGCAGTGAGCCGAGATTGTGCCACTGCACTTCAGCCTGGGCAACAGAGCAGGAGTCCGTCTTAAAAAAAAAAAAAAAAGTCATTATTACAGTATTTATTCTAAAAGCTACCCTTACTGGTGGCCACCATGGGCCAGTCTTCTGTGACGTGCATTGCCTACTGTAGTTCTTTAAGTTATCCCTGAGATCTTAGGAGAAAGACACTCTTATTTCCCTTGACAGACAGAGAAACTAAGACAAGGCTCGGAAGGGGGAATTATTTCCCTGAGGTCACAGTGTAGAACTAGTGGTGCCACAAACTGAATACAGGTGTCTGTGGCTCTAGAGCAGTGCTGTCCAGTGGAAAGCCACGTGCAACATTTAATGTTTGCTACAGACCACAATAAATAGCACAAAGTAATGGGCAAAATTAATTTTAATAATACACATGTGACCCTTGAACAACATAAGTTTTTTTTTTTTTTTTTTTTCTTGAGACAGGGTCTTGCTCTGTTGCCCATGCTACAGTGCAGTGATGAGATCATGGGCTCAGGCAATCCTCCCAACTCAGCCTCCTGAGTAGCTGGGGCTACAGGTGCCCACCACCACGCTCGGCAAATATTTTTGTATTTATTGTAGAGACAGGATCTCACCATGTTGCCCAGGCTGGTCTTGAATTCCTAGACTCAAGTGATCCTCCCACCTTGGTCTCCTAAGTGTTGGGACTACAGGTGTGAGCTACTGCACCCGGCCAAATTTTTTTTTTTTTTTTCAGATGGAGTCTGGCTCTGTCGCCCAGGCTGGAGTGCAGTGGTGCAATCTCAGCTCACTGCAGGCTCCGCCTCCCAGGTTCATGCCATTCTCCTGCCTCAGCCTCCTGAGTAGCTGGGACTACAGGTGCCCGCCACTACGCCCGGCTAATTTTTTGTATTTTTAGTAGAGACGGGGTTTCACTGTGTTAGCCAGGATGGTCTTGATCTCCTGACCTCGTGATCGCCCACCTCATCCTCCCAAAGTGCTGGGATTACAGGCGTGAGCCACCGCGCGAGGCCCCTGGCCAGATATTTTTCAATAAGTATATAGAAGAATTTTTTGGAAATTTATGACAATTTGAAAAACCTCAGAGATGAACCCACTTAGCCTAGAGATACTGAAAAAATTATGAAAAAGATACGTCACAAATACATAAAATATATGTAGATACTAGTCTTTATCATTTACTACCATAAAATATACACAAATTGGCTGGGCACAGCGGCTCACACTTGTAATCCCAGCACTTTGGGAGGCCGAGGCAGGTGGATCACCTGAGGTCAGGAGTTCAAGACCAGCCTAGCCAACACGCAGAAACCCCGTCTCTACTAAAAATATAAAAATTAGCTGGGCATAGTGGCTGGCACCTGTAATCCCAGCTACTCAGGAGGCTGAGGCAGGAGAATGGTATGAACTCAGGAGGCAGAGCTTGCAGTGAGCCAAGATCGCGCCACTGAACTCCAGCCTGGGCGACAGAGCGAGACTCCATCTCAAAAAAAAAAAAAAAGAAAAGAAAAAAAATACAAAAATTAGCCAGGCGTGGTGACGTGCGCCTGTAATCCCAGCTACTTAGGAGGTTGAGGCAGGAGAATCGTTTGAACCTGGGGGGTGGAGGTTGTGGTGAGCCGAGATTGTGCCACTGCACGCCAGCCAGGGCGACAGAGCGAGACTCCGTCTTAAAAAAAAGTTAAACATGGAATTATCATGTGATCCCCGCAATTTCACTCCTAGGTATATACCCAAGAGAAATGAAAACATATGTCCACACAAAAACCTGTACATGAATGTTCACAGCAGCATTATTCATAAGAGCCAAAAAATGGAAGCAACCCAAATATCTACCAACTGATGAACAAATAAACAAAATGTGGTCCATCTATACAACAGAAACAAAACAGTGATTCATGCTGCAACACAGATGAACCTTGGAAGCACTCTGCTATGTGAAAGGAGGCAGTCGCAAAAGGCCACATATTCTGTGATCCCATTTCTAGAAACGTCCGTGATAGGCAAATCCAGATGTAGAGAAAATAGATTTGTGGTTGCCTAGAGCTGGGGGGAAATGAAGGAATGTGAAGGGAATGGCCAAAGTACATGGGGTTTCTTTGTTGTTGTTTCTTTGTTGTTGTTGAGACAGGGTCTCACTCTATTGCAGAGGCTGGAATGCAGTGGCACAATCATGGCTTACTGCAGCCTTGACCTTCTGGGCTCAAGGGATCCTACTGCCTCAGCCTCCTGAGTAGCTGGGACTACCACATGGTGTGCGCCACCATGCCCAACTAACTTTTTAATTTTTTGCAGAGATGGGCTCTCACTATGCTGCCCAGGCTGGTCTTGAATTTCTGGGCTCAAGAAATTTTCCTCCACCTCGGCCTTCCAAAGCACTGGGATTACAGGTATGAGCCACCATGCTGGACCAGGGGTTTCTTATTGGGATAAAAATGCTCCAAAACTGATTGTGATAATAGATACACAATTTTGTGAATATACCAAAAGCTACTCAATTGTACAGTTTAGATGCTATGTGAATTATATCTTTTCTTTTTCTTTTTGTAGAGACAGGGTTGCCCAAGCTGGAGTGCAGTGGCACAATCATAGCTCACTGCAGCCTTGAACTCCTGGGCTCAGGTGATCCTCCCACCTCAGCCTCCCGAGTAGCTGGGACCACAGGAACATGCCATGACACCCAGCTAATTGGTCACGCCACTGCACTCCAGCCTGGGCAGCAGAGTAAGACCCCGTCTCAAGAAAAAATTTTTTTGAGACAGAGTCTCACTATGTTGCCCAGGTTGGTCTTGAACTTCTCCCTCACTGGCTCAAACAATCCTCCCACCTCAGCTTTCCAAAGTATTGGAATTACAAGTGTAAGCCACTGTGCCCAGCCTATATTTCAATAAAACTGTTTAAAAATTATAGCAATAGGCCAGGCGCAGTGGCTCATGCCTGTAATCTCAGCACGTTGCGAGGCCGAGGCGGGCGGATCACCTGAGGTCAGGAGATAGAAACCAGCCTGGCCAACATGGTGAAACTCCATCTCTACTAAAAATACAAAAAAAATTAGCCGGGCGTGGTGACACATGCCTGTAATCCAAACTACTCGGGAGGCTGAGGCAGGAGAATCGCTTGAACCTGGGAGACAGAAGTTGCAGTGAGCCAAGATTGCGCCACTGCACTCCAGCCTGGGCAACAAAAGCGAAACTCCGTCTCAAAAAAAAAAAAAATTATAGCAATAGACAGAAAAAAATGCCTGAAGGAATAGAAAGTGGTGATGCCTGGATGAAGGGCTGCAGGCACCCCTTGTAGGATTGTAAGGTTGTAGGCGTCCTGGCATGTAGATATGCCACAGATCATTAACTGAGCACCTACTATGGACCAGGCCTGAACAGCTGGTGCTGGCGCCCCCACAGAGCGCCAGTGCTCCAGGAGGCCGAGGGTGCCACACCACACAACCATGGGCTGTCTGATCAGAGTCTGGGATCAGACTATTTTACACCCCCTTCTCTTTCCTATTTCTGTACTTTTCATTATTTGATAAGGAATATGTAATTGCTTTCACAACAAGGAAAACAATGCAAATTCTATCATTTTCAGATATAGTTTTTAGCAAGAAATACAATTTGGGAAATAAAGCTACCTCCCTTGAGTCCCCCTCACCAACACACTCCTACAGGTGCCCGTTCCCTGCCGACTCGCAGACAGGACCTGACGCAGCTGCAACTGCAGGCACTCAAGGGTTTGAGTCACTTCAAACCTCAGGTATTTCCCTGACCTTCACATCCTGAGCTCACGCCCCAGCAGGGACAGAGAGCATGGACACCTTCAACTTGTTACCAGCTGTGCCAGACACAGCCCTCCCCTTGTTCTGCAACCTGTTTCCCAGGTCCCCCTGCCAGCTGGCTCTCGGCCAATGGGACACACGGGTAGAGGAATGAAGGCAAGGGTGAGGGAGGAATAGGCAGAGAAATCCTCCCTCCTCCTTCTACCTCCGCTGCCAAAAGTGGCCCCATCCCCTCAAATTCCTGGGCTCAACTGGTCCTCCTGCCTCGGCCTCCCAAAGTGCTGGGATTACAGGTGTGAGGCACCGTGCCTGGCCACAAAAATTTAAATTTTAGCCTTTTAACTTCATTTTCCTTTCCTGATATTGCAATAATAAATATTCACTGTAGGCTGGGTGTGGTGGCTCAAGCCTGTAATCCCAGCACTTTGGGAGGCCGAGGCGGGTGGATCACTTGAAGTTAGGAGTTCGAGACCACCCTGGCCAACATGGTAAAACCCCATCTCTACTAAAAATACAAAAATTAGCCGGGCGTGCTGGCAGGCACCTCTGACTCTGGCTTCTCAGGAGGCTGAGACAGAATCGCTTGAACCCAGGAGGTGGAGGCTGCAGTGAGCCAAGATCACGCCACTGCACTCCAGCCTGGAAAACAGAGTGAGGCCACACCTTAAAAATAAATAAATTACAGGCTGGGCGCGGTGGCTCACGCCTATAATCCCAGCACTTTGGGAGGCCGAGGCGGGCGGATCACGAGGTCAGGAGATCAAGCCCATCCTGGCTAACACAGTGAAACCCTGTCTCTGCTAAAAATACAAAAAAATTAGCTGGGCGTGGTGGTAGGCACCTGTAGTCCCAGCTACTCCAGAGGCTGAGGCAGGAGAGTGGCGTGAACCCAGGAGGCAGAGCTTGCAGTGAGTCGAGATCGCACCACTGGACACCAGCCTGGGCAACAGAGTGAGACTCCGTCTCTAATTAATTAATTAATTAATTAATTAATTACATCCTGGCTAACATGGTGAAACCCCGTCTCTACTAAAAAATACAAAAAATTAGCCGGGCATGGTGGCAGGCACCTGTAGTCCCAGCTACTGGGGAGGCTGAGGCAAGAGAATGGCGTAAACCTGGGAGGCAGAGCTTGCAGTGAGCCGAGATCACGCCACTGCACCTCCAGCCTGGGCGGCAGAGCAAGACTCCGTCTTAAAAAAAAATAATAAAATAATAAATAAATAAATAAATAAGCCAGGCACGGTGGCTCACGCCTGTAATCCCAGCACTTTGGGAGGCCAAGGCGGGCGGATCATGAGGTCAAGAGATGGAGATCATTCTGGCCAACATGGTGAAACCCCGTCTCTACTAAAAATACAAAAATTAGCTGGGCGTGGTGGTGCACACCTGTAATCCCAGCTACTTGGGAGGCTGAGGCAGGAGAATCTCTTGAACCCAGGAAGCGGAGGTTGCACTGAGCCGAGATCGCGCCACTGCACTCCAGCCTGGCAACAGAGTGAGACTCCGTCTCCAAAAAAAAAAATAAATAAATAAATAAATAAATAAATAAATAATTCACTGTTGAAAACTTGGATGTTGCCCAAAAAGTCCCCAAAAAAGTGTATTAAAGAAAAAAAAGCCCAGGCGCGGTAGCTCACGCCTGTAATCCCAGCACTTTGGGAGGCCGAGGCAGGCAGATCACCTGAGGTCAAGATCACCTGAGGTCAGGAGTTCGAGACCAGCCTGACCAATACGATGAAACCCCATCTCTACTAAAAATACAAAAATTAGCCACATGGGGTGGCATGCGCCTATAATCCCAGCTACTTGGGAGGCTGAGACAGAAGAATCGCTTAAACCCGGGAGGCGGAGGTTGCAGTGAGCCAAGATCGCACCATTGCACTCCAGCCTGGGCAACAAGAGCGAAACTCTGTCTCAAAGGAAAAAAAAAAAGAAAAAAAGGGTGCAGTGGCTCACACCTGTAATCTCACCACTTTGGGAAGCCAAGGCAGGCGGATCACGAGGTCAAGAGTTCAAGACCAGCCTGGCCAATGTGGTGAAACCCCGTCTCTACTAAAAACACAAAAAATTAGCTGGGTGTGGTGGCAGGCACCTGTAATCCCAGCTACTCAGGAGGCTGAGGCAGGAGAATCACTTGAACCCAGGAGGCGGAGGTTACGGAGAGCCAAGATTGCGCCACTGCACTCCAGCCAGAGTGACAGTGCAAGACTCCATTTCAAAAAAAAAAAAAAAACAGCTGGGTACGATGGCTCACGCCTGTAATCCCAGCACTTTGGGAGGCCAGGGAGGGTGGATCATGAGGTCAAGAGTTCAAGACCAGCCTGGCCAACATGGTGAAACCCTGTCTCTACTAAAAATACAAAAATTACCTGAATGTGGTGGCGGGCGCCTATAATCCCAGCTACGCAGGAGGCTGAGGCAGGAGAATCGCTTGAACCTGGCAGGTGAAGGTTGCAGTGAGCCAAGATTGCGCCACTGCACTCCAGCCTGGCAACAGAGCGAGACTCCATCTCAAAAACAAAACAAAACAAAACAAAACAAAGGCCAGGCAATGCAGCCAACCCTCAACAGAGGCGCCTTCCCTTCCAGCCTTTCAGGACCACACGTTGCCCTTCACAGGGTCGAGGCGGGTGTGAGTCTCAGTACGGCTGTTTTTACCAAGCGCCGGGCATTGTGCTGAGCACGTGACATGAATTGTTTTGTTTCACATCAAGACACCCTCATAGAGGGAAATCAGCAGTCTCAGAGGACAGGAGACTGCCTGCCTCCCAAGGTGTGGCCGCCCCTCTCCTGTGCTGCCAACTTTATCCCATGGGCGTAGGGGGATGCAGAAGACCACCTACCTCAGACAGTGGCTCTGATGCAGTCTCTGGGTTCCGGAGGCCGTCCCTGGGCATGGGGGTGCTGCCGCTGTCCCCCCGCTGGCCCACGCTTAGTGCCTGCTCCCACTTCTGCAGAGCTTCCTCAAACAGCTCCATGCCTGAGCACAGGTGAGGCGAAAAGCGTGGGTCAGCACCTCCACAGTCTCACCCAAGAGGGGGCTCAGAACATCAAGGAGGCAGGAGGGCCTTGAAGGGCAAGAACTGGGTGGGACCGTGTGGCCTGGGCTGCTCAGGTTCCAGGCCTTCTTTCAGACCAGGTTTGTTCCTAGACACTGTCCCTTGTTCAGAAATGGCTGGAAATCACCCAGTTGGGATTTGGGGCAGGGTAGTGAGGGGCAAAGTGACCCAAGACTGGCCAAGCTCCTAGGAAGGGACTGTTCCTGCCACCCACCCTGCCCTCGAAGCTGAGGCACCTCCTGGCCACACCTTGCATGTACAGGCTCTCTGCATTGCCGTCGCTGGTGGTCAGAGACTCCTCCATCCCTCTGGCATCCCATAGTCCCGAGCACGCGGCTGTGGGGCTGGATGAGTTCACTGCCATCATCTGGGCGCCAATCAGTGCAAGAAGAAAGAGTGAAGCTTTCCCGGGCTCTCTGCAGGGCCCCCCTGAGCCCTCCTCCACTGCCTGACCATGGGCCACACGCCCCCTCCAAATGCCATCCCTGAGCTTGTTCCTAGCCACAGCGTCCACACCCTCAGAATGGCCTGGACCCACAAACTGCCTGATGGTGCTTCATAGAAAGAAGCCACCAAAGCAGGAAGGAATCCTGAGACCAACACCCAGCCCAGGAACCTGGGAATCCCTCTGAGCCCTGCTCCTGACTGCTGTATCCATCCCCTATGCCGGGGCTCCTCTACCCCTTGAACAAGAAGACAGAGAGTACCCATTCTGTGCCAGGGTCCTGCCTCTCATCCACACGAGTGGCTGGCAGCCCCAGGACAAGAACCAGCTCTTGCTTGCCCCTGTGCCAGCCTGGCTCATAGCTGGGACTCTGCTTGCTGGATGAGTGAATGAACCAAAAGCCACACCCCAGAAGAAGCCAAGCTTCTGCCTTGTTTATCTCTACACCTCCAGTGCCTGACAGAGTCCCTGGTATAACGCAGGTGCTTGTCAGTGGCTGATGAATGAATAACCTGCACTTTCACAGGTACAGGTCTCCCCAGGAGACCATCAGTTTCTCTCCTCTGCACCAGCCCACCTTTCTCCCACCAACACCTGGCACAGTGAGTGATTAGGGACAATCCCTGAAAGCCCGCGTGGGTGGAGGAGTGAGAGAGAGAATGAATGAATGGACTCTACCAGTCTATAAGCTTGCTGAGGGCAGAGTCCTCAGCAGGGGTAAGCCCGGACCTGGAGCCCTGGAGCCCTGGCACCTGCTGCTCACCGAGGCCACACTGTGGGAGGAGCCCGAGTGCTTGCTGGGCTCAATGGAAGAGATGCCACTCAGGGTGTCGTTGCTCTTGCTGCTGGGGCTCTGGACTCTCCGGCTGGAGTATCCTGTGAGGAGCAGAAGGGCAGGCGTCACACAGGCATCCCCTGTGGCCTTTACACGGGCTGCCCCCACTCTGGACCACCTTCCCCTTCTTCCTCATCTGGGAATCGGTCCCGACCTTCTAAGTCAGGGGAACAGAGGGGCCCCAAGGGCGTGCACTCAGGAGAAAAGCGCGGGGCCCTCCATGTCCTGCTCATGACCACATCCCTGCCATATCCCTGCCACAGGGCACAGGGCCAGGCCGAGGAGAGGAGTCCCGATCTGCCAGATAAGCCAAGAATGAGGTCCATCTGCTTTCCCGCCTCCTTGCTTAGCCTTCTCTGGGCTGCTGATTGAGAGAATGGTTTAGAATTCTCCTTGCAAAAGAGATGTGAGACGACAACTTTTAAAAATATACAAAAGGCCGGGCACGGTGGCTCACACCTATAATCCCAGCACTTTGGGAGGCCGAGATGGGGGAGGACTGCTTGAGCCCAGGAGTTCAAGACCAGCCTGGGCAACATGGCGAAACCCTGTCTCAACAAAAAATACAAAAATTAGCCAAGTGTGGTGGCGTGGCCTGCAGCCCCAGCTACTTGGGAGGCTGAGGGTGGGGGATCAATTGAGCCTGGGAGGTCAAGGCTGCAGTAAGCCATGATCGCAATACTTCATTCCAGACTGGGAAGCAGAGTGAGACCCTGTCTCAAATATATATACATATATATATATAAATTTTTTTAGGATGGGCTGGGTGGATCATGTCTGTAATCCTAGCACTTTGGGAGGCCGAGGTGGGTGGATCACTTGAGGTCAGGAGTTCGAGATCAGCCTGGCCAACAAGGTAAAACCCCATCTATAATAAAAATACACAAATTAGCCAGATGGGGTGGCGCACGCCTGTAATCCCAGCTACTCAGGAGGCTGAGGCAGGAGAATCGCTTGAACCTGGGACACGGAGGTTGCAGTGAGCCAAGACTGTGCCACTGCACTCCAGCCTGGGCAACAGAGCAAGAATGTCTCAAAAAAAAAAATTTAATGAAATGCACCAAAGGTTATTTTTTAAAATAGAGACAGGGCCGGGCACAGTGGCTCACACCTGTAATCCCAGCACTTTGGGAGGCTGAGGTCAGCAGATCACATGAGATTAGGAGTTCGAGAGAAGCCTGGCCCACGTGGTGAAAGCCTGTCTCTACTAAAAACACAAAAAATTAGCCAGGTATGGTGGCACCTGTTTGTAATCCCAGCTACTTGGTAGGCTGAGGAGGAGAATCCTTGAACCCGGGAGGCAGAGGTTGCAGTGAGCCAAGATTGCGCCATTCCACTCCAGCCTGGGCGACAGGGTGAGACTCTGTCTCAAAAATACAAAACAAAATAGCCTGGGCACAGTGGCTCATGCCTGTAATCCTAGTACTTTGGGAGGCCGAGGTGGGTGGATCACCTGAGGTCAGGGGTTCAAGACCAGCCTGGCCAACATGGAGAAACCCCGTCACTACTAAAAATACAAAAATTAGCCAGGTGTGGTGGCACACGCCTGTAATCCCAGCTACTTGGTAGGATGAGGCAGGAGAATCGCTTGATCCTGGGAGGTGGACGTTGCAATGAGCTGAAATTGTGCCACTGCATTCCAACCTGGGCAACAGAGTGAGACTGTCTCAAAAAAAAAAAGTAAATAAAAATTAAAAAATAATAATAAAATAAAACAAAGAAAGCCGGGTGTGGTGGCACGCACCTGTAATCCCAACTTTTGGGAGAACGAAGTGGGCAGATCACCTGATGTCAGGAGTTTGAGACCAGCCTGGTCAAAATGGTGAAACCCTGTCTCTAGTAAAAACATAAAATTAGCCAGGCATGGTAGCACTCCCAGCTACTCGGGAGGCTGAAGCATGAGAACTGCTTGAATCTGGAAGGCGGAGGTTGCAGTGAGCCAAGATTGTGCCACTGCCCTCTGCCCTAGGCGACAGGGCAAGACTCTGTCTCCAAAAAAAAAAAAAAACAGAGACAGGGCCTCCACATACCACCCAGGCTGGTCTCAAACTCCTGGGCTCAAGTGATCCACCTGCCCCAAAGTACTGGGATTACAGGTACAAGCCACTATACATGGCCAATATTTTGTTAGAAGTGAGAAAAGTAGGGAAGGGAAAATAAGGTGAAATGAGAGCAGGCAGAGTGGGACAGGGCACAGAAGCTAAACGCTGTGCAGATGACTCCAGGTTTCCCAGGACAGACACAAAATTAGGCTGCCTGAGTGTCTCTCAGGGTCCTCTTCCATATTAGTCTCAAGACTTCTTGTTCCAATTCTAGGCCGGGCGCAGTGGCTCACACCTGTAATCCCAGCAATTTGGGAGGCTGAGGCGGGCAAATCAGGAGGTCAAGAGATGGAGACCATCCTGGCCAATATGGTGAAACCCTGTCTCTACTAAAAACACAAAAAATTAGCTGGGCGTGGTGGCACGCACCTGTAGTCCCAGCTACTCAGGAGGCTGAGGCAGGAGAATTGCTTGAACCCGGGAGGCGGAGGTTGCAGTGAGCCAAGATGGCACCACTGCACTCCAGCCTGGCGACAGAGCAAGACTCCGTCTAAAAAAAAACCAAAAAAAAAAAAACAAAACACTTATTTTTCCAATTCTAAAGATAATACTTTCCTTTTGCAACAATAATACACAATTAAAATTTATTTTCACAGGAGACTTTTGCTTCTTATTTTTTTAACAGAGACAGCGACTCTCTATGTTGCCCAGGCTGGTCTTGAATTCCTGGCCTCAAACAATCCTCCTGCCTCCCAAATTGCTGGGATTACAGGTATGAGCCACCACACTCAGCTAATTTATGTTCTTTCTCTTTTTAAAAAAAAATTATTTATAGAGACAGGGTCTCTCTATGCTGCTCAGGCTGGTCTCAAACTCCTGGACTCAATAATTCTCCCGACTTGGCTTCCCAAAGTGCTGGGATTACAGGTGTGAGCCACCACACCCGGTCTACTTTTGCTTTTTTTTTTTTTTTTTTTTTTTTTTGAGACAGAGTCTTACTCCATAGCCCAGGCTGGAGTGCAGTGGTGTGATCTCGGCTCACTGCAACCTCTGCCTCCCGGGTTCAAGCGATCCTTCTGCTTCAGCCTCCTAAATAGCTGGGATTACAGGCATGCACCCCCATGCTTGGCTAATTTTTGTATTTTTAGTAGAGAGGGGGTTTCACCATGTTGGCCAGGCTGGTCTGGAACTGCTGTCCTCAGGTGACCCGCCCACCTCAGCCTCTCAAAGTGCTGAAATCACAGGCTACTTTTGCTTCGTTTTTTTTTTTTTTTTGAGATAGAGTCTCGCTCTGTCGCCCAGGTTGGAGTGCAGTGGCACAATCTCGGCTCACTGCAAGCTCCACCTCCATAGATGCCTGCCACCACACCCGACTAATTTTTGTATTTTTAGTAGAGACAGGGTTTCACCGTGTTGGCCAGGCTGGTCTCAAACTCCTGACCTCGGGATCCGCCTGCTTTAGCCTCCCAAAGTGCTGGGATTATAAGCATGAGCCACCGCGCCTGGCCTTACTTTTGCTTCTTAAAACAAGTTTCAGCTGGGCACGGCGGCTCACACCCATAACCCCAGCACTTTGGGGGGCCAAGGCGGGAAGATCTCTTGAGGCCAGGAGTTTGAGACCAGCCTGGCCAACACAGACCAGCCTGGCCAACACAGACCAGCCTGGCCAACATGGTGAAACCCCATCCCTACCAAAAATACAGAAATTAGCTGGGTGTGGTGGCTCATGCCTGTAATTCCAGCTACTCGGGAGGCTGAGGCAGGAGAATCGCTTAAACCCAGGGGGTGGAGGTTGCAGTGAGCCGAGACTGTGCCATTGCACTCCAGCCTGGGTGACAGAGTGAGACTGTGTTTCAAAAAAAACAAGTCTCCCAAGATGAGAACTCCTGGCCTTGCAAAGAGATCAAGACAACACTTCAATGCAGCAAACACCGGGTCTGTATTACAAGATTAACAGGAGCCGTAAGAGTTTTTACAACCACAGCAGCAGCCACAAAATAGAGCAGTGGCTACCAGAGCTGACACAGAAGGACACAGGGCATTTAGAGAGTGATACAACGATAGAACAGTTCTTTTTTTTTTTTAAGACTAGTTAAGTGTAGTAGTGAGAAGCTGGGAAAAAGAGTAGAAGAAGGGGCCAGGCACGGTGGCTCATGCCTGGCTCCCAGCACTTTGGGAGGCCAAGGCGGGTGGATCACGAGGTCAGGAGTTCGAGACCAGCCTGGCTAACATGGTGAAACCCCAACTCTACTCAAAATACAAAAATTAGCCGGGCGTGGTTTCATGCACCTGTAATCCCAGCTACTCGGGAGGCTCAGGCAGGAGAATTGCTTGAAACCGGAAGGCAGAGGCTACAGTGAGCAGAGACCAGACCACCGCACTCCAGCCTGGGAAACACAAGCGAAACTCTGTCTCAAAAAAAAAAAAGCCGGGCAGGTTGGCTCATGCCTGTAATCCCAGCACTTTGGGAGGCCGAGGCAGGCGGATCACGAGTTCAGGAGATCAAGGCCATCCTGGCTAATACAGTGAAACCCTGTCTCTACTAAAAATACAAAAAATTAGCCGGGCTTGGTGGCACGCACCTGTTGTCCCAGCTACTCCGGAGGCTGAGGCAGAAGAATCGCTTGAACCCGGGATGCAGAGGTTGCAGTGAGCCAAGATCATGCCACAGCACTCCAGCCCGGGTGACAGAGAGTGAGACTCCGTCTCAAAAAAAAAAAAGAGTAGAAAGATGGCCGGGGCCGGGTGCGGTGGCTCACACCTGTAATCCCAGGATTTTGGGAGGCTGAGGTGGGCGGATCACTTGAGCTCAGGAGTTCGAGAGCAGCCTGGCCAACGTGGCGAAATCCCGTCTCTACTAAAAATACAAAAATTAGCCAGGCATGGTGGCACGTGCCTGTAGTCCCAGCTTTTCGAGAGGCTGAAGCAGGAGAATCTCTTGAACCTAAGAGGCCGAGGCTGCAATGAACCGAGATTGTGCCACTGCCCTGCAGACTGGGTGACAGAGCAAGACTCCATCTCAAAAAAAAAAAAAAAAAAAAGAGAGAACAGAAGGAGTGTGATCTGTGACTGTGAGCAATCGACTGAGTGAACTCACTACCTTCCAACCAGCTGAATGATTCCTAACTATGGTGGTGGTCGGATGACTCTATGTGTCAAAGACACAGAATAGTATGCTAAAAAGTACGAATCTTACTGCATGCAAATTAACCCTCAAATTTTTTTTTTTTTTGAGACGGAGTCTCGCTCTGTCACCCAGGCTGGAGTGCAGTGGCGCAATCTCGGCTCACTGCAAGCTCCGCCTCCTGGGTTCACGCCATTCTCCTGCCTCAGCCTCCTGAGTAGCTGGGATTACAGGTGCCCGTCACCATGCCCGGCTAATTTTTTGTATTTTTAGTAGAGACGGGGTTTCACCGTGTTATTCAGGATGGCCTCGATCTCCTAACCTTGTGATCTGCCCGCCTCGGCTTCCCAAGGAGCTGGGATTACAGGCGTGAGCCACCGCGCCCGGCCTAAACCTCAATTTTTAAGAGAGAAGGGAATGGGAGGAATACTGCATCATTCAAGAACCACATGGCTCTTCCTGCTCCTCAGCCTGGGGAACATCCCTCTCTGGACCCAGGAGCCACATCCCCGACCCCCTCTGACCAAGGTGCTCCCAAAGGGTCCTCAGCTAATGAGAACAACCAAAACCACCTCCACCAATGGAGCATGCGCATCCAACCACATCACCCTCCAGTACAGTGACTGGAGGGAGGGACGCTACTGTCATCCCGCTCACAGATCAGGAGACCTTGGCTCTGAGACAGGAAGACACTGGCCCAATATCCCCAAGTAGAGAGTGACCCAGCTGGGATATGACCCCAGGATGTGACCTCAGGTCAGGCCTATGCCCACCACCTCACACCTACCTTTCTTCACTGAAGGGACCTTCCTGGCCAAGAGGATAGGGAGGGGCACCGTGCCCAGCTGCTCCCCTCCCATCTCGGGACCAACCTGCTTCTTCCTCCTCCGTCGCCTCTTCAGCTGGTGGGCAGCCAGGGCCAGGGCCACAGTCCCCAGGGCCGTGGCAAAGAGGACTTTCCGCAGGCCTGGCGTCAACCGTAGCTGGGAGAATGCAGACTGCAGGGAAGAGGAGACGCTGCCGGTTACACCTCCCTGGGGAAGGTCCAAGGCAGCAGGACCGCCCCAGAGCACCTCAGGGACGGGACACACACCGGCTCTCCGGCACATCTGCCGACCAGATGAGAGACTGAGAGGCAGCCACCCTAGACGGGGAAGTTGACCAGCCTCCCTGAAACACAGGCCACAAAAACATAAAGATGGCAAGATGCCAGTGCCGAGAAGGTGAGGTCTAGGGGCCAGCACCCTCAGTCATGAGCACACAAGCCGCAGTGAACAAGCACCAGCTGTGCCCGGCACTGCACTAGGACCTAGCCTGGGGTACCCATCTGAGTCCCTGTCATTTCCAGACGAGGAACCTGAGGTTCACCCACATGAAGACATATACTCAAGGTGACAGAGGCAGACATGAAACCCAGATCTGCTGACCCCCATTTCTCAGTGATGCCTCAAAGATGATGACACTCACTCACCTGCCACCCCATCTGAACAATTCCTACTGCTGCACCTCACCCTCTGCCCCCCAGGCCTGGGAGCCCCTCAGATGGGACTGTACCCCACAAGGCAGATCTTCGGTCAAGATCCCAGTCAGCCACAAACATGTGAGTTGTCAGGGAGGGCACTGACCCCTTTTACAGACTGAGTAACTGAGGTCAAGAGTTCATATAGGACCAGGT
Organism: Homo sapiens; assembly: GCF_000001405.40. Taxonomy (NCBI): domain Eukaryota; kingdom Metazoa; phylum Chordata; class Mammalia; order Primates; family Hominidae; genus Homo; species Homo sapiens. The sequence continues at coordinate 129,041,626 of NC_000009.12, read as the reverse complement.
GCAGTGGCTCATGCCTATAAACCCAGCACTTTAGGAGGCCAAGGTAGGTGGATGGCTTGAGCCCAAGAGTTCAAGACCAGCCTGGGCAAAATGGCAAGGCCCTATTTCTATTACGAAAAACTTTTTTTTTTTTGAGACGGAGTCTTACCCTGTTGCCCAGGCTGGAGTGCAGTGGTGCGATCTCGACTCACTGCAACCTCCGCTTCCTGGGTTCAAGTGATCCTCCCGCCTCAGCCTCCCAAGTAGCTGGGATTACAGGCACCTGCCACCATGCCCAGCTAATTTTTTTTTTTTTGAGGCGGAGTCTCGCTCTGTCGCCCAGGCTGGAGTGTAGTGGCATGATCTCAGCTCATTGCAACCTCCGCCTCCTGGGTTCAAGCAATTCTGTCTCAGCCTCCCAAGTAGCTGGGACTACAGGTGCACACCACCATGCTTGGCTAATTTTTGTACTTTTGGTAGAGATAGCGTTTCACCATATTGGTCAGGCTGGTCTTGAACTCCTGACTTCAGGTGATCCACCTGCTTCAGCTTCCCAGAGTGCTGGGATTACAGGCATGAGCCACTGTGCCCAGCCTACCCGCCTAATTTTTGTATTTTTAGTAGAGACAGGGTTTCACCATGTTGGCCAGGCTGGTCTTGAACTCCTGACCTCAGGTGATCCGCCCGTCCCGGCCTCCCAAAGTGCTGGGATTACAGGCGTGAGCCATCGCACCCGGCCAATACAATTTTTTTAATTAATTAAAAAAAAAAGAGTTCGTATAGTCTCAGGCTAAAGAACAGGCCTGAAGCCTCAGACAACAAACCCAGTCCAAAGAGGAGACACCAGAGGTTTGGCAAAGCAAGAACGAGGGCTCAGCGTTCCTGGACACGGAGGAGCCCTTGGCTGAGCATGGAAGTGTTTCATAGACCAGAGGTACAACCCACCCTGATCCTTACCTGCCCAAACGTCGTGTACAGGAACACGGGGATCTCGGCCACCGTCATGGCCAGGGCCTGGATCATAGACGTGCCCTCGGCCCTCCGGAACGCCATGGCAGGGCCAATGCCCCAGGCAAAGTCCTCAGGGCCAAGAGCTTCCAAGGAGAACGTCTTCAACTGGTTGCCAGCTGGGTCCCAGGCACCATCCACGCCCCAGAAGGACAGGGACACACATACCAGAGGGCCCCTCCACAGAGCTAAGAGACAGATGACCAAGTCAGATAAGAGAACGTGCACACGGGAACATGCAGAAATGCACTCAAGAAGAGCGTCCATGGGGGAGGAGGCAGGAGCAAAGCTTGCCTCTGGAACCCCAGGCCTGGAATCAGGCCCCAGGCCTCTGCATCTGCCCGCCAGCAGGCAGCCCCACACCCACAGACCCTCTGCCTACCAGGGGCCCTGCGAGCGGAAACATCTCTGGCCAGCCAGCCCAGGAGAGGACCCAGAACCTGGGAGGTGGACAGGTCACTCTCAGACTTAGGGCTTTAAGCCACATTTTCTCTACCTTTTTCAACCCATGGACCATTTGCTAAGCAAAAATCTTAGACCCCAGACTGAGAATCATTGCATCTTTTTACCTCCCACAAAGTTAAGAATGTTTTCTTGCTGGGCACGGTGGCTCACGCCTGTAATCCCAGCACTTTGGAAGGCCGAGATGGGTGGATCACCTGAGGTCGGGAGTTTGAGACCAGCCTGGCCAATATGGTGAAACCCCATCTCTACTAAAAAACACAAAAATCAGCTGGGTGTGGTGGCACGCACCTGTAATCCCAGCTACTCAAGAGGCTGAAGCAGGAGAACCGGCTTGAACCTGGGAGGTGGAGGTGGCAGTGAGCCAAGATGGGGCCACTGCGCTCCAGCCTGGGCAAGAAGAGCAAAACTCAGTCTCAAACAAACAAACAAACAAACAAACAAACAAAAAACTAGCTGGGCGTGGTGGTGCACACCTGTAACCCCAGCTACTCAGGAGGCTGAGGCAGAAGAATCGCTTGAACCCGGGAAGCAGAGGTTGCAGTGAGCTGAGATCACAACACTGCACTCCAGCCTGGGCTACAGAGCAAAACTCTGTCTCAAAAAATAATAATAATAATAATAAAATAAAGAAGCTGGGCACAGTGGCTTACGCCTATAATCCCAGCACTTTGGGAGGCCGAGGAGGGAGGATCACAAGGTCAGGAGATCAAGATCATCCTGGCTAACACAGTGAAACCCCATCTCTACTAAAAATACAAAAAATTAGCCGGGCGTTGTAGCGGGCACCTGTAATCACAGCTACGCGGAAGGCTGAGGCAGGAGAATGGCATGAACCCAGGAGGCGGAGCTTGCAGGGAGCCAAGATCGCGCCACTGCACTCCAGCCTGGGCAATAGAGTGAGACTCCATCTCAAAAAATAAATAAATAAAAAACAAAAAAATAAAATAAAATAAAACACACACACACACACACACACACACACACACACACACACACACAAACAAAGAGCTACTCCACGCTACGTATTTTGTGCTGCATTCTTTACATCCATCATCTCACTGAATCATTAGAATTTTGTGAGGTTGGCTGGGGTGGCTCATGCCTGTAATCCCAGCACTTTGGAAGGCTGAGGCGGGCGGATCACCTGAAGTCAGGACTTCCAGACTGGCCTGGTCAACATGGTGAAACCCCGTCTCTACTAAAAATACAAAAATTAGCCAGTGTGGTGGCACGTGCCTGTAATCCCAGCTACTTGGGAGGCTGAGGCAGGAGAATCGCCTGAATCCAGGAGGCAGAGGTTGCAGTGAGCCTAGATCGCGCCACTGCACTTCAGTCTGGGTGACAGAGCGAGACTCTGCCACAAAAAAAAAAAAAAAAAAAAAAAAGACAAACAAAAAAAAAGGATTATGTGAAGTTGATGCCACCCACCTTCCCCCCAGCCTCACCTCTGGTTTCCAATGAGGAAACTGAATCTCAGACAAGCTAAGTCAGGAGTCCAAAGTCACACAGCTGGTACTTGGTAGAGTCAGACTTTGTGCTCAGTACAATGCTTTTGCTAAATTTGACATGCAGCAGGAAGTAGCAAGCCCCAGCAGACCACAGAGTACTGGGCAGCTTTCCCCTGGACCTTGGGAGATACTCCCCTCCCTGCCAGGGTACCCCATTGCCCCTTCCCAAGGCCAGGAAATAAGTGGCTTGATCACACCTAGCCTGGACCCCAAGACCCGGCAGGGTCCTCCCCCACTTCCAGCTCCAAGCCCAAGGATGCCTTCAAGGTCTCCCGGGACCTCAAGCGGAAGGAACACACAAGCCAGGACAGACCCTGTCTCCCTGGGATGGCCGCCAAAGTCACTGGGCCAGCAGAAGAAACAGCTTCTCCCCAGTGAGTGGGAAGGACTGAGGAGCCTGTCAGTCTCGCTCTAGGGCTGGTGGGGGTGTGTGAGAGGGCAGGGCAGGCTAAGGAAGCTTCCAGGTTGTCAGGGGTAGAGACATCTGCCCAGGAGGCTGTGAATTGAGCTACGTGAGCTGCAGTGGTCAGGACCTAGGTTAATACTGTAAGCCACGTCCCCCTACCCTTCACCCCAACCCCAGGCTGGCTCAGGTCTCAGAAAGAGGGAAGACAAGAACATCAGAGGGCCAGCAGCTACTATTTCCCAAGCTCTTATTCCAGGCCAGATCCAGAACAGGCTCTCCACGACAGGCTTTGGGTCCAGTCCTCTCAGAACCCTCGCAATGGCCAATGTTTATCTCAAGGATGGGGAAACGCGGAGGCTCTGAGATGAGGCAGCCTGCCTGAGGTCACCGAGTACTAAGCGGCCAAGCTCTGGGGGATCTCAAGGCTGTGGCAGGGTTTCCCAGCTTCTGCCTGCTACAACTGCCACTGCTCCTTCCAGGCCACAACTGTAGGACTTCTGGGCCCCCAAGTGAGAAGCCCACATGGTGTTAAAGATGAGCCTGAACAAATAAACGCTACAGGGGTGACTGAGGCCCACTGTTTGCGGGAGAGTCCAGAGCAGCCCCTGCTGTCCCCACTGGGAGGCAGAGCCTGCAGGTGCGAGGTAACATCACCAGCCCCCAAGCCTGCTTCACTCCAGGGATGGATCCAAATCCAGTCAACCCACACTGTGTCCGTCCCCCTGGCACCCTGTCCGTCCTCCAGGGCCTAAGCTGAGACCCCTCCACCTCCTCTCCACAATGAAAAGCCCACGGCAAGGTCCCCTACCAAATGGACACTTCTACTGCTGTGTAGGGCCTGGCCCCACTTGGGCAGCCATCTCTTGTGCCCTACAATCTTAGGCGGACACCTCCTCATTCCACCGTCACCACAGCACTTACAGCACCCTCAGCCTGGGTGCCTAAGCATATCATCCTACGCGCCTCCTCCCCTGCGCTAGACCACCCCACTAATGACTCTGGCCTGTGCACTCACTCATTCCGTCTGGACCCCAACAACGTCCCCGACTCCCTTGAGCCACTCTGCCCAGTCTCCTATTCACCCCATGCCGGACCCCTCAATAGTCCCACCATGCCGGGCACCGGGCATCCCCGCGTTGGACCTCAGCAATATCCCCGTCTTCAGAAATTGCTCACTCCACCCCAGGCATCTTGGGCAGCCCCTTCTTCTCTTGCCCCCACCCCGGAATATCATTGAAACTCACCCAGGTACCCTCTGGCGCCGCTCACGGCCCGCACGCCTGCTCCTTCCATCCCGGGTGCTCTCCCCGCCTCGGATCGGGTACCTGCGCGCCTGCTCCAATCCCCGCCACGTTCCAGGCCCGGGCATCACCTCCCTGACCCAAGTACCTTCTCGTTCCGCTCCCAAGCAAGGCACCCTCTCGCACCGTCCCCGGCCCGGGTACCCACTCATTCCAACCCCGACACCTTCCTGGTCCTGTTGGGCCCGGACACCTGCGCCTACTCGGTCCTCCGCTCAAGTCCCGGCCCTGCCGCGCTGCCCGCCCGCCTTGGGGGCTCGGCCGGGGCCGATACTCACCCGGGATGCCATCGCTGCGGAAGGGCAGCGTCTCCTTCCCCGGCGGCTGCGCAACCAAACCGGCCGCCCGGGGGCGTGGCCTAGCGCCAAGCCCCCACCCTCTTCTGGCCAATGAGCATCGCTGAGTCTCTCAGGGCCGCCGCAGCCTCTGGCCAATTAGGCGGGTCATGTGACCAAGCTTATATTCCGCCTCTCCCGCCCTCTTCCCCTCCTCCTAGTGCGGTTGAAGCGCGAAAGTGGTCTCTTCTCTTCTACTATTGGTCATTCAGATTAGATCGACATGGGCGGCTGGGTGGGGCGGGGCCATTCTTAAAGGGGCTGAAGCGGAGCAGTCAGACCTCCAAGGGGCTTTCTTGGAGTACGCCAAAGCAGGCTGAGCCCTCGTATTAGGATCCTCTATTCTTGTTCCACACAAGGACAAATCCTTCCCACTCTCCAAGCGCCCATTTTCAAATACTACCGCCCCTGACTTCCCGCAGCATGCTCTTATACTGTCGCCACTCTCCCCCTTGTTCTGGAGTTGTTTGCAAAAGTGCCAGGTCTCGCCGCTAGACAGTGTCTCTCTGAGAGCTGGAGTCAAGGGGTCTTCAGTTCTGGCCACCTATCTGGGTCTTACACTAAATACCAGGATTGAGATCAGGCCGACCTGAGATAGAATCAAGTGTTGCCACTTCAGCTCTCTAGAGCTTACCCCTCTATGAAATAGGGATGAGGCCGGGCGCGGTGGCTCACGCCTGTAATCCTAGCAGTTTGGGAGGCCGAGGTGGGTGGATCACGAGGTCAGGAGTTCGAGACCAGCCTGGCCAACCTGGTGAAACCCTGTCTCCACTAAAGATTAAAAAAAAAAATTAGCCAAGCTTGGTAGCACACACCTGTAATCCCAGCTACTCAGGAGGCTGAGGCAGGAGAATCTCTTGAACCCGGGAGGCAGAGGTTGCAGTGAGCTGAGATCCACCCATTGCACTCCAACCTGGGCCAAAGGGCGAGACTCCGTCTCAAAAAGAAAAAAAGAAATAGGGATAAAATCTTCCCTTTCCCAAATCATAGGGCTTTGGTGAGGATGGAAAGAGGACGGTGTATCAGCCCTTCCATAACTGCGAAGAGCTGGGCACAACTACGTTTTAAAATTGTAATCGTCGGCCGGTAGCAGTGGCTCATGCCTCTATTCCCAGCACTTTGGGAGGCTGAGGTGAGTGGATCACATGAGGTCAGGAGTTCGAGACCAGCCTGGCCAAAATGGTGAAAACCGGTCTCTACTAAAAATAAAAAAGCTAGCTGGGCGTGGTGGCACACACCTATAATCCCAGCTACTTGGGAGGCTGAGGCAGGAGAATTGCTTGAGCCGGGAGGAGGAGATTGCAGTTAACCAAGATCACGCCACTGCACTCCAGCCTGGGCAACAGAGCCAGACTCCATCTCAAAAAAAAAAAAAAAAAAAAAGCCCGGGAGCAGTGGCTCACGCCTGTAATCCCAGCACTTTGAGAGGCCAAGGCAGGTGGATCATGAGGTCAGGAGATCGAGACAATCCTGCCCAACATGGTGAAACCCCATCTTTACTAAAAATATAAAAATTAGCCCAGCATTGTGGCGTGTGCCTGTAGTCCCAGCTATTCAGGAGGCTGAGGCAGCAGAATCGCTTGAAACTGGGAGGTGGAGGTTGCAGTGAGCCGAGATTGCGCCACTGCACTCCAACCTGGGTGACAGAGCAAGACTCCATTTCAAAAAAAAAAAAAAAGGAAAATTACAATTGTCGGTAAAGCCACATTCCTTCATTCATTCAACTAATTAAGTGTGCCAATCCTTTGGCTGGACATGGGAGCTCAGTGGTGGACAAGAGACAGGTATGTGGTGGCACCAGGGAGCTCATTGTCTGGGGAGCAGATACTTAATCACAATCCCCTGTGATGGTTACTCTAATGGGGGAATGTGGGATACCAAGGAGATACCTGGGCTTGCCTGGGGAGGTGAAGGGCTCCAGAAAGAAAAGGGGTCCAAGGCCGGATGTGGTGGCTCACGCCTGTAATCCCAGCACTTTGAGAGGCCGAGGCGGGCAGATCACCAGGTCAGGAGTTCGAGACCAGCCAGACCAACATGATGAAATTAGCCAGGGGTGGTGGCATGCGCCTGTAATCCCAGCTACTCAGGAGGCTGAGGCAGGAGAATCATCTCTTGAACCCGGGAGGCGGAGGTTGCAGTGAGCCGAGATGGCGCCACTGCATTCCGAGACTCCGTGGGGAGGGGAGGGAAGGGGAAGGCAAGGGAGGGGACGGGAGGGGAGGGTGGTCCAAACAGCGGATGCCCAGTGCCCGGCATGGTGGGACTGGTGAGAGGTCTGGCATGGGGTGAATAGGAGACTGGGCAGAGTGGCTAAAGGGAGTCGGGGATGTTGTTGGGGTCCAGGCGGAATGAGTGCACAGGCCAGAGTCATTAGTGGGGTTGTCTGGCACAGGGGAGGAGGCGCATGGGATGATAAGCTTAGACACCCAGGCTGAGGGTGCTGTAAGTACTGTGGTAACTTTGGAATATAAAATTAGCCGGGGGTGGTGGTACCTGCCCCCAAATACTTGGGAGGCTGAGGCAGGAGAATCGCTTGAACTCAGGAGGTGGAGGTTGCAGTGAGCCAAGATCGTCATGCCATTGCACACCAGCCTGGACAACAAGAGTGAAACTCCGTCTCAAAAAAAAAAAAAAGGGTGGGGGGGGGGCCAAGGGCCAGGCACGGTGGCTCATGCCTGTAATCCCAGCACTTTAGGAGGCTAAGGCGGGCGGATCACCTGAGGTTGGGAGTCGGAGACCAGCCTGACCAACATGGAGAAACCCTGTCTCTACTAAAAATACAAAAAATTAGCTGGGCATGGCGGCAGGTGCCTGTAATCCCAGCTACGCAGAAGGCTGAGGCAGGAGAATCGCTTGAACCCGGGAGGCGGAGGTTGCAGTGAGCCGAGATCGTGCCACTGCACTCCAGCCTGGTGACAGAGTGAGACTTCATCTCAAAAAAATAAATATAATAAAATAAAATAACTGTCCTCTAACTGGCAAAAGGTGTTTTGTTTTGTTTTTCTCTAGCAGCCAAATAAGCACTGGCTTCCAATGAAGGATGTATTAAATAAATAAATAAATAAATAAATAAATAAATACAAACAAGCATTGGCCTCAAGATAAGCAACACTCAAACAACTGCAGCTCCTTCAGCTCCCGGACGCTGACTAACTGAACTCCTGTTCTACTAGCCTAACTATAGCTTTCATTGGACAAAAGACTAATTTCAGTTACTCTTCTGATAAGACCAACAGCTGGGTGCGGTAGCTAATGGTTATAACCCCAACACTTTGGGAGTCTGAGGCAGGAAGATCACTGGAATCCAGGAGTTGGAGATCAGGCTGGTCAATACACAGCAAAACGCCGTCTCTATAACTTGCGGTCCCAGTTCCTTGGGAGGCTGAGGCGGGATGATCAATCGCTTGAGCCCAGGAGGTTGAGGCTGCAGTGAGCCGTGATTGTAACACTGCACTCCAGCTGGGTGGCAGAGCGAGACCCTGTCTTAAAAAAAAAAAAAAAAAAAAAGAATTAGACCACTGGCCATGGACCAGTTCTGGCCATTTTGCAGAGATTGGCCGTTGTGTGCCTTCATGTCCCTAAACAATCCTCTTGACATATAGGGCCTAATTGTAATACATCTAAATATTAATTCACCACAAAGTGAACATGGGACCACCTTGATGAATATTCATAGCACCTCCTGCAACCTGTTGAATATGTATGTTTAGTCAACCTATTCAGCATAAAGCTCCTACCACAAGTTCTCCTCCTTCCTGGAGGCGATGCAGGATTTTTCTTGACTTCTTTGTTGGACTTGCGATGGGGGTGCCCTGTCTAGGCCAGCCCGCCATGCTCAACCCTTGTGGGAGGGAGCATGTGGGCGAGCAAGTGCAGGATCCCGCTGGCTGCTCTGGGCGTGGGCAGAAGGAGGCTCCATGCAGGCCCCATGGCGGTGCCCAGGTCGGGGTGCCTGCAAACCCTGAAGCCCCAGAGGACATGTTACAGTGCTCTCTTAGCTCTGCTGTCCATGGACAGCAGTGTGTTATCAGCTCGGTAGGCTCCTTGCTTTGCCACGTGGGGTGGCTGCTCTCTGCCAGTGAGGGCAGAGGGCCAGTATGACGACCTTTTTCGGGTACCCGCACTTGGTGGGTCCTGAGCTCTCGTCTAGTGTCCAAGAAGAATGAGGTCACCTGGACACTTGAAGGATAGCAAAGGAGGAGAATTTTATTTTATTTTATTTTATTTTTATTTATTTATTTATTTTGAGACAGAGTCTTGCTCTGTCGCCCAGGCTGGAGTGCAGTGGCCTGATCTTGGCTCACTGCAACCTCTGCCTCCCAGGTTCAAGTGATTCTCCTGCCTCAGCTTCCCAAGTAGCTGGGAATACAGGCACCCACCACAACCACGCCCAGCTAATTTTTTGTATCTTTAGTTGAGACGGGGTTTCATTGTGTTAGCCAGGATGGTCTCCATCTCCTGACCTCATGATCTGCCCGCCTCGGCCTCCCAAAGTGCTGGGATTACAGGTGTGAGCCACCGCGCCAGGCGAGAATTTTATTAAGCAGTAGAAATGACTCTCAGCAGAGAGGTGAACTGGAGAGGAGATGGGACGGGCAGGTAATCTTCCCCTGAAGCCTGGCCTCTCTGGATGGCTCTTCCCTGTAGTCAAGCCATCTCCCTGAAGTTAAGCCATTTCTCCTCTGAAGTCTAGCTTCTTCACTCTGAAGTAAAGTCGCCTCTCTCTAGTCAAGCCACTTCTCTCTCCCTACCAACTGAGTCTGGGGTCTGGGGGGGGTGGGTCTTTATAGGTACAGGATGGGAGGTGGGGTGGGCTGTAGGTAGTTTTGGAAAAGGCAACATCTGATTGGTAAAAAGGCACGATTCAGAAAGAACCAATCAGGAGAGAGCAGGCAAACGGATGGATAGAAATTCTCACTTTGGGCCACAGGATTCAGGCTTTTCAGCTGGAAGGTAGGGTTTTGCCAGGGACCCGCCCCTGTCTGCCTAGTATTTCTCTGCCTCCTGCCTCTGTCACAGGCATGCTTCCCAATTTGTGGGATGGTCACCTTGCAGTCTGTACCCTTTTATAAGAAATAAAATCTTCTTTCCTTCTTTAAATGTATACATCTTGATTTTTTTTTTTTTGAGATCGAGTTTCACTTTTTTTTTTCCTTTTTTTTGAGGAGGAGTCTCGCTCTGTAGCCTAGGCTGGAGTGCAGTGGCATGATCTCGGCTCACTGCAACCTCTGCCTTCTGGATTCAAGCTATTCTCCTGCCTCAGCCTCCCTTGTAGCTGGGACTACAGATGCACACCACCTCGCCTGGCTAATTTTTGGATTTTCAGTAGAGAAGGAGTTTCACCATCTTGGCCAGGCTGGTCTTGAACTCCTGACCTCGTGATCCACCCGCTTTGGCCTCCCAAAGTGCTGGGATTACACGTGTGGGCCACCATGCCTGGCCGGAGTTTCGTTCCTGTTGCCCAGGCTGGAGTGCAATGGCGTGACCTCGTCTCACTGCAACCTCTGCCTCCTCGGTCCAAGCTATTCTCCTGCCTCATCCTCCCTAGTAGCTGGAACTACAGGCCTACACCACCACGCCCAGCTAATTTTTGGTATTTTTAGTAGAGATGGGGTTTCACCATGTTGTCCAGGCTGGTCTCGAACTCCTGACCTCAGGTGATCCGCCTGCCTCGGCCTCCCAGAGTGCTGGGATTACAGGCGTTTGCCACCGCACCTGGCCTACATCTTGATTTCTTTTTTTTTTTTTTTTTTTTTTTTTTGAGATGGAGTTTCTCTCTTGTTGCCCAGGCTGGAGTGCAATGGCGCTATCTCAGCTGACCGCAACCTCTGCCTCCCGGGTTCAAGCGATTCTCCTGCCTCAGCCTCCCAAGTAGCTGGGATTATAGGCATGCGCCAGCACGCCTGGCTAATTTTGTATTTTTAGTAGAGACAGAGTTTCTCTATCTTGGTCAGCTGGTCTTGAACTCCTGATCTCAGGTGATTCGCCCGCCTTGGCCTCCTGGGATTACATGTATGAGCCACCATGCCTGACTAGATTTTTTTAAAGTTAACACTGGCTAAATGAATGATATAGTCAGCTATAAACAGATGATAGTAAATAAGTCCATGATCAATACAGACAAATAGAAACAAACACATAGTGAACACAAAAACAGAAACACAGAGAATCAGAGTTGAGGGATTGCAGATGTGTGAATGACATGAAAGTTGATGAAGGCAACATGTACATACTGGCCCAAGTACATGACAGGATGGCCCAGGTAGGTGGAGTTTTGAAAGCTCCCAGGTGATTTAATGTTAGAGCCATTGACTTGTTGACCCAGAACCAGGGCTGGGAGAGGGAACAGGGTCTGGATTTTGAACAAGCCCCCAGGTGACTTGAGGCTCACCCTGCAGAGCCATGCTGGGATAGGTGACAGAAACTGGGGTAAGTATAGAAAGATGAACAAAGCCAGATAGAAGAGGGTACAGCTTGGGAACAGAGCTCTCCACTGGGTTCAAAGGTGAAACCTAGGCCGGGCGTGGTGGCTCACACCTGTAATCCCAGCACTTTGGGAGGCGGAGGCAGGTGGATCACGAGGTCAGGAGTTCAAGACCAGCCTGACCAACATGGTGAAACCCCGTCTCTACTAAAAATACAAAAATCAGCCGGGCGTGGTGGCACATGCCTGTAATCCCAGCTACTGTGGAGGGTGAGGCAGGAGAATCGCTTAGACCCCGGGAGGCGGTGGCTGCAGTGAGCTGAGATGGTGCCACTGCATTCCAGCCTGGGTGAAAGAGCGAGACTCCATCTCAAAAAGAAAAAAAAAAAAAAAGAGGAAACCTAGAGGTAGACAGCAAGGAGAGGTGAAGACCAGTACAAAGCCTCTATCTGAGCCCCAAGGGAAGGCATTTGGGGTCAGGAGCACCTGTAGGTCATCTCCTTGCCTGGGGCTGTGAGGAGCTGGTTTCAAGGTTATCACACATCTGTGCTCCCAGGGCAGCTCATTCTCTCCACCCTGACAGTCACCCAACCTTTGATCTCCTCCTCTCACCACACAGGGGGCTCCAGGCCCCAGCTCCAGAACCCCCTCCCTTCCCGTGACCGCCACCCCAACCCTCCTCCAATTTGGGGAAGCCACAGGGCCTCCCAGGCTGACAAACAGCTGTTCCAGCGGTGGAGGGCAAGTCCCAAGCCTGACTCCGGCTCAGTCACCAAGGTCAGGGCAGAAGAGAGGAGGAGAGGTCAGAGAGGAGGAGTAACGGGAGGAAACCCAAGGGAAACAGAGTGGAAGAAATGGGAATGGGAGGGAGGGGGTGTGAATAAAGAGCGGAGATGAAGAGGCACAAACAGGGGAGAGGCAGCAGGCCTGGGTGGTGGGAGGAGAAAGCAAGAGAGGCCCATTTTAGAGATCTGTTGCACATATTGGTGACTACTCAGTCACTTAGTGACTTTGGGAGACTGAGGCAGGCAGATTGCCTGAGATCAGGAGTTCAAGACCACCCTGGGCAACATGGCAAAACCTTGTCTCTCCTAAAGTACAAAAAATTAGCGGGGCATGTTGGTGGGCGCCTGTAGTCCCAGCTACTCGGGAGGCTGAATGAAGCAGGAGAATCGCTTGAGCCCGGCAGGTGGAGGCTGCAGTGAGCCGAGATCGCGCCACTGCACTCCAGCCTGGGCGACAGAGCAAGACTCTGTCTACAAAAAAAAAAAAAAAGTATTGCATATTTCAAAATTGCTAAAAGAGTACATTTGAAATGTTCTAACCACAAAAAAAGTAGGTGAGGTGATGGATATGTCAATTAACTTGATTTCATCATTCCACAATTTCATCACCTTGTAGGCCGTAAATATATATTTATCAATTAAAACTTTTGAAAAGCATTGGTAAGATGGCAAATAATATGTAATTATGGCGTGTACCTGCAATCATCTAAGAGCACATGTGTTCCAGTTTTAATAATTTTAGTAAAAGGAAAAAAAGAGGCCGGCCCAATCCGCGGCGGCAGGCGCATGGGGGCAGCAGCGAGCACTGCCCAGCAGCGAGCCCTGCCCAGCACAACCTGCTCCCCAGACCAACCCCCGCTCTGGCCGCGCCAAGGCCTCGCCCCCACCCATGTAGCTCCGCCCCACTGCCCTCTCGCTCCGCCCCTGTCCCGCCAGTCCCGCCCCCTCCGACTCCGCCCGGCTTCCGCCAACCAGCCCGGCCCCCGCCCCTCTAGCTCCGCCCCACTGCCGTCCCGTCCCGCCCCGGCACCGCCAGCTCCGCCCCCGCCCCTCTGGCTCCGACCCGCGGCCTCCGCGCCCCGCCCTGCGCGCTCGGGCTGGCTCGGCGGCTGCGGCGGGCGGGCAGGCGGGCAGGCCGGCAGGCGGGTGCGCGGAGGGCTGGTGCCCCGCAGCAGGTGGGCGGGGTGCGGTTGGCGGCGGCGGCTGGGCCGGGGGCTGCCGGCTGCGCTCGGGCCGTGCGCGGCGGCCGTGCGGGCACGCCATGGACTTCAACATGAAGAAGCTGGCGTCGGACGCGGGCATCTTCTTCACCCGGGCGGTGCAGGTGAGGCCTGGCGTCGCGCCGTGCGCCGGGGGCCCGGATGTGCGGCGGGCGGGGAGCACCCTGCGGCAGACGCCTGGGGACGCGGGAAAGCCCTCCCGGGCTGCTGCCCTCGTCCCCGCCGCGGCACACCTCTGCCCCCCTGAGCCCTTGCTGACCGGAAGAGGGAAAGAGCCCGTGCGGCCCGAGCCGGGCCTTGGCCCTGCTGCCTGGGGCGAGGCACCGGTGCCCACCCTTTGGGCTGGTTGGGTTACCCTGCTCCCCTGGCGCCTGCCTGGCTGAGGAGGGGAGGAGGCACCGGCTGGGTGCTACCTCCCTGCCCTTGTCCAGCAGTGACTGGCGCCTGGCGGGGCATTTAGCGACCTGGGTCCCAGGCCCAGGGACTCATGCGTCCACCACAACCCCTTCTCCGAGCCTCAGTCTCCGCACCTGTGCAATGGGCGGCTGGTGCCATGAGTCCCTCATGGCCATTTCACACGTTTGGATAGTCAGGCCGGAAGCCAGGAGTTGTTTCTTTTCTGCTCCACGGGAGGTCTGTTTCCTTGGTCCCTGGGCCTGGGGGATGGAGAGAGGGCTGGGGTCTGGCTGGGAAGCTGTCCAGGCCCACGATGCTGAGATTGGAAGAAGTCCTATCCGTTTAGGGGCAGAGAGTAACAGGCAACTCAACATCATGGGAAGACCTAGGGTCAGGTGTGGGTGGGAATGTGCCCTCCTGTGACCTTGGGGGAGGGGCCTTCATCTCACTGGGCCTCAGTTTCTCAGTCTGAAAAATGGGATCAGTATTCCTGCCTCCCAGGACAGATGCGAGGATTCTGTGGGACTCTGCATATGTGTGCTCACCAAAGGCAAGCTCATTATTGGTGTCAAAGTGGTTAATATTGCACCTGTGCAGCATGTGACCTTGGACAAGTCACTTCTCTCAGAGCCCCGCCCTCCCCTTCTGTAAATCTGGTGTAACACCGTGGTTATGGGATTCAGTGGGATTCCGCAGGCCCGGGGCTGGCCCATCCCAGGGTTCTGGGAGCAGGTCCTGTAGTCTTGTCTTTGTCGTTGTCGTTGTCATCGTTGTTGTTTCTGTTGAGTACAGTTCTCTCCCCACCCCCAACCCGGGCACTCCCCTCCCCAGGAGCCCACACCCAGCCAGCAACCCATGTAGTCATGTTTACTAGAAGGTGCTGTGTCCCGCTGAGGATTAGCATCCCAGCGAGAATTCACTGCTTAATGTGTTCCAAGTCTGGTGGGCAGCCCCAGCCCTAGTGGAGATGCCAGGATCCCAGAGCCCCTCGGATTGGACGGCCCCAGTCCATCTGGGAGGGGGGAACCCACTCTGCTGTTGGTATGGCAACCACACTATCTCCCACATCTGGGAAGAACCTGATCTGCCAGTTCCCTGCTAGGGCTGGGGCCCTGCTGCCTGACCTGGCCAGGGCTCTCAGGACCTAGGCAGGGCAGGGCCTAGGTGTGGCTCCGCTTGGTGGGAGCTGCCCCACAGGGTCACTGTTACTGGAGTGGGAGCCAGCAGTCAGGCCCCAGCCTCGGGGTGGGAGGGAGGGAGCTGAGAGCTTTATAAATAGAGGCTTTCTCTGCTCTGCACGCCCACCCCACTGCTGCCATTTTCCCGGGAGCAGCCTCGGACTCCAGCACCAAACCCCTTCCTCTTGGCAGGATTGGGGCAGAGTGGCAGGCCAGGGGATAGAGAGGCCTGAAATGTGACCTGGCAGGAGAGGCCACAGAGGGGCTCCGCCTGAGACCAAGCTGGCCTGGATGGGAGACAGTCAGGAGGGATGGGAGAGGGGTTCTTTATGATCAATACATGTGATGGGCTCAGGAACCTCCCAGTCCCTGCAGGTACAAGAAACAACTTTAAGAGCCTCCCCGATCCAGCAAGGAACAAGGCCTTGGCCCTGAGATGAGGATCCAGAGGGCAGGATCCCTTTTGTATGGGTCATTCTGGGATGGTCTCCTGCATGGAGGGCCCCTGAACTGTGCTCAGAAAGTAGGGAGGGGCTCATGATGTTGGTCCAAGTGGCAGGAGCAGCCCAGATAAGGGCACCGAGGCAAGAAAACCTAAGGCAGATTTGGACAAGATGCCAGTGGGGGTGGGAGAGGGCAGGAGGAGTGATAGTACTAATACTATTAGTAGTAATTGCAGTAACAGTAATAGTAGTGGTAGAAGTAATACTTATAAAGTCCAGAGAGGTGGTGGCATCGTCATCATGGAGCTAGGCAGACTGCAGTGGACATGGGATGGATGCCGTCTAGTTTGGGAAAGCCTGGTAGAACTTCTCACCTGGGCAGATGTGGCCTGTAAGGGAGGGCGGGGTGGGGAGTGCTGCTCTGAACCTTGGTAAGGAGGGGAGGTGTTGAGGTGCACATTTAGGGTGATGCCCTTGGTACCATCAGGGTAGCTCCTGAGAGCTGAGGAGGGATGTGAGGGAGGCCTGCCTGCCTGCCTGCCTGCCTGCCTGCCTTCCTTCCTTCCTCCCTTAGTCCCTCTCTCCTTTCTTCTTTCCTTCCTTTTTTTTTTTTGAGACAGAGTCTCATCCTGTCGCCGAGGCTGGAGTGCAGTGGCACAATCTCGGCTCACTGCAACCTCCACCTTTCAGGTTCAAGTGATTCTTCTGCCTCAGCCTCCCGAGTAACTGGGATTATAGGCACCTGCCACCACTCCTGGCTAATTTTTTTTTTGTACTTAGTAGAGACAGGGTTTCACCACGTTGGCCAGGCTGGTCTCAAACTCCTGGGCTCAAGTGATCCTCCTGCCTCGGCCTCCCAAAGTGCTGATATTACAGGTATGAGCCACCATGCCTGGCCTTTTTTTTTTTTTTTTTGAGACGGAGTCACTCTGTCACGCAGGCTGGCGCAGTCTCAGCTCACTGCAGCCTCCGCCTCCCCGGTTCAAGCAATTCTCCTGCCTCAGCCTCCCGAGTAGGTGGGATTACAGGCGCCCACCACCACGTCATGCTAATTCTTGTATTTTTAGTAGAGATGGGGTTTTACTATGTTAGCCAGGCTGGTCTCGAACTCCTGACCTCACGTGATTCACCTGCCTTGGCCTCCCAAAGTGCTGGGATTACAGGCGTGAGCCACCATGCCTGGCTTCCTTGCTGTCTTTTTTTTTTTTTGAGATGGAGTCTCGCTCTGTCACCCAGGCTGGAGTGCAGTGGCGTGATCTCGGCTCACTGCAAGCTCCACCTCCCAGGTTGATGCCATTCTCCTGGCTCAGCCTCCCGAGTAGCTGGGATTACAGGCGCCTGCCACCACGCTTGGCTAATTTTTTGTATTTTTAGTAGAGATGGGGTTTCACCGTGTTAGCCAGGATGGTCTTGATCTCCTGACCTCGTGATCCGCCCACCTCGGCCTCCCAAAGTCTTTCTTTTTTTAAGGCAGGTTCTTGGTCTGTCACCCAGGCTGGAGTGCAGTGACATGATATTGGCTCATTGCAACCTCCGCCTCCTGGGCTCCCACCTCAGCCCCTTGAGTAGCTGGGACTACAGGTGGGTGCCACCACGCCCAGCTAATTTTTTTTTTTTTTTTTGAGACTGAGTCGCACTCTGTGGCCCAGGCTGGAGTGCAGTGGGGCGATGCTCATTGCAAGCTCCGCCTCCCAGGTTCATGCCATTCTCCTGCCTCAGCCTCCCGAGTTACTGGGTCTACACGTGCCCGCCACCACACCCGGCTAATTTTTTGTATTTTTAGTAGAGAAGGGGTTTCACCTTGCTAGCCAGGATGGTCTCGATCTCCTGACCTCGTGATCCGCCTGCCTTGGCCTCCCAAAGTGCTGGGATTATAGGCATAAGCCACCGTGCCGGGCTTTTTTTTTTTTTTTTTTTTTTTTGTAGAGAGGAGGTCTCACGGTTGCCCAGGCTGGTCTTGAACTCCTGGGCTCAATCCATCTGCCCACATCGGCCTTCCAAAGTGCTGGGATTATAGGCATGAGCCACTGCACCTAGCCAAGGCTTTTCATTAATGATGGTGATAATAATACTAGCTAACATGTATCAGCCCCATACTGTGTGCTGGCCAAATAGCCAATGAACTAGATCCTGTTATCTGCATTCTCCAGGCAGGGGCTCTCAGGTCCAGAAGGGAGACTTTGCCTCTTCGAGCCTTGGTTTCCTCATTTGGGAAATGGGGTGAACGCCACCCCCCTCAAAGGACTGGGTGAGGTAATAGAGCCACGAGGAAATCTGAGCCTCTGCTCTGGAAGGTCTCATTTTGGGGAGTGTGACGAGGAAGAGGAGGCAGAGCCAGCCAGGGTGGGGGAGGGAGGCCAGGAGCAGCTGGCCCCAGGCAGGAGCTGAGGCCATACCCCTGGCAGCTGGGCCCTCCCAGCCCTGCAGGGAGAAACCCAAGCTCTGCTACATAATTGATGGCTGCTGAGCTCCTGGTGGCCGCCCAGCCCGCCACCCCCCACCGCAGCTGGAGCCAACTGCAGCCAGGGATGATTCATGGCTGACCGACTCCTGCGTGGCCCTGCCCCTTGCTCAGCCTCAGTGGCAGCATCTGTGAAATGGGAAACAGCCCTCCTTGCATTAGAGGTTGATGAGGTCATGAGGAAACCCTTAGGACAGGGCTGGCCAACAGTGTTTGTTGTTCCTTATCTTACTCCTGCAGGTCTTCACCCTGGCTGTGACCTTGGGCAAGCCCTTTCTCTTAGCTAGAGAAGGCCTTGGTGTCCCCGTTTGGAAAATGGGGACATGTGTTCCAGGGCCCTCTTAGATCAGAGGGGCCAGGACTTGGACCAGTTTCTGGTTGTTCCTAGGTAGCCCCCACGGCTTCTGCCAGCTTTGATGGGGACCCATGCGACATCCGGGCCCTGGGTGTGCCCAGCCGCTGGCTCTGATAGGCTGGCAGTGTTTCCATCTACCCTACCAGGTGGCCAAAGCCAACCGTTTGGCCATCCTCCCTCCCTGCATTCCCCTTCCTTCCCAGACGTCTCTGCACCCATCAGCTCATAGCACCGGTGCCTTACGTGGGGCAGCAGCACTGTAGCCGACCCAGCCTTTATGTCTAACCCACATCTTTCCTCTTTCATCCTCATAACCTATGGGGGAGGTGCTATTATTCCCTTTTTTCAGCTCAGGAAACCAATGCTCAGAGAGGCAGAGCCCCTTGCCCAAAGTCACACATCTTGACAGTGGCAGAACTAAGACTTGAATCAGGTCCTTCTGAACCCCGACCCTGGGTTCTTCCTCTCCCTCCTCTGGCACCCTCTCCCTAGCAGCTCCCAGCTGCCCATGGAGCCCCCTGATAACCCCAGACCCTACTCCCTGCCCTGTTTGTCCCGAGTACTTTCTACCAAGTCCTCTCCTTCAGAGTCAGACTCAAAGGACCCTAGGGCTGGCCTCCCCAGGGTTCCTCACCGCACTAAGCTGTGTGCCAGATTGTATATGAAGGTGCATTTTTGTGGGGAGAGAGTGTAGCTTTCATTGGATTTCCAAAAGAAGCTGTGATTCCCACACTCTGGCCCAGCCACCTCATTTCACAAAGGGGAAAACAGTGAGGCCCTGCCAGGTCACACAGTATCACACTCAGGGCTGGTTCCTTGACCCTGGGGCCTGCCTGGGTTCCTGCTGGTGGGGAGGGGCAGTCCTCCCTTTCCCCACCACTCCCCCACCTCCTTCTGAGCTCTCCCCCTCCCCACCCCTTGGCCTTCCCCTCTGCGTAGTTCACGGAGGAGAAATTTGGCCAGGCTGAGAAGACTGAGCTTGATGCCCACTTTGAAAACCTTCTGGCCCGGGCAGACAGCACCAAGAACTGGACAGAGAAGATCTTGAGGCAGACAGAGGTGCTGCTGCAGCCCAACCCCAGTGAGTGCGTGTTCGTGGGCCCGGGGAGGGATGTAGTCGTGGGGCAGGGATACAGTAGGAGGCCTGGCCCTGTTGTGGCATAGGTGGGGCGGGGCTGCAGCCGGGGTTTCAGCTAGACTCTTGGGCTCAAGGCTGTTGAAGAGGGACAGTTAAAAGAAAATGGGGGACTCTGTGTTGGGCTGCCAGACACTCCAGGGCAGTGGAAACACTGAGTTTTGCACAGAAGAGTTAAAATGCCTGGAAGCTAAAACACACGTGGGAGAAGAGGCAGGCAAAACACACACCTGGTTGGTCACTCTGTTGGTTTTTTTTTTTTTTTTTTTGAGGTGGAGTCTTGCTCTGTCACCCATTCTGGAGTGCAATGGTGCAATCTTGGCTCACTGCAACCCTTGCCTCCTGGGTTCAAGCGATTCTCCTGCCTCAGCCTCCTGAATAGCTGGGACTACAGGCACATGCCACCACGCCCAGCTAATTTTTGTATTTTTAGTAGAGAAGGGGTTTCACCATGTTGGCCAGGCTGGTCTTGAACTCCTGACCTCAAATGATCCACCCGCCTTGGCCTCCCAAAGTGCTGGGATTATAGGCAGGAGCCACCGTGTCCGTCCCAACCTGGTCACTTTCAAGAGGTCAGCAAGGCCCAGAGATGAAGGGACTGCCCGGAGCACACCCAGGCAGGCCCCCAAGGTCAAGCAGAAGCGACCTGCAGGACTTCCGGGGAAAGGAGGGTGGCTCCGGGTCGTGCTGTGTGTCTGCCTGTAAATCTGCTCTGTGGCTCATTGAGGGGCCAGATAACTTTTGGGTGCCAGGAGCAGAGAATTGTGCAAGCATGTATTATGGTCTGTAATCATATTAATAAGGGAGAAGTGGACGGGCCCTGGCTTCCTCCTCTGTATAGTGCTGGGTCAATCACAACAGTCTCAGGGTTGGGCATGAGCAAGAGCGTATTCTGGAAGTCAGCAGGCCAGGTGCACCTGTGGGCAGGGCCGGGTCTGGGTCTGTTTCTGTTTCATTTTTGGGCTTGAACTAAGGAGCCCTGTGGCTTTGGCTGCTGTCTCCCCACAGGTGCCCGAGTGGAGGAGTTCCTGTATGAGAAGCTGGACAGGAAGGTCCCCTCAAGGGTCACCAACGGGGAGCTGCTGGCTCAGTACATGGCAGACGCGGCCAGTGAGCTGGGGCCGACCACCCCCTATGGTGAGCAGGCCTCACAGCCAGGGACTAGGGGTCATGGTCTTTAGCTCTGATTCTCCCTCCCTCCCTTCCTTTTTTTTACTTAAAAAAATAATTATACAAATAATACCTGAATTCATTCTAAATGTAAAAACTCTACGCAGAAAAAAAGAGTAAAAAATGGAATCTTCTCTTAACCAGTTTTGGTTTGTGTGTGTGTGTGTGTTTTGTTTTTGTTTTTTTTTGAGATGGAGTCTCGCTCTGTCGCCCAGGCTAGAGTGCAGTGGCGTGATCTCGGCTCACTGCAAGCTCCACCTCCTGGGTTCCCGCCGTTCTCCTGCCTCAGCCTCCCAAGTAGCTGGGACTACAGGCGCCCGTGACCACGCCTGGCTAATTTTTTTTGTATTTTTTAGTAGAGACGAGGTTTCACCATGTTAGCCAGGATGGTCTCGATCTCCTGACCTCGTGATCTGCCCGCCTATGCCTCGAAAACTGCTGGGATTACAGGCGTGAGCCACCGCGCCCGGCCTATTTTTTTTTTTTTGAGACACAGTTTCACTCCATCACCCAGGCTGGAGTGCGGTGGTGCGATCTCAGCTCACTGCAACGCCCCTGCCTCCCAGGTTCAAGTGATTCTCCTGCCTCAGCCTCCCGAGTAGCTGGGACTACAGGAGCCCGCCACCACACCCAGCTAATTTTTGTGTTTTTAGTAGAGGCAGGGTTTCACCATGTTGACCAGGCTGTTCTCAAACTCCTGACCTCAAGTGATCCGCCTGCCTCAGCCTCCCAAAGTGCTGGGATTACAGGTGTGAGCCACCGCACCTGGCCTATTTGTGTGTATTTTTTAATGGAATCATATTGTGTGCTATCTGGGAACCTGACTTTTTTTTTTTTTTTTTTTTTTTTTTGGAGATGGAGTTTTGCTCTGTTGTCCGGGCTGGAGTGCAGTGGCGCAATCTCAGCTCACTGCAACCTCCGCCTCCTGGGTTCAAGCAATTCTCCTGCCTCAGCCTCCCAAGTAGCTGGGATTCCATGTGCCCACCAGCACACCTGGCTAACTTTTTTGTATTTTTAGTAGAGACGGTGTTTTACCATGTTGGCCAGGCTGGTTTCCAACTCCTGACCTCAAGTGATCTGCCCGCCATGGCCTCCCAAAGTGCTGGGATTACGGGCATGAGCCACCGCACCCGGCTGGAACCTGACTTTTTAACTTGACATCATATTACAGGTATCTTTTCACTGAAGCATTTATAGAACCATATCCATCTTTTTTTTTTCATTTTAAAATTTTATCCAAGTATAAGCTATATATTATGTGTTTAAGTGTATAATTCAATGATTTTTAGTAAATTTACAGAGTTGTACAAACATCTCCACAATCTAACTTTTTTTTTTTTTTTTTTTTTGAGGCAGAGTCTCACTCTGTCACCCAGGCTGGAGTGCGGTGGCGCAATCTCAGCTCACTGCAACCTCTGCCTCCTGGGTTCAAGCATCCCGGGTCCTCCCTCAGCTACCCAAGGAGCTAGGATTGCACACGCCCACCACCACTCCCAGCTAATTTTTGTATTTTTAGCAGAGACCGGGTTTCACCATGTTATCCAGGCAGGTCTCGATCTCCTGACCTCCGGTGATCCACCCGCCTCAGCCTCCCAAAGTGCTGGGATAACAGGCGTGAGCAACTGCGCCCAGCCAAACTTATTTATTTTTTATTTTCTGTTACCTTTTTTGAGACAGGGTCTGGCTCTGTCCCCCAGGCTGGATTGCAGTGGTGCAATCTCAGCTCACTGCAACCTCTGCCTTTTGGGCTGAAGGCATCCTTCCACCTCAGCCTCCTGATTAGCTGGGATTACAGGTGTCCACCACCATGCCCTTCTAATTTTTATATTTTTCTGTAGAGATGGGGATCTCGCTATGTTGCCCAGGCTGATCTCAAACTCCTAAGCTGAAGTGACCTCCCACCTTGGCCTCCCAAAGTGCTGGGATTACAGGAGTGTGCCACCGTGCCCGGCCCACAGTCTAATTTAAAGAACATTTCCATCACACCCCAAAAGTCCTTCATGTCTATTGTCAAGCCCCATTTTCACCTCCAGCCAGCCAACCACTAACGTGTTTTCGGTCCCTATAAGTTCATTTTTTCTGAACATTTTATATAAATGGAATCATATGACATGTTGTTTCTTGCATTTAGCTGCTTTTACCTAACATAATTTTTTTTTTTTTTTTGAGATGGAGTCTCACTCTGTCACCCAGGCTGGAGTGCAGTGGCACAATCTCGACTCACTGCAAGCTCCTCCTCCCGGGTTCATGCCATTCTCCTGCCTCAGCCTCCCGAGTAGCTGGACTACAGGCGCCTGCCACCACGCTCGGCTAATTTTTTGTATTTTTAGTAGAGATGAGGTTTCACCATCTTGGCCAGGCTGGTCTTGAACTCCTGACCTCGTGATCCACCCGCCTCGGCCTCCCAAAGTGCTGGGATTACAGGCATAGCCACTGTGCCTGGCCTCAGGTAAATTTAACTTAACTCTTTTTTTTTTTTTTGAGACGGAGTCTCTCTCTGTCACCTAGGCTGGAGTGCAGTGGCGCAATCTTGGCTCACTGCAACCTCCGCCTCCTGGGTTCAAGCAATTCTCTTGCCTCAGCCTTCCAAGTCGCTGGGATTACAGGCACCCGCCACCATGCCCAGCTAATTTTTTGTGTTTTTAGTAGAGACGGGGTCTCACCATGTTGGCCAGGCTGGTCTTGAACTCCTGACCTTGTGATCCGCCCGCCTTGGCCTCCCAAAGTGCTGGGATTACAGGCGTGAGCCACTGCGCCCAGCCAATTTAATTTAACTTTTTAAGAAGTTGCCAAACTGTTTTCCAAAGTAGCTGTATGATTTTTTTATTCCTGTCAGTAGTGTGTTGTTTCATTTTCAGATATTTGTGGATTTTCTGGGTTTTCTTCTATTGTTGCTTTTAACTTAATTCCACTGCGATCAGAGAATGTATGAACATGTCGTGCTATGTTAGTATTATTATTATTTTGAGATGGAGTCTCGCTCTGTCGCCCAGGCTGGAGTGCAATGGTGCCATCTGGGCTCACTGCAAGCTCCACTTCCCAGGTTCAAGGGATCCTCCACCTCAGCCTCTCAGCCTTCTGAGTAGCTGAGATTACAGGCACGCACCATCACGCACCTATAATCACACCCAGCTAATTTTTTTTTTTTTTTTTTTTGTTTGAGACGGAATCTCGCTCTGTCGCCCAGGCTGGAGTGCAGTGGCACGATCTCGGCTCACTGCAACCTCCGCCTCTCGTGTTCATGCCATTCTCCTGCCTCAGCCTCCCAAGTAGCTGGGACTACAGGCACCTGCCACCATGCCAGGCTAATTTTTTTTTTTTTCAGTGGAGACGGGATTTCACCGTGTTAGCCAGGATAGTCGATCTCCTGACCTCGTGATCCACCCACCTTGGCCTCCCAGAGTGCTGGGATTACAGGTGTGAGCCATCACACCCGGCGTATTTTTTGTATTTTTAATAGAGATGGGGGTCTCACCATGTTGGCCAGGCTGGTCTCAAACTCCTGATCTCAAGTGATCCGCCTGCCTTAGCCTCCCAAAGTGCTGGGATTACAGGCATGAGCCAGCACACCCAGCCTCATATTTTTATTGTTTTAATCCTTTTAAATTTATTGAGACTTGTTTCATGACCTAGTATATGGTCTATCTGGGGAATGTCCTAGGTTCACTTGAGAAGATGTGATATTATGCTGTTGAGGGTGCAGTGCTGTATAGGTGTCAGCGAGGCCACATCGGTTAATAGTGTTCAAGGCTTGTATGTCCTTGCTGATTTTGTCTTGTCCTATTCATTATCAAGAGTAGACTATTGAGGCTGGGCATGGTGGCTCACACCTGTAATCCCGCCACTTTGGGAGGTCAAAGTGGTTGGATCACCTGAGGTCAGGAGTTCAAGACCAGCCTGGCCAACATGGTGAAATCCTGTCTCTACTAAAAATACAAAAAAATTAGCTGGGCATGCTGGTGCGCGCCTATAGTCCCAGCTACTTGGGAGGCTGAGGCAGGAGAATTGCTGGAACCCGGGAGGCGTAGGTTGCAGCGAGCCAAGAGCGCGCCACTGCACTCCAGCCTGGGAGACAGAGTGAGACCAAAAAAAAAAAAAAAAAAAAAGAGCAGAGTATTCAAGTTTCCAACTATTACTGTTGAATTATCTTATTTCTCTCTTTGTCAGTGTTTGCCTTATGTATTTTGGAACTGTCTTAGGTCTGTATGTTTATATTTGTGCATCTTCCTGATGAATTGACTCTTTCATTATAAAATACTATTCTTTGTCTCTAGTACTATTTTGTGTTAAAGTCTATTTTGTCTGGTAGTAGTATAGCCACGTTAACTCTCTCGTGGTTACTGCATACATGGTGTACTTTTTTCAGCCCATTCATGTCTTTAAATTTAAAGTGTATCTTTGGATTTTTTTTTTTTTCTGTCACCCAGGCGGGAGTGCAGTGGTGCGATCTTGGTTCACTGCGACCTCCACCTCCCGGTTTCAAGCGATTATCCTACCTCAGCCTCCTGAGTAGCTGGGATTACAGGTGCTTGCCACCACGCCTGGCTAATTTTTGTATTTTTAGTAGAGACAGGTTTCACCAAGTTGGTTAGGCTGGTCTTGAACTCCTGACCTCATGATCCGCCTGCCTCAGCCTTCCAAAGTGCTGGGATTACAGGTGTGAGCCACCGCACCCGGCCGTATCTTTTTTTTTTTTTTTTTTTTTTTTTTTTTTTAAAGACAGTCTTGCTCTTGTTGCCCAGGCTGGAGTACAGTGGTGTGACGTTGGCTCACTGCAACCTCTGCCTCCTGGGTTCAAGCAATTCTCCTGCCTCAGTCTCCCAAGTAGCTGGAATTACAGATGCACACCACCACACCCAGCTAATTTTTGTATTTTTAGTAGAGACGAGGTTTTGCCATGTTGTCCAGGTTGGTCTCGAACTCCTGACCTCAAGTGACCCACCCACTTTAGCCTCCCAAAGTGCTAGAATTACAGGCGTGAGCCACTGCGCCCGGCCTTGCCTTCACTTTTGAAGGATTGTTTTGCTATATATAGAATTCCTGGATGAACAATTTTTTCTTTACTTTGAATATATTATCTTACTGCTGTCTGGCTTCTATTGTTTCTAATGAGAAGACAATTCATCTTATTTTAGCTCTCTTGTATGTGATGAATCAAACCATGTTTTTTCTTTTCTTTTCTTTTTTTTAAAGACAGGATCTTGCTGTGTCACCCAGACTGGAGTGCAGTGGTGCAATCATAGCTTACTACTATAGCCTCAAACTCCTGGGTTCAAATGATCCTTCCGCCTGGGCCTCCCAGAGTATTGGGATTACAGGTGTGAGCCAGCGCGCCCAGCCTCTTATTGTTTCTTCACATATTTTTTCTGCCTTATTTTCTCCTCCTCTTCTGGGACTCTTGTTAGTCATATGTTGGTTCACTTGACAGTGCCCCGTAGGTGCTGAGGCGCTGCTCATTTTTCTTATGATTTTCTATTTATTTTTTATAAAGACAAGGTTTTGCCATGTTGCCCGGGCTGGTCTTGAACAGCTGGGTTCAAGCAGTCTGCCCACCTTGGTTTTCCAAAGTGCTGAGATTACAGGTGTGAGCCACAGCATCCAGCCCAGTAGTTTTTCTTGATTAAATGCTTTTCAATTTGTTTTTTGCCTTGGTCAATTTGCAGAGTCCAGAAATGGATGTTTTTGACAATTGTGTCCAGTTTTCTTTCAATTTGTTTTATTTTCAAAGAGATAAGGTCTCCCTATGTTGCCCAGGGTGGTCTGGAACTGCCGAGCTCAAGTGATCCTCCCGTCTCGGCCTCCCAGAGTGCTAGGATTATAGGTGTGAGCCACCGCACCTGGCGTGGTGTCCAGTTTTATTGTTACTTTTTTTGGGAGGGGATTTGTTGAGCTCCTTTCTCTGACATTCTGGAAGTCTAACCCCGATCTTTATAATGGCTGCATTGTGTTCCATATTTTGGCTGTCCCATTGTTTATTTGTTAGTTCCCAGTTGATGGTGTAGTGTAGGTTGCTTCTGCTTTTTCCCAGGCAAAGCATTCTGCACTGAGCACCCCGGCCCTTGCTCTTCAGCAAGCTCTTCCTGAGCCCTCTCCTGTAGATCAGAGTAGCCTGAGCCTGACCTTCTTCCTCACGCTTCAACTCTGTTTTCTCAGGGAAGACACTGATCAAGGTGGCAGAAGCTGAAAAGCAACTGGGAGCCGCGGAGAGGGATTTTATCCACACGGCCTCCATCAGCTTCCTCACACCCTTGCGCAACTTCCTGGAGGGGGACTGGAAGACCATCTCGGTGAGGGCCCTGGGACTATTCCGCTTCCTGGTAACCATGGCAGTTCCCTCCTCAGAGCCTTTGAGTACAGGCTCTCTTCCAGTGCTGGGGCTACAAAACTCCTGAGGCCTCCCCAGAGAGGGCTCCTTTGGACTGAGTGACCTCCTATCTCTGGGCCTCAGTTTCCCTATCTTGACTTGATCGTCCCCGGCACCAATCTTGCCATGCATGGCTCAGGGTCTCCCAGGGCAGCCCAGGGTCTCACTGTCCCCATGCCCTGCCCTGTAGAAGGAGAGGCGGCTCCTCCAAAACCGGCGTCTGGACTTGGATGCCTGCAAAGCGAGGCTGAAGAAGGCCAAGGCTGCAGAAGCCAAAGCCACGGTAGGTGTCCCCGCTCCCCGCTGGCCTCCTGGCCCAGGCTCTGGCTGGAGCCAAGGGGTGGTGGCATGAAGGGACCTGGTATTTGGCATGACCTCTCTCCCCTCTCCCTGGCTGGAGATGCCTGGCTGGGGGCTGCTGGGCTGAGCCTCTCTGTCCCTGCCCTCAAGGGAGCCTTGGTGGCCCCCGAGCTCTGGTTCCCAGGGAGATATCTACGGTGTGGGCGGACCAGCAGTGCCCCCAGCTGGGTGCACCACCCCGCCAGGCAGCTGGAGTCTCCTGCATGCCCTGCCCTGCCCTCCTAGATGCTCGGCTCTGTCCCCGGCTCTGCCCGGGCATGGCACCTTCTTACTAACTCTACTACTTGCTGCTTGAACGTCAGGCCGAGGGTCCCTGTGCTCAGGCGCCCCCACGATGGTGTGGAAAACCTGGGAGCTGGACCGCCCGCTTGCTCAGGGCCGTGTCCGAGGGGTCCCATGAGATTGGATAGGGCCTGGGCCATCTGGCGCCCCCTTCACTCCCAGCTCACTGAGGCCTGTTCAGCCT
Source organism: Homo sapiens (assembly GCF_000001405.40). Lineage (NCBI taxonomy): Eukaryota > Metazoa > Chordata > Mammalia > Primates > Hominidae > Homo > Homo sapiens. The sequence goes on along the minus strand of NC_000009.12, from coordinate 129,013,867 downwards.
GGCTGGGTCAATGGGACGCAGCCTGGGACAGTGTGCCCAGGGCGAGGCCAGGATTGGAGGAGCTGGGCCCAAGGGTGAACACCCTCCTGGCACAAGAGGTTGCTCAGGGCTGCCAGGCCTAAAGGCTGCCTCATACCTTGCAGAGGGAACTCCCAGGCCCAGGCCTACTAGGGAGATGGCTACCTGTGGCTGCCAGCTGATTAGCCGAGGGAGGCCAGGCCTAGCCTGGGCTCACAGCTGCCCATGCACCTTGCGTTCCCCTCCCATAGTGTGGCCCCAGAGCCAGCACTGCCCCTGGCGAGAACCGTCTCAGGTCACTCAAGTGTGTGGGGTCTAGATCAGAGGCAGGGGTGTAGTTGTTTCAATCTTGGGGTTGGCTAGGGTGACCTGTGCCTATTGGGATGACCTCTTCTAAGGCACCTGAACAGGACAGTCTCCCCCGTCACTTCGGGCCAGACACCGTCTCTGGAGTAACTCAGCCAGAACACACTCTCTCCATCAGCCAGGCCAGAGGAGCCTTTCCTGTCATTGCAGTGGTGTGGCCTCTCCCTCACCTGGTGGGCCTGGACAACCTCACATCCTGGGGTTGGGCCAGGCCACCTTTCCAGAGCTAGGACTTGGGCAGCCCCAGGAACAGCATTCCAGAGGACTCAAGCTCCACAGCTCTGTCCCCATAAGCACGCACACGTTAGGACTCTTCAGGAGGGCAGGCTGTGGTGCCTCCCTCCGCCCGACCGCCTGGTGTCCCCTCCCACTGGGGCCTGGGGGGCCTGCTCCTGCCTGCGCTGTGGACTCACTAACTCTTTGTTTTTGTTCCTTTCCGTCCTGCTTTGGGTAACTTGGCTCAGTGTGAGGGAGATGTGAGTATACCTGTCCCACGCGCTGTGCTGCTTCCGGTCTGCCCATCTTGCCCGTGGACCCACGGTGCCATGGCCAGCCCACGTCCTTGGGGCATTTTGCAAGCAGCTGGTCTCCCCGCCAGAGCCTCTACTGTGCAGGGCCTCTGGTTTAGGGGGGGATGCCAGGCGTTGGGGCCTGTGAGTCAGCTTTTTGCAAATGTTGGACGCCTGTCACTCTGTCTGCCCATGCATCCATCTGTCCACCTTCATTGTCGGGAGGGGCCTGGCCCTTGATGCAGGAGCAAGAGATGTGGTGTGCGGATTCTGGGATGGAAAAAGCCATCCCAGTTGGGGGTGGGCTGTGTTTGCGGGACCCTGGGGCATCTGAGTGCCACTGGTCTGGGGAGGAGGGGGCTGTGGCCCCTGGCAGGGGAGAGCCCAGCCTGTGACTTGCTCAGGCAGCCTCGGCCATCTCCTCACCGCATTTGCTCTCCTGAGCTCCAGTGCCTGCAGCCACTTGATCTTTGTCTGGACTCTCCAAGTCCCTAGGCCCCTCATCTCCAGGTGGTTGGAGTCGGGAGAAGGGGGTTTGTGTTGTGTTTGTATCCCCGTCCCTGGGGTCAGGCCTCTTGGCATCTCCTTGTGCAAGACTCTGGGGTAGCCTCCTGACCTCGACCCTGGCCCTGGCCCAGGGTGACCCCCTCCCCACATGAACTCTGTTCCCCGCCAGACGGTGCCTGACTTTCAGGAGACTAGACCTCGTAATTACATTCTCTCGGCCAGCGCCTCCGCGGTAAGCGCACCCCACCCCCACCCCACCCCTCGTCCTCCTCTCTCCCCACGTCCCACACCACTGCCTCTGACTGCACAGGAGCTAGAAGCCAGCTTGGGTAAGGCGGGGGCACTGCCATGTGATCAGGTCAGTCCTGAGACACTGGGGAGGGGCAGCAGCCCCCACCTCTGTCCACGGCCTGGCCCCGGTGCCCTGTGGCCATGGAGCTGGACTTGTTTCCCTCTGCAAAACGCTGGAGCTGGCGGCAGGGCCAGCCACACTGAGTAGTGTGGAGAACTCAGGGCGGCAGCTGTCCCATCCCCAGGGCCCCTCCACCTCCTGCTGTCTCTGAATGCCAGGCCCTGGGGAGGCCCTGAGGATAGAGGAGGAGGCCTGGCCGTGCCTTTCTGGAGTTCACAGACCCCTAAAGACAGGAGGCAGGGATGGCGTCGTAGGCCTGGAGAGCGCCTGGGGGGCGGGAGGGCCTGAGGCTGTGCTTAAGGCCCAGAGGTCCTGGAGCAGGGCATGTCTTGTCCTGAGGCTTAGGCAGGGCCCCCAGGGGAGTTGGGGCAGGAGGTGGGGAGGACAGGATCGTGGAGGCTTCGCATGTCATGGTGTCTGTTGGTTTTTAGGCTTTCTTGGGAAGTCTGGTGTTTCCTATGTAGTTTGGGGACTAGGCCACACCTCTCCCTCATGCTTGTCACCACTGCTACACCTTGTCTGCCCACTTTCTCTCCTTCCCGCCCCTGGAGGTGAGACCCTCACCTCTCTCGTGAGCATGCTGCCTCATGTCTTCCGTGCCGTCGTTCTGTGGCTGGGTGACTGTCCCTCAGGCCGCCAACCCTAGTTGGCTCTCACAGCAACTTCCAGTGCTCCTGGACGGGGACTTCCTAAGCAGCATGGGGGCCACACGGGCCGGCCACGCACACTGGCCTGGGTCCGCATTCCCTATTTCAGGCTGTTGTCTCGGGTCAGATCTCCGGAAGCGGCAGGAGCGCTGGGTCTCCTGGTCGTGGCCGGGCAGCGTCTTTCTTCTTCAGGGTCTGGATGCCACTTCCCGCCTCCTCCCTGTGCCCAGTGGAAGGAGAAACATCCTAGAGGGTGGAGACTGCCCTGTTTTTCTTTTGCCATTGAGTCCCAGTGTGACTCAAGCACGAGGCCACCTTTCTCTGCCAGAGGACAGAAAGCTTCAGTGACTGGCCCAGGGTCACACAGTTCTGCCGCCCAGCCCAGCAGCCTGAGCCAGCAGTCAGGATGGGGTGGGGACACTCCGTCTCTCTTGAGACCCCACTCAGAGAATGGGGCTGACACTGTAGGAGAAATATAAGCAGGACTCCTGCTGGCTGCTCCCCTCCTGCATGAGGCATGTTAGAGGGACTGGGACCGCCAGCCCCCAGCTCCCATGCCGGGCCTCGGCCCAGTCTCAGCTCCTGTTTGGGAGGGGGGGCAGAGGGGCAGGGGGGCAGAAGTTGAGTCTGGGAGCTGGGGCAGGGCACAGGCTCTAGGGTCCAGCTGTCCTCCTCTCCCCTCCCCTGCTGGCCACTCCTGCTGCCGTCTCCACAGCTCTGGAATGATGAAGTGGACAAGGTAAGTTGGGGCCTGGGGGGCTGGGCTCGAGGAAGAAGGGGTGGCGGGGTGCAGGCACACTTGCTGCTGTGGGGTCTGATCTGTTTCTCACTCTGCCCCACACCCACTGGGGAGGGGTTACTGCTTTCCCTCCCTGGGCCTCAGTTTCCCCTCTGTGGGGAAATGTTTTCTCCACAGTACCCTGTAGCACACAGTAGGCCCTCAGGATGCACTTGCTGGGTGGATTTCTCCGATGGGTGATGGAGGAAGGGTCTGTCACTGCAGCTGCCTGTGGGGTCCTGAGTGGGGCTCTAGCTTCTCTGGGGTTGGGGCTCCAGGTGTGAAGTCAGGCATAGACCCAGAAGGCTCTCTGTGTTCCCAGGGGAAAGGGACAGGCGGCTCCCAGGTAGGCTCCAGGAGAAGACTGCGGGGAAGCTGGTGGGTGGTGTGTGGGTGCTCATGGCTGCCCTGCCCTGCCCAGGCCGAGCAGGAGCTCCGCGTGGCCCAGACAGAGTTTGACCGGCAAGCAGAAGTGACCCGTCTCTTGCTGGAGGGAATCAGTAGCACTCACGTGAGTCCCACTGCCCACCCTCACTAAACCTAACCCTCAGCAGGCACCAGGTGTGCCTGAACCACAAGGTCAGCAGGGCTGCCCCAGAATGGCCCTCACAGAGCAAGTCCCACCGGGGAGGGTGTGGGCGCAGGGGCAGGGCACCCTGGAATGCCGGAGCAAGGTCTGGTAGAGGACGGGGATGGGGACGGAATTTTTTGTTCTGAGGGCGGGAGGTTAGAAGTCAGCCTCTGGCCTCTTCCCCGCAGGTGAACCACCTGCGCTGCCTCCACGAGTTCGTCAAGTCTCAGACAACCTACTACGCACAGTGCTACCGCCACATGCTGGACTTGCAGAAGCAGCTGGGCAGGTGCGGGGCCAGCACTGCTGAACCCACTGGGGCCCCCTGGCTCCCATACCCTGTCCGTGGGCAGCATGAGCTCCTCTGGGCAAGTCCTGTGACACAAAGCTGGGTTGGAGGGCTCTGCTGGAACCCACTCTGGGTGCGGGCATCTCATGTGTATGAGGGTGGAGTGGCTGGCCTTACTGACGGCCAAGTCCCCTGGAGCCCCTGAGGGTTTCTAGGGAATGCCTGGGTGGGGAGGATGGCAGGGACCAGGGGGTGGGGCCATCTCACCCTTCCCTTGCTTTGCTTTTCCCTTTGTGCTGCCAGCTCCCAGGGTGCCATGTGAGTAGCCGGGGCTGGAGTGGGGCTCCTGGGGCTGGGGAGGGGAGTTTGCCTCTGGGGTCCCTTCTGGGACTCCCACCTGCTAAGATGTATCCCTCCTCTCCAGATTTCCCGGCACCTTCGTGGGCACCACAGAGCCCGCCTCCCCACCCCTGAGCAGCACCTCACCCACCACTGCTGCGGCCACTATGCCTGTGGTGCCCTCTGTGGCCAGCCTGGCCCCTCCGGGGGAGGCCTCGCTCTGCCTGGAAGAGGTGGCCCCCCCTGCCAGTGGGACCCGCAAAGCTCGGGTGCTCTATGACTACGAGGCAGCCGACAGCAGTGAGCTGGCCCTGCTGGCTGATGAGGTGGGCCCGGTGCCGCAAGGTGGGGCAGGAATGGGCTGGGTGAGGAGCAGCCTGGGCACTGGGATCAGGCACATGGGGCCTGGAGGGGCCCTGTTGGCAAAGTGGGGACCAGCAGGTTAAAGAGGGCATATCCAGCTCTGAGGAAAGGATCCTTGCTCTGCTGGGTCTCTGGAGCAAGTGAGATGAGCGCCAGCCACTGAAGGTGTAGCACATGCCACGGGCCATGGGGAGGTGGCAGCTCTGTCCCCACTTAGTCCTGGGGCCAGTTCCACCCTTGGCCAGGCCATGACCGTCCTCTACTGCCATCTCTGCAGCTCATCACTGTCTACAGCCTGCCTGGCATGGACCCTGACTGGCTCATTGGCGAGAGAGGCAACAAGAAGGGCAAGGTCCCTGTCACCTACTTGGAACTGCTCAGCTAGGCAGGTGCCCCCATCCCCCCCGCATTCTGGCCTAGGCAGGAGAGGATGGGCGCAGCCCTGCCACTTAACTTGTTTGTTGGTGACACAGTTGTTCAGAGTGGGGAGAATTCACCCCATTCTGTCCCTGCCCCTAGTCACCTAGCTGTGAGGGTGCCTGAGGCTGAATGGCTCCACCCCTCCCCCAGCCCTGCTTCTGACCTGTGGCTCTGGAGCCCCTGCCCCTGCCTGCATCCCCGAGCACCCCACCCTCCAGGCTCCACTAAGGAGGGAGGGGCTGTCTGCAGCAGCTGCACTCAGCACCTAGGCCAGGGTGGGGCCGCCGCAGATGGGCTCAGGAAGCCCCAGGTGCACTCAGCGAGAGCCCTGCCTTTCAGTTGCCAAAAGCTGCATCAGGGGAATGCGGCAAGGCACACAGGGCTCTGGCAGCCCCTGGGGACTGGGCGCTGCCCCTGGGAGGGGAGAGCCTGGCCAGGGCTGGTGTTGGGCCCGGAGCAGCATCTTCCGGTGCTATCCTCCCCTCCCACCCCTCACAGCTCAAGCCAAGTCCAGCGGCCGCAGTCTTCACCTCTCCACACTCACTTTTTATCTGGTGTTTTTACTTCTGCCTGCGTTTGCTCTCTAGCCAATAAACCGTCCTTGTGTGCGAGTCACCTGGGCTCCTGTCAGGGCCTGGCCCTGAGGGTGGTAAAGGGAAAGGTAGACTCACCCTCTGCCCCACTCTTCCACAGAGTGAGCAGGGGCCCTGTGGCTGCCCCGGCCCCCAGCTCTCTAGTTGGGAAGAAGTGCAGCCCTCCCTGTCTTCTGCGGGGCCTGTGCCTCTCAGAGGGCAGTGCTGTTCCTGGACATGAAGCCGCACAAGGAACGTTTTATTCCTAAGAAAAAGTTTCCTAAATTTGGATTGTGGAGCGGACTGTAGAATGCGTCTGACAGTTCAGTTCAAGCACAAGAAGTGGGTAGCGGTCAGTGCTGTCTGCAGGTCGGGCGTTTCACCCAGCATGTGCCCCCGTGCCATGGGTTCTCATGCCGTCCTCAGTGTCCACATTTCACAGATGAGATCAGCAAGACAGTCAGCTCCTCAAGGGACCACAGTTGGCAAGTGGCCAAGCAGGGACTGAAGCCCAGGCAGCCTGATTCTAGAAACCCTAAGTGATGTCTGTGTTTTAGATGGCCCCTAGCAGGACCTAGCATTCTGACTTCAGTCCTGAGAAGGCCAACAGCCAGTAGGCCCCACTGTTGGGGCTTCTGAAGAGGGGATCGGGGGATGACGGGGGCACGGGGCTATAAATAGGAAGGCACAGAGCTTCAAGAAAGGCTCACCCAGGGATGAGCTCAGCCCACTGGGCCAATGAAAGCAGGGTCAAGGACAGGACCAGCGCAGGCCAAGGAAGGGAATATCTGACAGCGCCCACCCAGCCAAACCCTCAGCCCAAGGACAGGAATGAGGAGATGCTGGTGAACTAGCCATCCATCAGTACCTGCCTTCCCCCGAGGCTGCAGCCCCACTCCCAGGCGCCTGGCCAGGGGAGTTTTCTAGGTTCTGAGAGCCACGTTGTCATCCCTGGGCTTTGAAGTTAAACATCACACAGCTGTCTATAAACAAGATTTTAATATCTGTATAAATAGACCACAGAATTACCAAAACTGCAAAGACAGAGTGTGGAAAACAGGTTTGAAACCCGTGCATAGAGCCCTCTGCTGGGCTGCCGCCTCTCCCCTGGCCGGCAGTGCTGTGGGGAATGCTGGAAAGGAAGGAAAGTTCCTCTAGGGGGCGTCTGCAGCGTGAGGACCTGAGCACAGAAGACTCGGCTCCCCATGCCTGCTGTTGACCTCTTCATCTAGTATAAAAATAACGTCAGTGGGTGGTGGCTGGAGTCGTGGCTACTCCGGGAGGGGGGTGACAGGAGGTGCCCTCCATTGTATAGGCCCTAGCAGCCAGCAGCACCCCTGCCAGCCAGGGTGCAGTGTAGGCTGGTGGAGAGGGGTAGGTGGGCAGAACAGCACTGCCCTATCTTTGCATATGCCGGACAAACGCCTGCACCAACTGGATCAGAGGCTCCTGACTCTCAGGGCTGGCTTTGGAGAGAGAGGTGGACTTGCCCTGCGGCGAGGGGAGGACACCAGTGGCAGGGGAGCTGGGGGCTCCCCGGCGGAAGTAGCGCGAGAGGCTGGACAGCAGCGTGCTCTACAAGAAAAAAAGTGGCTTGGTGAGGCTCAGCACATCTGGCTACTGTTCTGACCCTTGGGGGTTGCCAGGCAGGACCCCACAGGGCTCTGGCCCTATTGGTCCAGCCCTCCGTATCCCTATCCATCCGTACCAACTCAGAGCTGAGCTCCTGCTTCATCCGCTGTTTGTCCCGGGGGTGCACAGCCGGGTCCCTAAGGTACCGCATCGCCTGAGAGATGAGCAGGTAGAAGCAGTTTTCCATGGTAAACATCAGGAGGGACCTGGGAGGAGACACAGGTTTTTGGTACTGCTGCAGAGGGCCAGGCTGGCCAAGCTTGAGAACAGTGGGCCCATGACTGCCCCAGCCCCTTATCAAATCCCAGAAAGAGCACTTACTTTAACGTCCTGGTCCCTTCTGCCTGTGTGCTGAGCCCCACTGCCTGGGTGAGGGGCTCCTTTTTCTTGTCCAGCTGAAGAGAAGCAAGGGTAAAAAACTAAGACAACAGGAACAGCTCCCACTTACTGAGAGCTTCCTACTTGCATGTCCTGCACTAAGCAAATTTAATCAGTTACCTCATTTAATCCTCACAGTAATTCTCAGAGGTGCTGTCATGTTCAGTTTACAGAGAGGAGCAGGCTTGGGAGGCTAGGTACCATGCCCAACATGCCCAAGGTCAGCTGGGAAGTGGCAGGCAGGGGGAGGAGCCGGGGGGAGAGGACAGTGTCTGACAGAACCAACTTACCTCTCCAAGCATGTTGAGGGCCACATTCACTGTGGCCAGAAGGGTCCCGAAGGAGGGGGCCACTTCGGAGTCAAAGGTGGGAGTGGTAAAGCTCAGGGCAAACAGGAAGTTGTATTCAGCAAGGTCCAGGGACTGCGAGAAAAGACAAGAGCCATCCAGGACCCAATTAAGGCCCCAGGTAGCTCTCGGTACACAGCAGAGCAGAGCCTTTAGGGGAGGTGGTGCTGAACAGATGATGGGCAGTACCTGATCCAGCAGAATCTGGCAGACATCTGGGGTGAAGTGGCGCAGGGCTGCCAGCGTCTTGCTGAGGATCTTGAGAAGGCCATACTGGACTGTGTGCAAGGCCTGCTGCTCTGATGCCTCTGTGTCAGCAGCGGGCTGCTTTGAGGAGGAGGGGGCAGCAGAAGCAGCAGACGGTGGCCTCTGGACTCGCTGGGCAACAGCTGAGGGGAGGCCATCCCCATTTTTGTTCTAAGGAGAGTCAAGAAATGAAGGTGGAGCTTGGGAAGCTAGCGTGAGGTATTCCAGGACCTCATGGCATAGGACGCTTACCTGTAAGTAATGCTGCAGCATCTTTCGACTGTGCAGGAGAGAGGTACATGCCTGGCACAAGTAACCCAGGTTGACCTGGGAGAGACACAGGAGAGATGAGCGGATTCTCTTGTCAGCAGCCCAGTCACCCAACCAGACCAACCCAATAGCCCTCCATGTAACACCCATGCGCTCCTCACTCGCTGCTGCTCTTCTCTCCCTCCTTCCCTCATGCTCCCCTTCTCTCCCTCCTTCCCTCATGCTCCCCTTCTCTCCCTCCTTCCCTCATGCTCCCCTGGCCACTTTCCAGCTTAAAGCCCCTATAGCCACTAAGTACTCAGGGCTACAAACTTGGGCCAGCAGGGCTCAGGACTGGACTGTCTCCCTGAGACCCAGCTAGGTGCCTGGTATATTGTAAGGTCCTAAAGTAAAGAAGATGAGGCCGGGTGCGGTGGCTCATGCCTGTAATCCCAGCACTTTTGAGGTCGAGGCAGGCGCATCACGAGGTCAGCAGATCGAGACCATCCTGGCTAACACGGTGAAACCCTGTCTCTACTAAAAATACAAAAAATTAGCCGGGCGTGGTGGCGGGCGCCTGTAGTCCCAGCTACTCGGGAGGCTGAGGCAGGAGAATGGCGTGAACCCGGGAGGCGGAGCTTGCAGTGAGCCGAGATGGCACCACTGCACTCCAGCCTGGGCGACAGAGCAAAACTCTGTCTCAAAATAAATAAATAAATAAAATAAGATGAGGATTATGGCTGATTCCATTTTATAGGAAAAGAATAAAAGGTTACAAGTAACAAGTGACTTGGCCAAGGTCATACAACCAGCAGATAAGAGAAGCCTGCCTGGCTCTGGAGCCTGTGTTCCTTCCTCACCCCTCCCTTCTCCAGCTGGTTCCCAGCTCCAGTTGTGTGTGTTTTTTTGGTTTTGTTTAGTTTAGTTTTTTTTTTTTTTTTTTGAGACGGAGTCTCACTTTGTCACCAGGCTGGAGTGCAGTGGCGTGACCTCGGCTCACTGCAACCTCCACCTCCTGAGTTCAAGCGATTCTCCTGCCTCAGCCTCCCGATCCTGAGTAGCTGGGACTACAGGCGTGTGCCACCACACCCAGCTAATTTTTGTTATTTTTAGTAGAGATGGGGTTTCACCATGTTGGCCAGCCTGGTCTCGAGCTCCTGACCTCATGATCCTCCCGCCTTGAATTCCCAAAGTGCTGGGATTACAGGCGTGAGCCTATTGCACCCGGCCATTTTTTTTTTTTTTTCTTTTTGGGACGGAGTCTCGCTCTGTCACCCAGGCTGGAGTGTAATGGTTCGATCCTAGCTCACTGCAACCTCCGCCTCCCAGGTTCAAGCGATTCTCCCAACTCAGCCTCCCGAGTAGCTGGGATTACAGTCACGTGCCACCACGCCCAGCTAATTTTTGTATTTTTAGTAGAGACAGGGTTTCACCATGTTGGCCAGGCTGATCTCGAACTCCTGACTGCCTCCCAAAGTGCTAGGATTACAGGCGTGAGCCACCATGCCCGGCCCCAAGTGTATTCTTAAGGGATCTGAACCAAGATCTAACTGATAAAAGTCCAAATTCTTAACCTACATGGCTGCCCTTGACTATGGAAGGAAACATTTAGCCAGAGTAAGCACATGACAGCAAACCCTGTGCTCCCCAAGGGAAAAGCCCCCGTTCAGGAACATCCTGCAATTCACTAGGAGTGCCCCAGTGAGACCTCACAGCCTCCCTGTCTCCAAGCATTACCCCAGACTCCAAGACACCATCTTGGGCCCCCACCTGGATATCACGCATGAGCTGAGGCAGGTGGAAGTGCCACTCCTTCATGAAGTTAGAGAGCTGCAGAATAAAACCCACGGTGTGGTCCGCCTCCTCCAGGCAGGCCAGACTCTGCACTGTCCTCACTGCGTTGAGGCACTGGGAGGAAAGCACACATCAGGGAAAGATGGGGATGGCTGAGGGACCTGACATACCCACACCTACCCTCCTGTGGAGAGGCAACGTCCCAGGCCCCCAAATGCTGAGTTGGCAAAGAAATGGCTTAGTGGTACAACCAGGATTCTGACCCGAGACCGTTCCCGTCCTTCAGCAGACTAGCTGGCCAGTGAGCCAGCAGAGTACTTAGAGCATCTCAAAAATGAAGGCATCGACAACCCTCCGCTACTGAGGCCCAGGCTCCACACCCACCTGCCCCATGAATGGCCCAGTACCTTTTTTACCCTGAAACTCCCACCCCTGCAATGCAGGCAGCCCCTCACCTGTAAGGTCCGCTCCTGGTGGACACCCACGAAGTCCAGGGCCTCAGGCAGGAAGTTGTAGCGCAGAGTTTTGAGCAGCTGCTCCATCAGGGACATGGACAGGCGGTAGACTCCTGGCCAAGAGGGGGCATCCAGGGACTTCCGAGAGGCACTAGGTGTCTAAGATACAAACAGCAGACAAGCTCAGGAACCCTGCTGAGAGGCAGGACCTCCTTGTAGTACAGCAACTAAGGCAGCCCAGCTGCGCTGAAAGGAAAAGATCTCCCAGAATAGACACAGCCACTGTCTGGCCACCAGGGCCAGAAAGGGGCCAACACCAGCAGATTCAAGGAAAGAGCACCAGGCTGAGACACAAGACCCAGGGTTCCAGACTCAGGTCTGCCACTGACGAGCTATGCGAACCTGGACATGTCACTGCCCTGCTCTGGCCCCTACATACTTCCTCTAAGGGGTAGCTGGGCTAGATGACCAAATACTTCACGACTCTCATGAGAGAGAGAGGTTCAGGTGAAGACTACTCTTTTGAAATTAGGAGGTATCTGTTAAACTAGAAATAACCAAGGGACACAGAGGGCAGGGTGCTGAGGCCCCATCAAGCCCCCAGACCACCCACTTCCCTTCTCCCAGTCCTGGTCTGGTGGTGCAGGGGTGGAGAAGTCACAATGACACACTGTCTTTGGGAATGACAGGAGAGGACAGCTGCCTTGGCTAGAGGCCTGGTCCAGGGATGTGTTATCAATCTGGTTTAGTCTTCCTCACACCTGCAATGGGAAGAATCCATCCCATCTCCCAGAGGTAGTGCACAAAGGCCAGGCGGTGCCTTTTAGTGGTGAGTTTCTCTTGCTAGAGATCCGCCTGGGGGCAGGGAAGATTCCTCACCATCAGTGTATTAGGCAATTTAGAGGAAAGCAACTTCCGGGGAAAGGTAGGGGAGGACACTTTTCAACTGGAACTGTAGGGTGGTCAGGCTGGGCCTCCTGGCAAGCTCCTGACACTCACCTGTGCTGTGCCGTTGGTGCTCAGCTGGTACACACTCAGAAGGGGCAAACAAATGCTCTGGGTGATGCCAGCTCCAGCCACTGCTGTGGCTCCCTGGGAGGAGGGAAAGACAGGAAATGAGATGGAGCCTGCCCCTGCCCTGCCTAGGGTAGGTAGGGCTCTCAGGCTAGATCACAGCTTCTGGGATTGTCAGAACCCACCCAGGCAAGCAAGGACGCTCCCTCCTGCCTTCGGGCTGGCCTCCTACCTGCTGAGTGCGAGCCAGGGTGAGGAGCAGATGCAATGTGGCCTCAGTGAAATGCAGGTTCTGCTTCATGCGAAGGCTCACCTCTAGAGTGGTGAGGAGGGTGGGTAGGATGGGGAGCCTGCGGGTTACCTGCAGCCAGGAGTCACCATCCTCGTCTACCTCACACAGCTCCTTGGCCAGGTGCAGGCCCAGGACACACACCTGCCCAGAGGCAAAGATGAGTAAAAGGGGGAAGAAGAAGAGGAGGAGGAAGAGGACGACAGGCAGCGGTGGGCCTGGTTGCCCAAGACCTGCTTGGTTACACACATTGCTAAGTGAGCTTGAGTAACACAGAATGCACACTCTCTCCCACCCTGCCCCTCTCCTATGTCCAGCTCTCAATGAACAGCAGCAACTCCAGCCAATCTAATGAGCAACCCTAAACTGACCAGAGCTACCCCCGCCTCTTCCCTCCCACCTCCCACACTGCCACCACCCTTGTCAGAGCCACCTCGTCTCATGTTGGACACTCCAACCAACTCTGCCACATGGAGTCTGAGGGACCCCTACGACCCTGCCCGATGCCACCTCCTGCTCTGCTACTGCAACCATCTCCTAAATAATCCTGCTCCATCCTCTCTAATCTATCCTTGTACCAGTGGCCTTTCAACCTTCTTTTTGGCCATGACCCAGAGTCATAAAGACATTTTTTTTGAGATGGAGCCTCGCTCTGTCCCCCAGGCTGGAGTGCAGCGGCGCGATCTCGGCTCACTGCAACCTCCGCTCCTGGGTTCACGCCATCCTCCTGCCTCAGCCTCCCGAGTAGCTGGGACTACAGGTGCCCGCCACCACGCCCGGCTAATTTTTTGTATTTTTCATAGAGACAGGGTTTCACCGTGTTAGCCAGGATGGTCTCCATCTCCTGACCTCATGATCTGCCCGCCTCGGCCTCCCAAAGTGCTGGGATTACAGGCGTTAGCCACCGTGCCCGGCCCATAAAGACTTTTTAGACTGTATCCTCATGTACACGTTTACAGTTTTTCACTAATAATACCTACCCTAATGTCACACAAAGCACAGTGATATTTTCTTAAACACTTTATTCTACTTTATTTTAAAAAAATGCTGGTTGTGGCCAGGCGTGGTGGCTCACGCCTGTAATCCCAGCACTTTGGGAGATCAAGGCGGGCGGATTACGAGGTCAGGAGATCGAGGCCATCCTGGCTAACACAGTGAAACCCCGTCTCTATGAAAAATACAAAAAGTTAGCCGGGCGTGGTGGCAGACACCTGTAGCCCCAGCTACTCGGGTGGCTGAGGTGGGAGAATGGCGTGAATCTGGGAAGCAGAGCTTGCAGTGAGCCAAGATCGCACCACTGCACTCCACCCTGGGCGACAGAGCGAGACTGGTTGTAACAAAATGTGCTAATTTCAAGACTCTCTCTAATAGGTCATGATCCCACAATTTGAAAAATACTATTCAATACTGCATCCAGAGTGATCTTTCTTGGGCACGCCTGTAATCCCAACACTTTGGAAGGCTGAACTGGGAGGATGGCTTGAGGCCTGGAGTTTAAGTCCAGAGTGATCTTTCTAGAGTAAAAATCAGATCAACTTTTTCCCCTGCTTAAAAGCCTTACATCATTTCCTATTTCACTTCGGATCCTGCATTTGCCCGCGGCTACAATCTCTAAGTCATTGCTGAAAAGGCACCTAAGTCCCAGTTCAAGTCAGAAGTGAGACTAAGTTCTCCCTGCACTTCTCTCCTGCAGTACAATGGGCTGCTTCTGCTTTTCTGCAGTGTCTGATCTATTAACCTTTCCCACCAGGCCGTGAACTCCAGAAGTGCAGCGACTATCTGTCTTGATCACTACTTATCCCCAGAGTCAGGCACAGAGCTGGCGGGCAGTGGAAAGGACGGATGGCCTTCTAGGGCACTGTCTCACCCCATCACGCTGGTCCCTGTGCCGGGACCGAGAACAGTCGTCAGTCTCCATGCTGTCCTTGTCCTCTGTGGCACTGCCTAATGCCAGACTGTGGCGGGTCTGGTCGAAGAGTGCAATCACTTCCTCTTGGAGGGTCTCACAGACATTCAGCACCAGCTGGGAGTACTGGGGGATGTCACTTACTGTAGAATAGACAGGGAGGGACACTGTCATGCTCACCAGGCCAACTCTCACTGTACACCAAGGTTTCCTTCCTAGGAAGGGGCTGGAGATGTACTAGGGCGCTAGGAGGGACAGCATCTGTCCAGTGGGAGAGGAGGGAGAGACACATGAGGGAAAAAAATAGCTTTCTTGGGGTAAGAATTCCATGACTGGAAACTCAAAAGTCCCAGAAGAAATGTGTGGCCCTAAGCTGAAGGAAGCCCTGCCTGGCTGTCAGCAGGAGTGGGCAGACTGCAGCTGCTGCTCCCCCTGCCTCTGCCCCTCACCTTTCATCTCCTTCATTTGCAACACTGTGATGAATGCTGAGAACACCTTGGCCTTGGTCTTCTCCATGAGTTGCTGGTCGGCCTGCAGCACTCCCTCCAGGATCTCCGTCAAGGGTCCAAGGATTTCATCCACAGAACCTAACTCTCTAGAAAGAATACTGGGTGGGCCAGGCGTGGTGGCTCATGCCTGTAATCCTAGCACTTTGGGAGGCCAAGGCGGGTGGATCACCTGAGGTCAGGAGTTCGAGACCAGCCTGGCCAACATGGTGAAACCCTGTCTCTACTAAAAATACAAAAATTAGGCATGGTAGCGCGCACCCGTAATCCCAGCTACTAGGGAGGTTGAGGCACGAGAATCACTTGAACCTGGGAGGTGGAGGTTGCAGTGAGCCGAGATCGCGCCACTGCACTCCAGCCTGGGCGACAGAGTGAGACTCCGTCTCAAAAAAAAAAAAAAAAAAGAATACGGGGTGGGGAGTGAGACAAAATACCTCATAAAAGGCCACACACTGCCCCTGCTCCATCTCAGGATATCCACCAGTCTGCCTCACCCTCCTATCTGCTATGTCACTCCCATTCCTCAAGATGGAAAACCAGCCCAGCTTCCACCCACTATTTCTCCCTTTCAGGAAGGCAAGCAGGCACTGACAAGAAGGCTCTGGCCTCGGGCTTGCCTCTCCTGGCACAGCCTCACCTCTTCCACTGCCGGAGGAGGATAAGCAGCAGAGTGCACTTCATGGAGCCAAGGCGAAGGCAGTTCACTGAGGCTGGAACTAGGAGCTGAAAGGAGACAGCACACCAGTCAGAAGTCAGTGGAAAGATTCGCATGCCATCCACAGGGCACCTCCGGCCTCATTGCCTTTCTTCCCCAGCAGTGAGCTCACAGGAGTGGAGTGGAGGGGGAGAAGCCAGGGTTGGCATGGCAGCAGCAGAGCTCTGCTGACCCACTACAGTCTCAGGCCTCCCAGGCCAACGTGAGCCCTGTGACCTGACTATTTGTGCGGCTGGCTGGCAGACTCATGACCTCTGCTATTTGACTTCAAAGACAACCTCCCTGGGAGAAATGTAAAATCTCCCAGACACACTTACTAATGCTTTGGTTCCATCAAGCACGTCAAGAAAGAGCTGGCGACGCACCACAGAGTCAGTCAGGTGCATTATATCTGCCTGCAAAGGAACAGAAAAAGGTTTCAGCTGGGAAAATTTTCCAGATTTTAGAGGCCAAGAAACATGGGGTCCTCTGCTAGGCAATTAGTCATTGGTAAAACAGTCTCCCTGATTTAAAATAGGGCTTATATAGGCCGGGCGTGGTGGCTCATGCCTGTAATCCTAACACTTTGGGAGGCTGAGGTGGGCGGATCACGAGGTCAGGAGATCAAGACCATCCTGGCCAACACGGTGGAACCCTGTCTCTACTAAAAATACAAAAATTAGCCAGGCATGGTGGCGCGCACCTGTAGTCCCAGCTACTCGGGAGGCTGAGGCAGGAGAATTGCTTGAACCCAGGAAGCGGAGGCTGCAGTGAGCCGAGATCGCACCACTGCACTCCAGCCTGGCGACAGAGAGAGACTCCGTCTTAAATAAATAAATAAAATAAAATAGGGCTTATAGTCTGGGCAACATGATGAGACCCTATCTCAACAACAACAAAAAATGTTTAATTAGCTGGGTATGGTGGTGCATGCCTGTAGTCCTAGTTACTTGGGAGGCTGAGGTGGGAAGATCACGTGAGCCCTGGAGGTTGAGGCTGCAGTGAGCCATGATTGCACCACTGCACTCCAACCTGATCAACATAGTGAGATCCTGTTCCCTAAAAAATAAAGTAAAATAGGGCTTGAAGGCCCTGCTGTTCTTCTGTCAACCCTTAGATATGGTCAGAATCAAGCCCAGGTTCACCTCCTCTTTGAGACTCTGTCCTCCCTCTGCTTAGAATCCTTGAAAGGCTTCCCAGTGCCCGGGAAACGCAAACCAAGCTCTTCAACATGGTCCAAAGACCCCACAGGATCTGGTCCAACTGATGTAGTATCAGTCCCATCTGTGCTCACTCTAGTCCAACCCTGCTTGCCTCTTTCATGAACATATCAAGCTCTTTTCCACTGCTGGAACTTTGCACTTGCAAGTCCATCTGCCTAGACTTCTCTCCTCCACGGGCTCCACCTGGAAGGCTTCTTCACACATTCAGCTCTCAGCTGGGACATCACCACTCAGAGAAGGCCACCCTGACTACTTCTATCTCATGTGTTCATTACCACAGCACTTTAATTATTTCCTTCACAGCAAATTATCACTATCTGAAACCATATTTTTTATTGCTAAATTTGTTTATAATTTACCTCCTCCATCATAGGGCACTCTCTATGCGATCAAAGATCTTATCTGCCTTATTCACTGCTGCATCTCAATGCCTGGAAGCGTTCCACTAATGCCATTAAGAGAATGAATGGGTGACCAACATCCTGGACTTAGGTTTCTTTCTCTTTTTTTTTCTTTTCTTTTGTATAGGTAGACAGGTGAGACAGAGAGCCAGATAGGTTTCCTTTGGGGAAAGAGGATGGTGGGATTTTCAGAGCTACAATTCAAGAACTGCTGCCTAACTAGGGCCTAAAAGGCAGGTGACATAAAGGTTATACCCTGGGGAATCAACCATTCTCAAAGACAGGTGAGCCTTTAAGTGTGTTTGGAGCCTTAGGGGTCCAAAACCACCATGCCACAGCAAGAGTAGCCACAAACCTGCCCCTCCTAGGCTCAAAGCTCCAAGCATGTGGGCAGTCTGGCACTAGGCAACAAATTTCACAGATGTAGGAGGTGCTTGGAAAAAGGAGGCATCTATCAAGCTGAAGTTGTTCATGAAGTCAAAAGATTAATCTGGGCCAAGCGTGGTGGCTCACACCTGTAATCCCAGCACTTTGGGAGGCCGAGGTGGGTGGATCACCTGAGGTCAGGAGTTCGAGACCAGCCTGACCAACAAGGTGAAACCCCATCTCTACGAAAAATACAAAAATTAGCTGGGCGTGGTGGCAGGCACCTATAATCCCAGCTACCTGGGAGGCTGAGACAGGAGAATTCCTTGAACCCGGAAGGCGGAGGTTGCAGTAAGCCAAGATCGCACCACTGCATTCCAGCCTGGGTGACGGAGCAAGACTCCGTCTCAAGAAAAAAAAAAAAAAATTAATCTGGATACCCCAAGAAAGAACACTTCAATACCAAGTCCTTATGATACAGCGTGACGGAGTCAAACCACAAAAAAGCCAAGAACAATGCATTTCTTCCAGATGTTAT
Source organism: Homo sapiens (assembly GCF_000001405.40). Lineage (NCBI taxonomy): Eukaryota > Metazoa > Chordata > Mammalia > Primates > Hominidae > Homo > Homo sapiens. The sequence continues at coordinate 128,996,038 of NC_000009.12, read as the reverse complement.
CTCTCTCTCTCAAAACCAACTCCCAGTAGACAGAGTACAGAGACAATGGCCTCTGTTCTTTTTCTAAGACCAGGAAATGCAGTTTCTAGAACCAATGACAAACTGCTTTTTAGAGAGGGTGCTGCTGCAGCTGTCACAGCTCCCTGCTGACTAGTCAACAAGTATTTATTGACCTAGCATCTACAAGGTACACAGCACGAGAAGACAGTTATGCCTTTGCACAAGAGGCAGATGCAGCCAGGGAGCAGCTAAGACCCAGCCAAGGCCTAAGGGAGGTACAGGAGGCTTTAGGAACTCTGAAAGGATTTCAAATCACTTCTCTGCATTCCTCTTAATGGTCTCCTGGACCCAACACCCTCAAATACCCCACAGTCCCAATCTCTCAGCATAGAACCTATTACAGTTTAGCTCTCAGGGATAAACCCTGATTAATTCTTCCGCACAAGGAGCTGTATCTGCTAGGCTCATGTCAACACATCATTGCTAAGGTACCAAAGTGAAAACTCTCCCCAAAAGGGTCTTACATGAGTGGTGGCAATGATGAGAAGCATCCTCCAGGCGGACACCAGCATCTGGTACTCTAACAAGGAGGTGCAGCTGCTGCCTTCTGTTTCGGCCACGTGAACTGCCAATGACTTGACATACCCTGACCAGTAGGCAAAGCGTTTCTCGATGGAAAATTTCTTCAGTGTATCCTTTAATGACTGGTCTAATGAACCCCTACAGTGTCAAGAAAAAACCTCCAGTTAGATTTTGAAAGCAGATGGGAATATAATGGGTACAGACCCTTGTTGAGGCAGAGAAAACGACCTTGCATGGGCTTAAAGGCAGACGGCTCCAGGACACCTCCAACGTGTGGGTTAGGCTGAGGCCTTTCCAGGATTCCTCCTCCATAAAATCCCAGTTGCATGGAGTTTGCTTCACAATAACTCTTTCTGACAATCATAAATGCCATCGGTGGATTGGCCAGGAACACAGCTCACTGGCCTTCCATGAATGGTTCCAAACCAGTTCTCTCCTCTGCCTTGGCTCTTCCAGCCATGCACCCAGTGGTAGGCCACCAACTCCCACTCCCCCAACCTTCAGTTAAAATCTCAAGAGGGGAAAGTACTCACTTTACTACATAGTATATCTCCAAGCAAATTATCTTCATGATTAGGGCACAGGTTTCCAGGATGCTGGGCTGTGGAGATAGCAGAACAGGCAATTATCACATCTCTGATCACTGATCTCCCCCAGTATATCAAACAGGGAACAGAGCAGGGGCCCAACACTTGCAGAACAAGTTAGCACAACCCCTGTTGAATGTGAATGTCCTGACTTGCAAGAGCAGAGGCGTCAGGTCCACAACGTCTCCAACTGAATGGAGAAGACCACAGAGCCACCAACACACAGTAGCGCAAACCACTTTCCTTCCCAAAGCAAGACATCAAAGGGACAGAAAGCTGGCACTTCCCTGAGAAAGACGTTTCTAGTGAAGGGAACATTCTGTTGTTTAATTAGGGGAGGTATCATTGTCTACGGCCCCATCTCACAGCCCACAGCCTTTCCTCCAAGGGACTTGTAGCCACCATCCTGCCCTCTGCCACAGCTTACCTCTGATGTTTCAGAGGGAGGAGAAAGGGTTCCAAACAGCGGACTGGTTAAATTTTCCCAAAACTTGGGTCTAAAAAGGAAATAAATGTTTGAAATCATAACTTTTTCCCTCTCACAGTCATTTTCTCCTCTCTCAAGCTCCCTTTGGTGGTCACTTCATATTTTACCAGTCTCAATCCTAATATGTGTCTGATAAGTCAGTTGTTCCCGTATAAATGAAAGGTTTCCATAGATAAAATTACATTTTCCTCTCATGAATCACACTTATGCATTATAGAGTTGATCAATAAAAACTCTTCAAGATTCCTTCCACTGTAGATTCCCAAAAGCCCCACAGAAGAGGAGGGAGGGAAATAAGACAGCAGACTCCCAAATTTAGCCTTTTAACACTCCTTCCCTTTGTGCCAGCAGGTCCAATAGAACGGAATGTTTCATTCAATCCAGTGACTTGAGCAAGCGCCTCTCTCCTGAATCTACTGTTTCTCAAGAATAATGAGTTTTGATGCAGCTAGTTAGCAAAAGGCAGGAACACAAAAGCAACTGAACCTTCCAGGTGCTTAATATTTAAAGATCCTTAATACTTGCAGCAGCATTAGAAAGAGAATTAGTGTAAAACTCCCAGGTATTGAACCAGGACTAAGCACTCTTATTCCCAGTGAACTGTCACAACAAACCTCTGGGATAAGAGCTATTATTACTCCCATTTTATAGACCAGAACAATGAAACTACTCCCAGAGGCAGACTTACTTGGTTCGGAGGACCAGCATGGCACTGTCCCTCCGATCCTGCCACAGAGCATGCAAAAAGGCAATGGCGGCACGATGCAGCAGGGGTGGGCACCAGTATCGATCTTGCTGTTGGGAATCAATCAGCTCCAGCACTGCATGGAGACAGCTCCACATCCCAAGGCTGAATTCCTGCAAGAAGGGACAGGTAAGAGTTCAGTTCCACAGCCACTGCCAGCAGCTGTACTTGCAGAGCCCAGCATCTGCCTCCCAGTGAGCCAACTCCCAGTGTCATCCCAGGTTACAGGCTTACCTTTGAGCCATCACTGCCATCCTTAACTTCCAGGTTCAGAAACAGTTCGATGAGGCCTGGCTGGGTCTCTACTGCAACAGTGAGGAACTCTAGAATCATGACTTTGATGCGCATGTCCTCAATTTTGCTCTGCAATCGGGTCAGGAAGGCATCACGAATGGCAGCCGCATCATTGCCCAGACAAGCATACACTGACATTGGGGCCACCTGGTGGAGACCGGAACACACAGGCTTAGAGCTCTGCTTCCACAAAAACCTCAATGGGCTCCCACAGAAGGGCACTGAAGAGCTCCCAGAAAATTGGCAGAAAGGGAAGCATCCAGACTACAGCTCTGGGCTAAAAGGGACATCACCACAAACAAGCATGAGATGCCCGCAAATTCACAGGAAAGACAGTAATCAGTATAAAGAAATGCTCAACTTCCCTCATGGTTAAATAAATACAAACTGAAAAGTGAAACATTTTTTTGCTTATTAGATTGGCAAAGACTAAACAATGATGAAGACCTTGCAGCAACGATAGAATACTTGGTGTTATAAGTATAAACTGTTACAATGTTTTTTGGAAGGTAATTTGGAAATATCTAATAAAAAATATCATGTTCATTTATACCTACATAAATCTTTGGAACTGTAAACAAATGTTTACAGGGTGGTAGGGATAATAATGTTCACTGCAGCACTGCTTGTAATAGTGAAAGACAGAAAGTAGCGCAAATAAATCAGGATGCATCCATTCTAGGATGTGATATGCAAACATTAAAAAGAATGAAGGAAGTCCAAATTAAAAAAAGGAAAAAAGACAAAAAAGAATGAAGGAAGTCCAAATGTGCCTATGTGGCATGAAGCACATCAAGACTGCCTGATATGGTATCAAGTAAAGGAAGCCAGTCATAAAACAGTACCAGGGGCCAGGCACAGTGGCTCACGCCTGTAATCCCAGCATGTTGGGAGGCTGAGGCAGGCAGATCACTTGAGATCAGGAGTTCGAGACTAGCCTGGCCAACATGGCAAAACTTCGTCCCTACTAAAAATACAAAAAAATCAGCTGGGTGTTGTAGTGGGCGCCTGTAATCCCAGCAACCTGGGAGGCTTAGACAGGAGAATCGCATGAACCTGGGAGTGGAGGCTGCAGTGAGATCATGCCACAGCACTCCAGCCTGGGTGATGGAGTGGGACTGTCTCAAAACAAAAACAGTACCAGGAAGGGCTGGGCGCGGTGGCTCATGCCTGTAATCCCAGCACTTTGGGAGGCCAAGCGGGCAGATCACGAGGTCAGGAAATCGAGACCACGGTGAAACCCCGTCTCTACTAAAAAAAATACAAAAAATTAGCCGGGTGCAGTGGCAGGCGCCTGTAGTCCCAGCTACTCGGGAGGCTAAGGCAGGAGAATGGCTGAACCCAGGAGGCGGAGCTTGCAGTGAGCCGAGATCGCGCCACTGCACTCCAGCCTAGGCAACAGAGCGAGACTCCGTCTCAAAAAAAAAAAAAAAAAAGAAAGAAAAACAGTACCAGGAATTCTGCTTTTATCAAGAACAAAAGTACACACTCAAATACTTTTTTTTTTTTTTTTGACTCTGTCGCCCAGGCTGGAGCACAGTGGTGTGAACTCGGCTCACTGCAACCTCCACCTCCCGGGTTCAAGCAATTCTCCTGCCTCAGCCTACTGAGTACCTGGGACTACAGGCACACGCAGCCACACCCGGCTAATTTTTTTGTATTTTAGTAGAGATGGGGTTTCACCGTGTTGCCCAGGATGGTTTCAAACTCCTGAGCTCAGGCAAGCCACCCACCTGGGCCTCCCAGAGTCCTGGGATTACAGGCATGAGCCACCACGCCCAGCCCTAAATACCTTTATTATTTTATTTTTTGAGGCGGTGTCTCACTCTGTCGCCCAGGCTGGAGTGCAGTGATGTGATCTCAGCTCACTGCAACCTCTGTTGCCCAGTTTCAAGCGATTCTCCTGCCTCAGCCTCCTGAGTAGCTGGGATTACAGGCACCTGCCACCCAGCTAATTTTGGTATTTTTAGTAGAGGTGGGGTTTCACCATCTTGGCCACGCTGGTCTTGAACCCCTGACCTCATGATCCACCTGCTTCAGCCTCCCAAAGTACTGGGATTACAGGTGTGAGCCACAGCGCCCAGCCGATACTTTTTAAAATACAAGAACACAGATAAGAAATGTGGAGCACAGCCTTGGAGACATAGCCAGACCCTATTTCAAAAAAAAAAAAAAAAAAAAGAAATCTGGAGCATGGCATATCCCCCTGCCCATAGGGATTCTTGGAATAAGGAGATCATAGGGCATCTTAACTTTCTGTTACATCTATTTGTAACATTTAAATAAATATTTTACAATAAGCATGTCTTTTTTCTCCTTTTATCTTGAGACGGAGTCTCGCTCTGTCGCCCAGGCTGGAGTGCAGTGGCGTGATCACAGCTCACCGCAACTTCTGCCTCCCGGGTTCAAGCAACTCTCTGCCTCAGGCTCCCAAGTAGCTGGGATCACAGGCACCTGCCACCACGCCTGGCTAATTTTTGAGATGGAGTCTTGCTCTGTCACCCAGGCTGGAGTGCAGTGGCGCGATCTCAGCTCACTGCAAGTTCCGCCTCCCTAGTGCATGCCATTCTCCTGCCTCAGCCTCCCAATTAGCTGGGACTACAGGCGCCTGCCATAATGCCTGGCTAATTTTTTGTATTTTTCAGTAGAGAAGGGGTTTCACCGTATTAGCCAGGATGGTCTTGATCTCCTGACTCTGTGATACACCCGCCTCGGCCTCCCAAAGTGCTGGGATTACAGGCGTGAGCCACCATGCCCGGCCCCCTAATTTTTGTATTTTTAGGAGAGATAGGGTTTCACCATCTTGGCCAGGTTGGTCTTGAACTCCTGACCTTGTGATCTACCCACCTCAGCCTCCCAAAGTGCTGGAATTACAGGCATGAGCCACCGCACGCAGCCTTTTCTCCTTTTTTCTATATTAGAGATGGGGTCTCACTATGTGGCCCAGGCTGGTCTTGAACTCCTGGGCTCAAATGATCCTCCCACCTTGGCCTCCCAAAGTGCTGGAATTATATACAGGCGTTAAGCCGCTGCACGTGGCCTGAGCATGTCTTTTGTAATCAGGGGGAAAAAAACACCCTCATATAAACAGTGTGTGTGCATGAAGTACGATCCTACCGTGGCCAGACGTTTCAGCAGCTGAATGGCAAGACGTGGCAAAGCAGGGTCATGTTTGTGGTAGATGTATTTGGCTAGAACAGCAATGAGGTTGTTTCCATGAGCACCTAAAGCAGCACAGGAAACAGTTTAGATATCAAGTGTGCCTAATTCAAGTCCTTAGAGCACTGACTGTTCAAAAAAGACCCACAGTGTGTATGTGAAGGAATTTACCCTCAAGTACTTGGAGGGCCACAGCAAACCTAGGTGGCTGTATCCTTCTCTTGATTGAGGAGCAAAAGAATAGTCAGAATTTGGGGATAAACAGTTCAACCCAACTCATCGACAGCAAAGATACATTTTGAATAAAATAGGTGCTTATTTTATTAATTTTTATTTATTTATTAATTTTTTTTGAGACAGAGTCTCACTCAGTCACCCAGGCTGAAGTGCAGTGGCACGATCTCGACTCACTGCACCTCCACCTCCCAGGTTCAAGCAATTCTCCTGCCTCAGCCTCCTGAGTAGCTGGGATTACTGGCGTGCACCACCACGTCCAGCTAATTTTTAAAATTTTTAATAGAGACAGGGTTTCACCATGTTGGCCAGGCTGGTCTTGAACCCGACCTCAAGTGATCCACCCACCTCGGCCTCCCAAAGTGCTAGGATTACAGGCACCCACCACCATACCCAGCTAACTTTTGTATTTTTAGTAGAGATGGGGTTTCACTGTGTTGGCCAGGCTGGTCTCAAACTCCTGACCTCGTGATCCGCCCACCTCGGCCTCCCAAAGTGCTGGGATTAAAAGCGTGAGCCACTGCACCCAGCCTATCTTTTTTTCTTTTTGAGAGAGGGTTTCACTATGTTGTCCAAGCTGGAGTGCAGTGGCAAAATCATGGCTCACTGCAGCTTTGACCTGCCAAGCTTCAAACAATCCCCCAACCTCAGCCTCCTGAGTAGCTGGGACCACAGGCATATGCCACCAGGCCCAGCTACTTTTTTTTGTTTGTTTTGGTATAGATGGAGGTCTCCTTATTTTGCCCAAGCTGGTCTCGAACTCCTGGACTCAAAGTATCCTCCCCAGCCTCACCGTCCCAAAGTGCTGGGATTACAGACGTGAGCCACCATGCCCAGCCCTTTATTATAATCTTATTAGGAAGATACTACAGGCATCCATAATCTGAAAACCTCAAATTAGAGCACGGTGGCTCATGCCTGTAATCCCAGCACTTTGGGAGGCCAAAGAGGGCAAGTCACCTGAGGTCAGGAGTTCGAGACCAGCCTGGCCAACATAGCGAAAGCTCGTCTCTACCAAACAGAACAAAACAACAAAATAAAACAAAACAAAACAAAAATTAGCCGGGCGTGGGACAGATGCCTGTAATCCCAGCTACTCGGGAAGCTGAGGCAGGAGGATTGCTTAAACCCAGGAGGCAGATGCTGCAGTAAGCCGAGATTGCGCCACTGCACTCCAGCCTGGGCAACAGAGCTAGACTGTCTCAAAAAAAAAAAAAAAAAAAAAAAAAAATTAAAAAATTAAAAAAAATCTGGAATGTGTCAAAATCTCTAACTATAGCTCAAAGGAAATGCTCACTGGAACATTTTGGATTTATGCTAAACTGGTAAGTATACTGCAACTATTCCAAAATATGAAAAAAAAATCTGAAACCCAAAACACTTCTGGTCCCAAGCATTTCAGATAAGGGATACTCAACCTGTACCATTATCCCCATTTTACAGATGAGAAATCAGAGGCAGAGTTGTTTAATAACGTACCCAAGGTCACACAGTTGATTGGATACAAAATTTGAACCAAGGCAGTCTGACTTCAAATCTGCATTCTTAACTATTATTCTATCATCAATAGGAGGCAGAAATAAAGTACCATCTAGTCCTTTTGTTTCCAATTTCAGGAAAGGAGCTGGTAATCATTCCCAAACTTCCTCAAGAAGCAGAAAATACTGTTGACATCCAAAAACACTGCCTAAGATACGTATTTATGAGCAAAAATGACTGGAAGAGAAATACATACCATGTTGTGACTGGAAGAGAAATACATACCATGTTGTGAGAGAGCCTGTTCCAGGGGGGACACCACATTAGAAGGAGGTTTCAGCCGAATAACATTGTTGGTGACGGAGAATGCCAGTTTCACTGTCTTGATCAGCAGCTGGCCCTGCCCCTGGCCCTCTGCCCCATCACTAGGGTGCCAAATGGAAACCAAAGATGATTCAGACAGTATGACTTCATTCGCAATATATGTGCTCTCATGAATTAGATTCCAACAATAATCCCAGAGTTCAACAGCTTCTGTTAGAGGCCCCAGTCCAAACTAGGAGAGAGGAGGAGTAATCAACTCCCTTTGCTATACGCCAATCTATACAGCAGCCACTAGGGTATGTAAAGGCTATGTCCTAGGAAGAACAATGTCGTCTTCTAAAAGCTACTGCAAGTTAACTTAAACTGGAGTTATTAGTAACATGCAGGCACAATAAAGACAGACAAAGGGAACGTGGAGAAGGAGCCCTACCTTCGAGGCTGAGCAGCCATCACCATGTCAATGGTGTCCACGCCAATGCCCATGATATTGATAACTGTCTGTCCTGCTTCTGTGTATGCCAGGCTGCAGATGCAGAGAAACTGCAGGCTGGGAGTATGACTGGAAGACAGAGGTATTCTGAGTTACCAGGGAGCCACTCAGTGTATCTTGGAAGGAAGGGCATTGTCCAATTAGGCTAGGGTGGCTAACCTAACCTACTGGACACTGGAGACCAGCTCTCTGCAAGCTGAAGGCACTCTGATCACTTTCCTGAAACAGACTTGATCACCTAAAGATCACCCTGAGAAGCAATCTAAATGTCCATCAAGTAACAGATACAGCTACTGAAAAGGATCATAATTAATCCATATGATGGAATGCATAGAACCATTAAAATAAGACATCTATAAGCAGTAGCATGGAAAGAAAGTTACAGTCAATACAGAAAGAGGAAAAAACCAAGAATACATAGTAACTGGCCCTGGGATGCAGATATATATGAAGAGTGTCTCGTCAGGAATGAACTTTTGTAACGATCATAAAGAATGATTAATATATTAGTGTATGTATACACATACACACACACACACACACACACACACACACACACACACACACACTCTCTCTCTCTCTCTCTCTCTCTCATTCCTACTTCTCTGTCCACAGTGAGAAATGATAAACAGGCCAATGGAAAGCAACTAACAACCTCAAGATTACTGAGTTCTGGGCTCAAGCAAGGTAAATTCTCTGGAAGAACTGAGACGGCTTTGCACAGCAAAAGCCCGTGTCTTGCCTTGGCGAGCACCAAGCTCTAGTAATCAACCCTTCATTACCTGCTGTGCAGGTCTGTCTCGTGGCACAGGTTCAGTATCGCATGAATCAGCTCCAAGATCAGGCAACCTGGACTCCAGAAAAGACAGAGGAATGATGTGGCCTTGTGAAATGACCCCTTATCTCAAGAAAGGGAAAGAAAAAAGCTCTCCAGTGGGGCCAGAAATCCCCAGGTCTTCCCTGCCCATGCTGTCCTTACCAATCTGTTCCCTCACTCCATGAGAGTTGTAGCGCCACTTATGGTAGCTGGGAAGCATCTCCTTCAGCACAAACATTACACAGGGTACAAGTCCTTGGCTCTGGGTACTACCAAGTTGCCCCTACAAGAAACCATGCAGTGAGGACTTCCGCACATTTAAGGAAAAGTCATTTAGTTACCTAGAGATTTAATTCCAAAACCATAGATAGGTCCAAAGGAAATCTAGGCAAACCTTGGTCATCAATGAAAAAAAAGAAACATCAAAAGTCCTACTTTATAGTTGAGCCCAAGTTGTGGGTCTTTTCTAGAATAGAAAAAGTGATGAAAGAGAATGTCACAAAAGGCACCAACACGAAGAAAAGGGATGCAGGCTAAATCTGGACAGAAGGGAGGCACCTTAAACATAAAGGATAGAGGATTGCTGATGATGAACAATGCCACTTCACTATCATGATTGCCAGCCGTCCCTAACCTCAATCCCATCACTGAAATACTAGAAAGGAGATCTGATATGCAAAAATCTGATACCCAATGATATCTGTTAACTGTAGCATCCTTCTACTAAAAATGGGGACTCTTTAGTTATATATAAATATCTATATATTCCTATCTCTATATGCAATCTTTTTTTTCGCCCCCAAGATGGAGTTTCACTCTTGGCACCTAGGCTGGAGTGCAATGGCGTGATCTCGACTCGCTGCAACCTCCGCCTCCCAGGTTCAAGCAATTCTCCTGCCTCAGCCCACTGAGTAGCTGGGATTACAGGCGTCCACCACCACGCCCAGCTAATTTTTGTATTTTTAGTAGAGATGAGGTTTCACCATGTTGGCCAGGCTGGTCTCAAACTCCTGATCAGCCTCAGGTGATCCATCCGCCTCGGCCTCCCAAAGTGCTGGGATTACAGGCATGAATCACTGCACCCAGCCTACAATCATTTCTTTTTAAGCATTCATTGATTCCTGCAGGCAGGAAGTATAGTTTTTTTCATGCATGACCCTCTTCTCAATCCCATGAGGTAGAGACCATATAGCATTCTGTTTTAGAGACTCTTAAGATATTCTTTACTTGCTCAAGGTCATGCAGCTAGTAAGCTGTCAACCTGAATGTAAACCTAATTCTGACTCCAAAATTTATGCTCTATGTCATTATTTATGCTCTATGTCAGTATTTTTCAAACCGAGTTGTAACCCATTAGTAGATTATGAGATCAGTCTATGGTCAAAATTCACTTAAATAGGGAGGAGACTGAATAGAAAATATCAGGGTACAACTTGTGTGGTAAGAATAAATGTTGTGAAATAAACTGTGAAATTTTGCTTCAGGAATATACACACATGTATATATACTGGGATATGATATTATCCCAGGTTACTGTCAAAATAGCTTGATAGTAACTGCAATACCCTTTTGGCCTCTTCCATTCTACTTCATAAACCTTCCAATCATTAAATAAATTCACATAATTAAGCACCTAATAGAGTACATAACTGGCACATACTAGGTACTCAATACATAGAAACTGTTGTCACTGTAACTTCAAGATGACTATTCTGCCTACAGACAAGAAGATTACAGCACCAGGGGCCAGGGAAACTATTTCAGAGTCATCTGACAAGACTGGACCTTTTCTTTTTCTGCCCTTTGTGAACAAAATCAGACTGTACCTTGACAAGGGTGGTGATCAAGCGCAGAAAGGCAATAGTAACCCCATACTCGCCCTGAGGCTGTTCACTGTTCATCAAGAGGTTTCCGTACCCTCCAGCATTCATCCCTTCCGCACTGGAAAAAGAAGTAGAGGGAAAAAAAATGATAGGGAAATTTCAAGGTTTCAAGAAACTAATCATAGAGCATTCTTGTTATAGTCTAGATGACTTGAATATAAAATAGAAAAGCTCTCCAGTGGAAATAATCCAATCAAGACAGTTCTGTACCCAGGGTAAACATTAAGAACATGTTTTATTGATGTAAAACCTAGATTGAAAGTAAAAAAATCAAAGGAACATCAGGGAAACATTTTTGTCAAGAGACAGCAAGGCGAGAATGCTCAGGTAGTAAGATGGAGCCTGTGTACTGGTAAGTGGTCTACTGGCTGAGCTCGAGAACCCATGAAATGAGAAAAAGTACAGAGTGATTGTGGCTTAATAACGGGACACCAAGTCCCTGAATCTAGAAACCTCTGGATTTTCTGGGCTGGAAAGTAAATGCTCACATACTAACGTGATTGATGTTGGATAAGAAATCTCTCTTGCTCTCGGCCGGGCACCATGGCTCATGCCTGTAATCCCAGCACTTTGGGAGGCCAAGGCAGGCGGATCAGTTGAGGTCAGGAGTTCGAGACCAGCCTGGCCAACACGGTGAAACACTATCTCTACCAAAAATGCAAAATTACCGGGGCGTGGTGGTGAATGCCTGTAATCCCAGCTACTTGGGAGGCTGAGGCAGGAGAATCACTTGAACCTGGGAGGCGGAGGTTGTGGTGAGCCAAGATCACGCCATTGCACTCCAGCCGGGGCAACAAGAGCGCAACTCCATCTCAAAAAAAAAAAAAAAAAAATCAGGCCAGGCGCGGTGGCTCACGCCTATAATCCCAGCACTTTGAGAGGCTAAGGCGGGCAGATCACTTGAGACCAGGAGTTCCAGACGAGTCAGACCAACATGGTAAGACCTCGTCTCTATTAAAAATACAAAAAATTAGCCGGGCGTGGTGCCGCACATCTGTAATCCTGGCTACCGGGGAGGCTGAGGTGGGAGAATTGCTTGAACCCGGGAGGCAGAGGCTGCAGTGAGCTTAGATCGTGCCACTGCACTCTGGCCTCGGTAACAGAGCGAAACTCCATCTCAAAAAATAAAAAAAGTAAATAAATACATAAATAATACAAAAATTAGCTGGGCGTGGTGGCTCGAGCCTATAATCCCAGCTACTCGGGAGGCTGAAACACAACAACTGCTTGAACATGGGAGGCGGAGGCTGCACCACTGCACTCCAGCCTGGGCAACAGAGTGAGACTCCATCTCAAAAAAATAAACAAACAAATACATAAAAATAAAATTAATAAACCTAGGCTAGATCTGAGACATATGTGGTTCTCACTAGGGAATATGGCCCACCACCCTAGGACTTGGCTCACCTAATCATCTGACTCAGGCTGGAGACAGGATGGGCCACAAATGGTAAAAAACCTGTGTGACGAAGATCAGTCCAGACCTGAGAAGGAAAAGGAAGAGTTAAATGCCCACATATCTTCAGGTATGTGCCAAGTGCTACATTTTTGGCTCTTGGGAAGATCTGGCATCTCACCTTTGCTGGATTGCGGGCAGCCAAAACAGTTAAGCAGTTGACACAAGAAGCAATGACATCCACAGGTGGGGAGATCACTGTCGTTAACCTGGTTGGAGAACAATACACTATACTCAATAAAGCAAATAATACAACTGGTTCCCTCACAAACATTTTTCCACTTCTCTCTCCCCAGTCTCTCCCCTCAGCAGACATATAAAAACAGGAAAACCCTCACAGATATAAAAACAGGAAAACCAAGGAATATGCGCGAACTTTAACCCAGTGGGTATGTGTCCAGGTTCCTGCAAACTGAGGGCACAAGTGCTGAGATCTCTACTGGGCAGCTGAGGGTCAGCCAAGACAGACTCACCGCTGCAGCAGCATGTAGATGCGAGATGTGATGGGCAGGAGACAGTCTGCTATCGACAGGTCTGTACTGATGACCTTATGGACGAGATCAATGATGGGTTTGACTCGCTGGCAGTGCTGAATCACATCTGAGAAGAAAGACAGCCTGTGACCTCACGGCAAACAACCCCTTTAAGATCACTGAACAGTCTCTGAGACCCAGATACACAAATCAGACAAATCACAATCTTGATGGTTCTAAATTTTATGTAGATATTCTATTTTCTAAATCCTCCAAGCATATCCACTTTTCCTCCTCGTAGGTGATGTTTCCGAAAGCTGACCTTACCTGCAGTTGAAACAACATGAAGCAACATTTCAATCTCGCAGGTAAAGAGGGTCCAGCTGCTATAGGAGTATTCCCAGCGTACCAGGTATGCCCTATCATCCAACATTACTTGGCCCACAGTGCCTTGAGGTATGCGAAGGTTGGTTTGACCCCCTGAGAGAGAAAGATAAATTAGTCTAATATCTGAGGATAAATAAAAAATGTAACTCCTCTACCAGACATCAATATTTTAAACACACAGAGATACACAAACTCACAGACATTTTTTTTTTTTGAGACAGAGTCTCCCTCTTGCCCAGGCTGGAGTGCAGTGGCGCGATCTCGGCTCGCTGCAACCTCCACCTCCTGGGTTCAAGTGATTCTCGTGCTTCAGCCTCCCAAGTAGCTGGGACTACAGGTGCGCACCACCACTCCTGGCTAATTTTTGTATTTTTAGTAGAGATGGGGTTTTCCATGTTGACCAGGCTGGTCTTGAGCTCCTGGCTTCAAGTGATTTGCCTGTCTTGGCCTCCCAAAGTTCTGGGATTCACAGGCTTTCTTCTTAGTAGCTAACATTCCTAAAGCTTTTTCAACTAAAATACACAAAAAAGTTCTTGTCATGTAGACAAGTGTCTTTTTTTTTTTGAGATGGAGTTTTGCTCTTGCTGCCCAGGCTGGAGTGCAATGGCGCGATCTCAACTCACTGCAACCTCTGCCTCCCAAGTTCAAACGATTCTCCTGTCTTAGCCTCCCGAGTAGCTGGGATTACAGGCATGCACCACCACGCCCGACTAATTTTATATTTTTAGTAGAGACGGGGTTTCTCCATGTTGGTCAGGCTGGTCTCGAACTCCCGACCTCACGTGATCCGCCCACCTTGGCCTGTAATCCCAGTGTTGGGATTACAGGCGTGAGCCACTACACCTGGCCGACAAGTGACTCTTTCTATATGTCTGAAAATCACTTGAGTGCAAAGAACAGTTTTCCATTCAAATGATGATAACAACAGTACCTCATAGGACTGTTAGTGCCTAGATGACTGGAGAAGTCAGTGGTGATGATGCCAGGATTAAAACGGTGAGGCTATTCCCTGTATATTTTCCTCTTTGAGCACCTGGTACAGATGTGAGCCTCAGAGTGTAACTGCCTGGATGCATTGGCTCACGTCTATAATCCCAGTGCTTTGGGAGGCTAAGGTGGGAGAATCACTTGAGCCCAAGAATTTGAGGCTGCAGTGAGCTATGATCTTGCCACTGCACTCCAGCTTGGGTGACAGAGCAAGACATCAAAAAAAAAAAAAGCTGTCATAAAAGGGGGATCTCTTTATCTCACCAAGGGGATAAAGGAGTTTGGGTGTTTGTCTCCGCCAAAGAGTTCCATCTTCATGGGAGATCACATCATGAGGCTTGTGTTTATAAAGTTCATTGTAGAAAGACATCTTATCCAAGAAGCTATACACCTGCCAAAACAGAAAAAACCATCACACATTTCCCTCCAGGATAAGCAAGGAGAGGTCCCACAGTCTGCTCTTTCAACCAGACTCTCAAACTTCTTGCAAGCCCACCACTGTGACTGTTCTTGGAACTGCCTTCTGCGCCCCTCGCCAAATCTTCACTGGGCTTTAACACTCAACTCAAGTCCCCATCACTCCACAAGGGCAGTTATCTCTCCTGAACAGTATGGTCTTTATTGCTCAAATGACATTTACTCTGTACCACCTGGCTCTTAGCTATTTATTTCTTATATCTAGTAACTTCCAACTAGATATTAAGGAACTTTATACTTAGTCTTAGTCCCACAGTATCTACAATAGGTACTTAATGAAAAGATTATTTAATTTTTTAGAATTGAGGTGCTATCTTTGGTATCTTTCATTCACCTTCAGACAAACTTTTGTCATGGCAGTAGAACTGCAATGTGGAAAGCAAAAAAGATTCCTAATAAAGTCTCCATAAAGAATCTCCCATTCTCTTTACTTATCTGACTAAGCAACTTACCTTTTTGGCTGTGGACTTCCCTGATACCAGGGCTCGGAGCAGTTGCAGGAGTGGGGAGAGAAGGTGGGGAAACATTCCACACACACTGTCCAGAATGATCCCAAGGCCAGAAGTTGGCTCCTGTGGTGGAAGGGGACAAATCACTGATCTTCACATTATCCACAAATTAACATCTCTCCAAATTTCCCAGCAATCATGAGAAAATTTAGAATTAATCCTTCCTTTTAGACAGATATCATCCCTCCTTAATAATTTAAGACTTTCATATTTCCACTGAAAAAGGATATAAAATAATTGATTTAGTGAGGGACCTAAAAAAAGATTACTATTCTATCCAGTGACCTCTTCCCAGCCATCCTTTCTATGGGAAGACAGTATTGTTCACCTGTGCATTACATGTTTCCACTAAAGTGCAAATTACCCAACTATGTCAGCAGTTGGCTACCACACAGCAACCACAGATCCTCACTCTAGATACTGTTTCATACCAGCTTCTCCTTCTCCCAGGAGCACTGTGGTTCTATAACATCAGACAGCATCTTACAAAAAAGAGGGTAAAATACACAGGTAGATCATCAGTTGGATCTTGAGGTTTGAGACTGTTGTCAATGCTCAGAGCAAGTACTGGTGAGAAATTGTTCTTTTCAAAGCCAAATTCTCACTCTAACTAGTTACAATACCCTGACAACTCATAGGCTACGGTTACAATCTCCTAAAAGCACTTTCAAGAGCTGCAGGAACACTGGTGTCTAAAACACTGCCATATATAAAAACAAAAAACTGGTGGGTTGGAAGGCCGGGCTCAGTGGCTCACGCCTGTAACCCCAGCACTTTGGGAGGCCGAGGCTGGCAGATCACGAGGTCAGGAGATCGAGACCAGCCTGGCCAACATAGTGAAACCCCGTCTCTACTAGAAATACAAAAAATTAGCCAGGCATGGTGGCGGGCGCCTGTAATCCCAGCTACTTGGGAGGCTGAGGCAGGAGAACTGCTTGAACCCGGGAGGCAGAGGTTGCAGTGAGCCGAGATCGCGCCATTGCACTCCAGCCTGGGCAACAGAGCAAGACTCCATCTCAAAAAACAAGACAAAACCAAAACAAAAAAAAAAACCTGGTGGGCTGGAGACAGCACACTGGTAATAACGTGGGCTGCAGACTCAAGTCAGACAGAACTGGGTTCTGGCTGCCTCTTTCTATGTGTGACTTTGAGCAAATCACTTCACATCTCTAAGTGTCATGTGTCATCACATTAAAAGAGGGACAGTAATAGTATCTACTTCATACGTTTTTATGAAGATTAAATGAGAAAATGCACATGAATGCTTAGTACAAAACCTGTAAGAAAACAAGTGTTTGAACAATTCTTTTGCTATGCAGTGACTCTCTCTGACATACTTACTGTTCCCCAGAACAGTTCCGGAAGAGAAGGGTCGGCCAATACTTCACATGCTGTATCAATTATATCCTGTTTGAGGAAGGGAAGAAAAATGGATCATTTTCCCTAGCTGAACCAGTCTATCTTTATTATTGTATTCTGTTGAAATAAAAACACCAAAACACCAATAAACACTAAAGTGGGAAGACCACTTCAATCCAGGAGTTCCAGAGCAGCCTGGGGAACATAGTAAATCCTCTTCTTGAAAACAAATAAATAAATAAAATAAAATAAACACCTTAATATAGAAAGTCAGAAAAAACTGGTTAAGAATTGGTTGGTTGGCTGGGTGTGGGGGCCACCCCTATAATCCTAACACTTTGGGAGGCAAGGCCGGCAGATCACTTGAGGTCAGGAGTTCGAGACCAGCCTGGCCAACATGGTGAAACCCCATGTCTACTAAAAATACGAAAGTTAGCCAGGTGTGGTGGCGCACACCTTATAATCCCAGCTACTTGAGTGGCTGAGGCATGAGAATCACTTGAACCCAGGCAATGGAGGTAGCAGTGAGCCGAGATCATGCCACTGTACTCTAGCCTGGGCAACAAAGTGAGGCTCTGTCTCAAAAAACAAACAAACAAAAAAACTGCTTAAGGGTGGATGGGTTGGTTGACTTATTTATTTATTTATATTTAAAGACAAGGTCATGCTCTATCACCCAGACTAGAGTGCAAGAATTCTGGGTGAGTGGGTTTGTTTCTTCCTTTTTACCTTTTTTTTTTTTTTTTTTTTTTTGAGTCTCACTCTGTCGCCCAGGCTGGAGTGCAGTGGCGCGATCTTGGCTCACTGCAAGCTCCGCCTCCCAGGTTCACGCCATTCTCCTGCCTCAGCCTCCTGAGTAGCTGGGACTACAGGCGCCTGCCACCACGCCCAGCTAATTTTTTGTATTTTTAGTAGAGACGGGGTTTCACCATGTTAGCCAGGATGGTCTCGATCTCCTGACCTCGTGATCCGCCCGCCTCAGCCTCCCAAAGTGCTGGGATTACAGGTGTGAGACCAGCCTCTTTTTACCGTTTTTGTATATAAGTATGTAAGTAGGTATGTTATCTATTTTTAGAGACAGGGTCTTGCTCTGTTGCCAAGACTGGAGTGCAGTGGCACCATCATAGCTCACTGCAGCCTTTAACTCCTGGGTTTAAGTGATCTTCTCGCCTCCGCCTCCCAAAGCACTGGGTTACAGAAGTGTACCACCATGCCCAGCCAAGAACTCTGGGTTTAAAAAGTAAGATTATATCCTGTCCAGGGTGTGTTGTGTCTGCTGTACAATGTTAGACAAATTCATCTCTCTGAGCCAGAAATGCTTTATCTGTAAAATGGGGACAGTAATTTCTGCTTCAAAGTAGGATTATAAGTAAGGATTATAAATAAGGATTAAATGAGATAATGTATGAGGAAGTAGACTGTAAATTCAAAAATGCCACATAAATGTAAGTTATTACTAGGCTCAGCTAAACTGCTCTCCTAGAGGGCAAAAACAATGTCTTTCTTTTTTTTAGATGAAGTTTCGGTCTTTCACCCAGACTGGAGTGTAATAGCACAATCTCGGCTCACTGCAACCTCCGCCTCCCCGGTTTAAGCAATTCTCCTGCCTCAGCATCCCGAGTAACTGGGATTATAGGTGCCCACCACCACGCCCAGCTCATCTCTGCCATTTTAGTTTCACCATGTTGGCTGGGCTGGTCTCAAACTCCTGACCTCAGGTGGCCCGCCTGCCTTGGCCTCCCAAAGTGCTGGGATTACAGACATGAGCCACTGTGCCTGGCCAAGAACAATGTCTTTAATTGTTTTATCCTTAGCGCTTAGCACAGAGCTTAGCATACACAGGGAATCTAATAAATGCTCACTGAATGATTTCTTTAAAATCCAAGTACCTGGTCGGGCACGGTGGCTCATGCCTATAATGCCAACACTTTGGGAGGCCGAGGCAGGCAGATCACAAGGTCAGGAGATCGAGACCATCCTGGCTACCATGGTGAAACCCGTCTCTACTAAAAATACAAAAAAATTAGCTGGGTATGGCGGCGGGCGCCTGTAGTCCCTGCTGCTGGGGAGGCTGAGGCAGGAGAATGGCGTGAACACGGGAGGCGGAGCTTGCAGTGAGCCGAGATCGCGCCACTGCACTCCAGCCTGGGTGACAGAGCGAGACTCCGTCTAAAAAAAAAAAAAAAAAAAAATCCAAGTACCAGGACTCCTGCAACTCTGTTTTTTTGGTTGTTGTTGAGATGGGGTCTCACTCTGTCTCCCAGGTTGGAGTGCAGCGACGCCATCTCAGCACACTGAAACCTGTGTCTCCCAGGCAAGTGATCCTACCTCAGCCTCCTGAGTAGCTGGGACTACACGTGCGCGCCACCACACTCAGTTAACTTTTTGTATTTTTGGTAGAGACAGGGCTTCATCATGTTGCCCAGGCTGGTCCTGAACTCCTGAGCTCAGGTGTTCTACCCACCTTGGCCTCGGAAAGTGCTGGGATTACAGGTGTGGGCCACAGTGCTTGGCCCTAATATGTTAATACCAATCCTCCAGGTGTAAGGTCAGGTCAAAAGTAACCAGAATTCTCCCAAAGTACACAAACCTTGTTCTATGCCCATGACCTTTAGAAATTGAGTCTTTTTTTTTTTTGGAGACAAAGTTTTGCTCTTGTTGCCCAGGCTGGAGTGCAATGTCACAGTCTCAGCTCACTGCAACCTCCGCCCCCCGGGTTCAAGCAATTCTCCTGCCTCAGCCTCCCAAGTAGCTGGGATTACAGGCGCCTGCCACCATGTCCAGCTAATTTTTGTATTTTTAGTAAAGATGGGGTTTCACCATGTTGGCCAGGCTAATCTCAAACTCCTGACCTCAGATGATCTGCCCTCTTTGGTCTCCCAAAGTGCTGGGATTACAGGAGTAAGCCACCACACCCAGCCTCTAGAAATTGAGTCTTTCAATTCAACACAAACTCATTTCTCTCTAATGATAAAAAATTTTAATTTTCACCAAGTTAGTCAATTTACAAAACAAGTTCCTAGTCACTAAAAATGAACAGAGTGATTTAGTTTTCAGGATACTCATCAAATATCATTTCCCACTAAAAATAACCAAGGCTATTAGAATAAGCAGATTTCAGGTCTTACACAAGAATCTTACAAGATAATCCTGTAACATCTTGTACCAGAAAGCAACAGAGAAAAGAGGCAAGGCACAGTGGCTCACACCTATAACCCAAGCACTCTGACAGGCCAAGGCAGGCAGATCACTTGAGGTCAGTAGTTTGAGATCAGCCTGGCCAACAAGGGGAAACACTGTCTCTACTAAAATTACAAAAACTAGCCAGACATGGTGGCGCACACCTGTAATCCCAGCTACTCAAGGGGATGAGGCAGGAAAATCACTTGAACCCAGGAGACAAGAGTTTGCAGCGATCTGAAATCACGCCACTGTACTCCAGCCTGGGCGACAGAGTGAGACTCCGTTTCAAAACAATAAAAAATAAACATAGGCCTGGTGCAGTGGCTAATGCCTGTAATCCCAGCACTTTGGGAGGCTGAGGCAGGCGGATCACTTGAGGTCAGGAGTTTGAGGCCAGCCTGGCCAACATGGCAAAACCCCGTCTACTGAAAATACAAAAATTCGCCAGACGTGGTGGCGTACACCTGTAAACTCAGTTACTCAGGAGACTGAGGCAGGAGAATTGCTTGAACCCAGGAGGCAGACTTGAAGTGAGTGGAGATCACGCTACTTACTCTCCAGCCTGGGCGACAGAGCGAGACTCCGTCTTAAAGAAAAATAAATAAGGCCAGGCGCGGTGGCTCACGCCTGTAATCCTAGCACTTTGGGAGGCTGAGGCGGGCGGATCACGAGGTCAGGAAATCGAGATCATCCTGGCTAACACGGTGAAACCCCATCTCTACTAAAAATACAAAAAAAAGCCAGGCATGGTGGCAGGCGCCTGTTGTCCCAGCTACTCGGGAGGCTGAGGCAGGAGAATGGCATGAACTCAGGAGGCAGAGCTTGCAGTGAGCCAAGATCATGCCACCGCACTCCAGCCTGGACAAGGGCAAGACTCCGTCTCAAAAAAAAAAAAAAAAAGGAAAAGAAAAAGAAATTAATTAATTAAATTTAAAAAGTAAGCAACGGAGAAAATAAAAAAGACAAGAAAGCAACAGAGCTATCAAAATATATAAGGGTAGTGTCAAACAGATTTAGAAAGCTGTTACAGGCCAAATATGGGACTGAGCATAAAAAAAATAACTTCAGCCAGGCATAGTGGCTCACACCTATAATCCCAGCACTCTGGGAGGTGGAGGCAGTGGGATCACCTGAGGTCAGGAGTTCGGGACCAGCCTGGCCAACATGGCAAAACTCCATCTCTTCAAGAAAAACACAAAAATTAGCTGAGCATGGTGGCACACGCCTGTAGTCCCAGCTACTCAGGAGGTTAAGGTGAATGGATCATCTAAGCCCAGGGGGTGCAGGTTGAAGTGGGACGAGATCGCGCCACTGTATTCTGCACTCCAGCCTGTCTCCAAAAAAAAAAAAAAAGAGACAATGTTTTCTGGGGGGCTTTTGTGTGATAACGGTTGTAATGTTAAGTTTTGTTGAAATGTCTGTAGATTAAGTTAAATAGTATCTGACATTTGCTTTGAAATAATCAAGGAGGGAAGGGGCAGAAAAAGGATTATCCATGAGATGATAACTGGTAGAAGCTGGTGATGGGCTCATGGGGTTCATTATGTAATTTTGTCTTCTCTGGTATAAGTTTGAAATGTTTCATCTTAAAAAACATTTTAGGCTAGGTGCCATAGCTCACACCTGTAATCCCAGCACTGTGGGAGGCTGACAGGGATGGACAGCTTAAGCCCAGGAGTTCAAGACCAGCCTGGGCAACACAGTGAGACCCTGTCTCAAAAAAAAAAAAAAAAAAAACAACAACCTGCTGCAGAAGACTTACTAGCACCAACAAATGTCTGGGACAGATGTACTACAGAGTAAAAAAAATGAGGTTACAAAACGGTATATATTTGGGAAGCCGAGGTGAGAAGTCCTGGAGTTTGAGACCAGCCTGGGCAATATACTGAGACCTGGTTTCTTAAAAAATAAACAAACAGGGCCAGGTGCAGTGGCTCACACCTGTAATCCCAGCATTTTGGGAAGCCAAGGCAGGTGGATCACGAGGTCAGGAGTTTGGGACCAGCTGGCCAAGATGGTGAAACCCCGTCTCTACCAAAAATAAAAAAATTAGCCGGGCGCGGTGGCAGGCACCTCTAATCCCAGCTATTTAAGAGGCTGAGGCAGAAGAATCGCTTGAACCCAGGAGGCAGAGGTTGCAGTGAGCCGAGATCGCGTCACTGCACTCTAGCCTGAGCAACAGAGCAAGACTCCGCCTCAAAAAAAATAAATGCATAAATAAATAAATAAACAGAAATTTTAAAAATAGTAAATCCATTGTTGTTCAATTTCTAGAGAAGAATTACTATATTTTCATGTATATACGTATTTGGAAAATGGAAGGGAATACATCAAAATGTTATCAAGTTATCTATGTGATAGGACTATACTTTTTTCTTTTTACAGCATTTTCTGTTTTTTCTACAATTAACATTTATCACCTATATAACAGTAAATGAAGACAAGGCCGGGTGCAGTGGCTCATGCCTGTTATCCCAGCACTTTGGGAGGCCGAGGCAGGCGGATCGCCTGATGTCAGGAGTTTAAGACCAGCCTGGTCGACATGGTGAAAGCCCGTCTCTACCAAAAATACAGAAATTAACTGGGCAAGGTGGCGGACGCCTGTAATTCCAGCTACTTAGGAGACTGAGACAGGAGAATCGCTCGAACCCAGGAGGCGGACGCTGCAGTGAGCCAAGATCGTGCCACCACACTCCAGCCTGGGGGACAGAGCAGGACTCCATCTCAAAAAAAAAGAAAAAAGTAAATAAAAAAATGAGTGCCAGTAAACAAATTAACACATGAGGTAAATAATATCAGATCCAATGGGGGTATATTTTTGGGACTTGATTGCAAAGCTGGGCAGTAGAGACAGCTTCATGAAAGCCAGACACTGACCTGCTGATTGCCCAGGGTGTGCAGCTCCAACGAGGTCAGAACGAAAGAGAGCAGTCCATAGACACACATGCATGCAGTGCTGGTGGTGCACTGGAATGACAAAGGAGTCAGTGAATCATTCTGAGTAATACAACTCTTCCCCAGGTTCGGCATAATCCTATCGCATTCATATATTCTTTGTAAACAAATGGGAAGGAAATCTGAAGCTTCATAATTTTCCTAATTTAGTTACAAGATCAGGAAGACCAAGGGAGAAAAGAGAAAGCAGGAACCACAAATATTACAACAAAGTCAAGAATAAAATCAGAAGGGAATTATTGCCAAAATCATCAAAGTTTGTGTGGGGAAAAAGAAAACCATATCCAGCCTACAGTAAACAGTCTGCATGTGGTAATGGGAATTGATATAGCACCTGAATGGCCACCAAGATAAGCCAACCAGTGACAACGAGTAGGGCCTGCTGGCTGAGTTTTCTTCCTTTTAAATAGGCTTTGTTTTGTAGAGCAGTTTTAGGTTCATAGCAAAACTGAGCAGAAAAGTACAAAGATTTCCCATATATCCTCTGCCTCCACACATAAATAGCATCCCACCAAAACAGTACAATTGTTACAACTGAATAACTTCAATTGGCATTATTATTATCACCCAAAGTCCACAGTTTACACTAAGGGTCACTCTTGTGTTGTACATTGTATGGATTTTTGGACAAGTATGACATGTATCCACCATTGTAGTATCACATGGAATAGCTTCACTGCCCTAAAAATCCTCTGTGAAATCCTCTGTGTTCTACCTAATTCAGACCTCCTGCTCCACTAGACCGTTGGCAACCCACTATTCTCTTTAATGTCTCCAAGGTTTTGCCTTCTCCAGAATGTCACGTAGTTGGAATCATATACTATGAAGCCTTTTTAGATTGGCTTCATTTACTAATATGCATTTAATGTCTTCTCCATGTCTTTTCATGGTTTGATGGCTCATTTAGCAGTATATAAATATTCCATCATCTAGATGTACAACAGTTTAGTTATACTTACTGAAGGACCTTTTAGTTGCTTTCGAGTTTTAGTAATTACGAATAAAGCTGCTATAAAGGTCTGTGTGTATGTTTTTGTGTGGATATGTTTTCAACGCCTTTGGGCAAATGCGTACCAACCAAGGAGTATAATTGCTGATTTGGCCGGGCACGGTGGCTCACACCTGTAATCCCAGAACTTTGGGAGGCTGAGGTGGGCAGATCACTTGAGATCAGTAGTTTGAGACCAGCCTTGCCAACATGGTGAAACCCCATCCCTACTACAAATACAAAAAATAGCCGGGCATGGTGGCAGGTGCCTGTAATCCCAGCTACTTGGGAGGCTGAGGCACGAGAATCACTTGAACCCGGGAGGCAGAGGTTGCAGTGAGCTGAGATCCACTGTACTCCAGCCTGGGCAATAGAGCAAGACTCAGTCTCAAAAAAAAGAAAAAGGAAAGGAAAAAATAATTGCTGAACCTGAGGTTTCATTTCACCATGTCAAAACGAGCTCACTAGCTGGGCACGGTGGCTCACGCCTGTAATCCCAGCACTTTGGGAGGCCGAGGCGGGTGGATCACGAGGTCAGGAGTTCAAGACTAGCTTGGCCAAGATGGTAAAACCCCGTCTCTACTAAAAATACAAAAAATTAGCTAGGCGTTGTGGCAGGCACCCGTAGTCCCAGCTACTTGGGAGGCTGAGGCAGGAGAATCGCTTGAACTTGGGAGGCAGAGGTTGCAGTGAGCCAAGATCGTGCCACTGCACTCCAGCCTGGGTGACAGAGCAAGACTCTGTCTCAAAAACAAACAAACAAACAAACAAACAAGCTCTCTAAACCATGCCACTCAAACCCCAACATAAGACTCAAGAGAATTTCTAATTCATCTTGTTACAGTTGATTAAGTCCCCTGAAAGTGACTTCTCCAGTCAATATGGCCAAAGCTATCTTCTTAAGACATACTTTACTGGCAAAGAGTTCAAACCGTTATCTACCATTTACTGGCATTTTTGTTGCTTTGGGCAAATTACATCTCTCTGAGTCTCAATTTCCTAATGTATAAAACAGAATGATAATCTTTAACACGAAGAAGTGTTACAAGGATTCAAAAAGATAATGTTCATAAACATTATAAATAATGCCTGATGATGTCTAAATGCTCTCAAAAGGTTAGTTACAACATGATCCCATTATCCACACCACCATTATAACTATTACATTATTATAATGCTTCTGCCGGCTCACTCCCATGCTCACCACCCAGAGCCTTAAACTCACATCATTTCCCCCACTGGCAAGGGACTGGAGCAATCGGGTCAAGTACTGAAACACATTCAGCTGGATGGCTGTGCCACCTATCTTCCGGACCACACTGCTTGTCTCTTCTGGGTTCAGAGTGTGACGGAGGAGAGCCCAGGCCAAAAGCACTGGGGCATGATGTGGAATGTCCCCAAAGGTCAACATTAAACAGTCCATATCCTAGTGAGAGAAGAAAACACATCTACATCTCCGAACAGAAAGTGTTAATATCCCTCGACCAGATTCTTCATCACGCTCAATAAGCAAGCCATAAAGAGTGGCCTCACTCTCTCATTCTGATATTTCACTCTTCTCAAACCCCCAGTCACCTCACTAATAAACCCCTCAATTACAATTACTCTTCCTTTACCCACAAAATTTGTCTACTAATTTTATGTAGTCTTAAGATTATAAAATGCATGTTACGATACATTCCTTAGAAATTTTATCCTGATCCTTCTCAAACTTTCTATGCTCTATCTTCATTTTCTATCTTCCTAACCATCTCATCTCAATGTTTTTCCCCTTTCCTCTTCTTTCACAGGCTCCTTAAATGCAGTCAATCCCCAGGGTTTTCTCCTTGGGCCTCTTTTGTCCTTGTACCATCTCCATGAATGAATCACTCTCACAGACTCAATTATCACCTTGGTATAGATGACTGACGAACCTGAGATTTCCTCCAGGTCTAATCAACTGTTTAACATTGTAGAGGCCGGGCACGGTGGCTCAAGCCTGTAATTCCAGCACTTTGGGAGGCTGAGGCAGGTGGATCACTTGAGGTCAGGGGTTCAAGACTAGCCTGGCCAACATAGTGAAACCCCATCTCTATTAAAAATATAAAAATTAACTGGACGTGGTGGCATGTGCCTGTAATCCCAGCTATTCCAGAGGCTGAGGCACAAGAATCTCTTGAACCCAGGAGGTGGAGGTTGCAGTGAGCCGAGATGGCACCACTGCACTCCAGCCTGGGTGATAGAGGAAGACTCTGTCTCAAAAAAAACAAAACAGACTGGGCATGGTGGCTCACGCCTGTAGTCCCAGCACTTTAGGAGGCTTAGGCGGGAGGATCACGAAGTCAGGAGATTGAGACCTCTTGGCCAAAATGGTGAAACCCAGTCTCTACTAAAAATACAAAAATTAGCTGTGATCCCAGCTACTTGGGAGGCTGAGGCAGAAGAATCACTTGAACCCAGGAGGTGGAAGTTGCAGTGAGCCAAGACCACGCCACTGCATTCCAGCATGGTGACAGAGCTAGACTTCATCTCAAAAAACCAAAACAAAACAAAACGAAAACATTGTAGAACCTCTGCATCACTGAACAATGTAGTTCCACAACACTGAAAATTTTATGCAGCAGTTCAATAATTGAAAGCTACTACTAACTTATAAACCCTCTGAAAAAAAAGAGGCTATTCCAAGTCACCTGACAAATAAGCCCATCCTGCGCAAACTGATGCAGTTCTCTTCTGTCATCCAAAGCACACTTATGCAAGGACTCGATATCCATGCCCTCCACCAGGATGAGGGCACTGAAGTAGCTAGAAAGAAAAATAGTATCACCATGTTATATATCCCGTTCTGAAACTCACTAGAGACAAAGGTGAGATATAAGACACTGCGATATCAAAAAAACCTATTGGGCCAGGCATAGTGGCTAACGCCTATAATCCTAACACTTTGAGAGGCAGAGGTGGGAGGATCACTTGAGGCCAGGAGTTCAAGACTATCTTGGACAACAAAGTGACACCCCATCTATACCACACACACACAAAATTAACTGGTATATATCTTTGCTCACAGAGTGACCAGGCCCCCAGTTATGGATATATCCACGGTCATAAATAGAGAAAAAACAAGAAATTTAAAGTCCATAGACTATCACCTGAAAGAGAAGAGCAAGCATATATGCCTTATTTATCACTATCTTGTTAGCATTTGCATAGTGCTTGGCCTACAATAGTTGTTCAACGAATTTTTGTTCAATGAATGAATGAACCCCTTAAATGAAGACAGTAAGTAAAAGAGCAGATTACAATACTCATTTTGAGAGTCCTCTCTCAATCCCAGTCTTTACTCCCTGCATGAAAGGGAACGTGGCAGTAGACCTATTTCCCCACCGATTAAGTGAAAAGTACACCTACCCCCTACCTGCTTACATACCACTATAGTATCAATGCTCTAAACACTGCAAGTTCCATGATGTTCAATTCACTGACTTACCCAATCCGATCTACAAAAGGATCCATAGTCTCATCCACCAGGTGCCTATTGGTCTGCCTACTACCAAATCCTTGCTCTTTAAACATCTTGGTTAATACAAGTAAGTCACTGGGTGCCATCTCAAAGTATGCATAATAAAGGAAAATAATTTCTAGCAGCATGGACTGTTCCCGAAGGCACTGAACAAACCAGCGAGACACTTGGCGCTCTGTCTGTACAACCAATGAAAACAAAATGGGAGAGAAATAACATGAGATTAAAAACAGTACTTAAAGAACATTTTTTAAAGAAAGGGTCTCAATCTGTCACCCAGGATACAGTGCAGTGGCAGATTATGGCTGCTCAAACTGCTACACGCAACTGATCCTCCTACCTCAGCCTCCTAAATAGCTGAGACTACAGGCGCAAGCCACTGCACCTGGTCCGTATTTAATTTTTTTTTTTAAGAGACAGATTTTTTGCTTTTTTTTTAAGAGACAGGGTCTGACTCTATCACCCAGGCTGGAGTGCAGCAGTACAATTATAGCTTATGGCAGCTGCCCTCTCACCTGAGCCTCTCGAGTAGTTAGGACTAAAAGTGAGCACAAACATGCCCAGCTCATTTTTTCTTTTTTTAAATTTTTGGAAGAGAACAGGTCTTGCTATGTTGCACAGGCTGGTTTTGAATTCCTAGCCTCAATCGATCCTCCTGGGAGGCCAAAGCACTGGGATTAAAGGCGTAAGCCACTGTGCCCAGCCAACCAATGTATCTTTTCTTTTGAGAGAGGGTCTCGCTCTGTCACCCAGAGTACACCCAGAGTACACCCACAGCTCACTGCAGCTTTGACCCACCGGGCTCAAGCAATCCTCCTGCCTCAGCCACCCAAGTAGCTGGAACTACAGGTTAGCACCATGTCTAGCTAATTCTTTTAATTTTTTTTTTTTTTTGAGACGAAGTCTCACTCTTATCCCCCAGGCTGGAGTGCAATGGCGCGATCTTGGCTCACTGCAACCTCCGCCTCCCAGGTTCAAGCAATTCTCCTGCCTCAGCCTCCCGAGTAGCTGGGATTACAGGCGCCTGCCACCACGCCCGGCTGATTTTTTTCTTTTTAGTAGAGACAGGGTTTCACTATGTTGGCCAGACTGGTTTCAAACTCCTGACCTCAGGTGATCCGCCCACCTTGGCCTCCCGAGTGCTGGGATTACAGGCGTGAGCCACCGCGCCCAGCCAATTTTTTAAATTTTTTGTAGAAGCAAGGTCTTGCTATGTTGCCAGGGCTGGTCTTGAATTCCTGGGCTCAACCAATCTTCCCACCTTCACCTCACAAAGTGGTGGGATTACAGGCCTGAGCCACCATACACCCAGCTGCAACAATGTATCTTAAAAATTATCTCCTATAAAGGTATAGTAAAAATTTTCTGGACTAGCAGGGTGGCTCACGTCTATAAGCCTAATACTTGAATACTTTGGGAGGCCAAAGTGGGAGGACTGTTTGAGGCCTGGAGTTCAAGACTAGTCTGGGAAACACAGTGAGACTCCATCTCTAGAAAAAGTTTTTAAAAATGAGCCAGGCATAGAGGTGCATGCCTGTAGTCCCAGCTACACTGGAGCCTAAGGCAGGAGAGTCACTTGAGCTGGGGAGGTTGAGGCTGCAGTAGGCTACAATCATGCCCCTGTACCCCAGCCTGGGTGACACAGTGAGACTCTGTCACACACACACACAAAAACCCTCCCTATTTTTAATCCTTTTATTTGCATAATAATTCATTATGTGGATATGCCATAGATTATTCAACCAATACACTCAATATTTTTAACACTACATAGTATTCCACTGCACATAAATGCCATCATTGATTTTACCTGCTCACTTGGATGGATGAGCATTTAGGTTACTACCAATCCCTTGCTAATAAACTCATACTATTCAACTGAAAAAACAACTAGACATTCTTTCCAGGTGTACAGGTACAATCACCAAGAAAGATCATAAGGTAGGCCATAAAACATGAGACAGTAAATTTTAGAAGACTAAAATGACAAAGAATGTGTTCTCTGATAACAGAATCAAATAAAAACATTGAGAACAATAAGATGTTTCGTCTGCTATAGTACTTCACACCTGTAATCCCAGCACTTTGGGAGGCCAAGGTGGTCAGATCCCTTCAGCCCGGGAGTCCAAGACTAGCCTGGGCAACATGGCAAAACCTGCAGCATCTTGTAGTCCTAGCTAGTTGGGAGGCTGAGGTAGGAGGATTACCTGAGCCCAGGAGGTCAAGGCTGCAGTGAGCCGTGATTGTGCCACTAAACTCCAGCCTGGGCAACAGAGAAAGAACCTGTCTCAAAAAAAAAACCCAGATATTTACAAAAAACATCCAATATTTGGACATTAAATCCAGAGAGTCTCACTCTGCGTGACAGTGAGACTTCTAACACATACACACACACAAACACACACACACACACACACACACACAGACACAGAGACAGACAGAGACAGAAATCCATTTAAAAAGGGAGAAAA
This sequence comes from Homo sapiens, assembly GCF_000001405.40. Taxonomy (NCBI): domain Eukaryota; kingdom Metazoa; phylum Chordata; class Mammalia; order Primates; family Hominidae; genus Homo; species Homo sapiens. The sequence continues at coordinate 128,966,213 of NC_000009.12, read as the reverse complement.
AACATATACATATATAAAAACTAAAGAACAAGGCTGGGCACACGCACACACACACACACACACACACACACACACACACACACACGGAGGCAGAAATCTATTTTAAAAAAAGAGAGAGAGTCCGGGCGCGGTGGTTCACGCCTGTAATCTCAGCACTTTAGGAGGCCGAGGCAGGCAGATCATGAGGTCAGGAGTTCGAGACCAGCCTGGCCAACATGGTGAGACCCCATCTCTACTAAAAATACAAAAAAAGCTGGGCGTGGTGGTGGGCGCCTGTAATCCCAGCTATTTGGGAGGCTGAGGCAGGAGAATCATTTGAACCCAGGAGGCAGAGGTTGCGGTGAGCCAAGATCACACCATTGCACTCCAGCCTGGGCAACAAGAGTGAAAATTTAAAAAAAAAAAAAAATACACAACAGAAATCAATTAAATATAAAACAGACATTACAATAAAGAAAACTGGCCAGACGTGGTGGCTCACGTCTATAATCCCAGCACTTTGGGAGGCTGAGGGGGCCGGATCACCTGAGCTCAGGAGTTCGAGACCACCCTGGGCAACATGGTGAAACCCTGTCTCTACTAAAATACAAAAAATTAGCTGAGCTTAATAGTGCACACCTGTACTCCCATCTACTTGGGATGCTGAGGCACAAGAATCACTTGAGCCCTAGAAGTGGATGTTGCAGTGAGCCAAGAATGCGCCACTGCACTCCAGTTTGGGCTATAGAGTGAGACTCTGTCTCAAAAAAAAATTTTTTTTAATAAAGAAAATTGAAGACAAAAACTACCATTATCAGAAATGAGTAAGAGCACAGCACTAGACTCTAAAGAGAGTAAAAGCATAAGAAAATAATATGAACAGCCTTATGTAAATAGATTTCACCAATGAAATGAAATGAACAAATTCCTTAAAAGATACAAATTACCAAAACTGTCCCAAATAGAAACAGGAAACTTGAATAGCTCTGTATCAATCAAGGAAAACAATTCAGTATTTAAAACTTTGTTAGAAACTTGATGAAAATTTTAAAAAGAGATAAAAAAATTTTAATCAATAAATAAAAGAATTAAAAACCTTCCCACAAAGAAAACTCCAGACCCAGATGGCTTCACTGGTAAATTCTATCAAACATTTAAGGACAAGCTCCAAAAGGCAGGAGCCATAATAGACAAAACTGACAAAAACATTTATCAAAACTTAAAATTTTGGCCGGGTGAGGAGGCTCATGCCTGTAATCCTAGCACTCTGGGAGGCCGAGACGGGTGGATGACCTGAGGTCAGGAGTGAGACTAGCCTGGCCAACATGGCGAAACCCCATCTCTACTAAAAATAACACAAATTAGGAAGGCGTGGTGGCACATGCCTGTAATCCCAGCTACTCGGGAGGCTGGAGGCAGCAGAATCCCTTGAACCCGGGAGGCAGAGATTACACTTAGCCAACATCGTGCCACTGCACTCCAGCCTGGGTGACTGAGTGAGAGCGTCTCAAAAAAAAAAAAAAAAAAATTAAAATTAAAATGTTGGCTCTTGGAAAGATACAGTCTAGGAGCAGTGGCTCATGCCTGTCATCCCAGCACTTTGGGAGGCGCCAAGGCAGATAAATCATTTGAGCTCAGGAGCTTAAGACCAGCCTGGGCAACATGGCAAAACCATCTCTACAAAAAAAAAAAAAAAAATACAAAAATTAGCCAGGTATGGTGGTACCCGCTTGTAGTCCCAGCTACTTGTGGGGCTGTGACAGGAGGGTCACTTGAGTCAGGGAGGTCGAGGCTGCAGTGAACCATGTTCCCACCACTGGATTCCAGTCTGAGTGACAAACCGAGACCTTGTCTCAAAAAAAAAAAAAAAGAATTAAGGTGGGAAAAGACAAGCCACTAGGTGGAAGAAAAAAGTTGTAAAACATCTATCTGGTAAATAGCTTATATTTACAATACTGTATATAAAGAACTCTGACAATTTGATAAGACAAACATCCACAAAAAACAATGGGATAAAAATGTGAACAGACACTTGACTGAAGAAGGTGTAAGTAAATAAGCACGTGAAAAGATGTTCAACATCACTAGTCATCAGGGAAATGCAAATTAAAACCACAGTGAGACCAGGTGTGGTGGCTCACACCAGTAATCCCAGCACTTTGGGAGGCCTAGGCGGGTGGATCACAAGGTCAGGAGATTGAGACCATCCTGGCTAACACGGTGAAACCCTGTCTCTACTAAAAATACAAAAAATTAGCCGGACGTGGTGGCATGCCTGTAGTCCCAGCTACTCGGGAGGCTGAGGCAGGAGAATCGCTTGAACTCAGGAGGCAGAGGTTGCAGTGAGCCAAGATCGTGCCACTGCACTCCACCCTGGGCGACAGTGTGAGACTCCGTCTCAAAAATAAAAAAAAAAAAAACCCACAATAAGACAGGCATGGTGGCATATGCCTGTAATCCCAGCCTACTCAAGAGGCCAAGCAGAAGGATCACTTGAATCCAGGAGTTCAAGGCCAATTTGGGCAAAATAGCAAGACCCTATCTCAAAACAAACAAACCACAATGAGATATTACTATATACTTATTTAGGATGTTTAAAATTAACAGCCATACCAAGTGTTGGTGACAATGTCAAACAAAAAGAATTCTCATACATTTCTGGTGGGAATGCAAAACGGTATAGCCACTATGGATAAACAATTTATCAATTCTTTATAAAAATTTCATTTACGGCTGGGCATGGTGGCTCATGCCTGTAATCCCAGTATTAAAAATACAAAAATTAGCCAGGTGTGGTGATGCATGCCTGTAATCCCAGCTACTCAGGAGGCTGAGGCAGGACAATCGCTTGAACTCAGGAGGCAGAGGTTGCAGTGAGTCGAAATCGCGCCACTGAACTCCAGCCTGGGCGACAGAGCGAGACTCCGTCTCAAAAAAAAAAAAAAAAAAAAATTTACATTTACGACTCAGCAATCTCACTCTCAGGTATTTATTTACCCAGGATAAATGAAAACTTATGTCAAAAAACCCATATGCTAATGTTCATAGCACATTATTCCTAATAGTCAAAAAACAAAAATGACAAATGGCTGGCTATCAACTGAGAAATGGATAAACAAAATATGGTATATCCACACAATGGAATGTTTACTACTCAACCATAAATAAGAATGAAGTACTAGTATATGATATAACATGGATGAATCTCAAAAACATGACATTAACTGAAAGAAGCCAAACAGAAAATTCTACATATTGTGTGGTTCTATTTATATGTAATTCCAGAAAAAGTAAAAGTATAGTCACAGTTACTTAAAAATAGTTAAAATGGTAAATTTTATGCTATGTCTATTTTATCACAATTTAAAAAATCATAATTAAACAAAAAACTGCTGAATCAAGAAATATGTACTTTGTAAATTTTTAGATATTATCAAAATGCTTCCCATTAAAAAGTATATCAATTTAGTTGCGAATAATGGCTCACACCTATAATCCCAGCACTTTGAGAGGCTGAGGCGGGAGGACTGCTTGAGCCCAGCCGGCTATTCTTATTTTGCATATGAATTTTTTTTGAGACAGAGTCTCGCTCTGTGGCCCAGGATGGGGTGCAAGTGGTGTGATCTTGGCTCACCACAACCTCCATGCCCATCCCGGTGTAAGTTTTTATACTCAAGAATATGGTGTGCCGGGCACAGTGGCTCACGCCTGTAGTCCCAGCACTTTGGGAGGCAGAGGTGGGTGGGTCAGGAGGTCAGGAGACCAACACCATCCTGGCTAACACGGTGAAACCCTGTCTCTACTAAAAATACAAAAAAATTAATTGGGCGTGGTGGTGGGCGCCTGCAGTCCCAGCTACTTGGGAGACTGAGGCAGGAGAACGGCGTGAACCCGAGAGGTGGAGCTTGCAGAGAGCCGAGATCGTGCCACTGCACTCTAGCCTGGGTGACAGAGCGAGACTCCGTCTCAAAAAAAAAAAAAAAAAAGAGTATGGTGTGTTGGTCAGGTGCAATGGCTCACCACCGTAATCCCAGCACTTTGATGGGTTGAGGTAGGCAGATCACCTGAGGTCAGGAGTTCCAGACCAGCCTGACCAACATGGAGAAACCCCATCTCTACTCAAAATACAAAATTAGCTGGGTGTGGTGGCGCATGCCTTTAATCCCACCTACTCAGGAGGCTGAGGCAGGAGAATTGCTTGACCCAGGAGGTGGAGACTGTGGTGAGCCAAGATCATGCCATTGCACTCCAGCCTGGGCAACAAGAGTAAAACTCCGTCCAAAAAAAAAAAAAAGAGTATGGTATGTCCTAGGCCGGGCATGGTGGCTGGCTCACGCCTGTAATCCCAGCGCTTTGGAGGCCAAGGCAGGCAGATCACCTGAGGTCGGGAGTTCTAGACCAGCCTGACCAACATGGAGAAACCCTGTATCTACTAAAAATACAAAATTAGCCGGGCGTGGTAGCACATGCCTGTAATCCCAGCTACTCAGGAAGCTGAGGCAGGAGAATCACTTGAACCTGGGAGGCGGAGGTTGTGGTGAGCCAAGATCACGCCATCGAACTCCAGCCTGGGCAACAAGAGCGAAACTCCGTCTCAAAAAAAAAAAAAAAATCTATCTATCTATCTATCTATCTATCTATCTAGATAGATAGATAGATATAGATATAGATATATATAGTGTGTCTTTCCCTTTGGTTATTTATTTATTTATTTATTTATTTTTGAGACAGAGATTGCTCTGTTGCACAGGCCAGAGTGCACTGGCGTCATCTCGGCTCACTGCAACCTCCACCACCTGGATTCAAGCATTTCTCCTGCCTCAGCCTCCTGAGTAGCTGGGAGTACAGGCACGTGCCACCACGCTCAGCTAACTTTTATATTTTTATTTTTATTTTTATTTTTCTGAGACAGAGTCTTGCTCTGTCGCCTAGGCTGGAGTGCAGTGGTGCAATCTCGGCTCACTGCAACCTCTGCCTCCTGGATTCAAGCAATTCTCCTGCCTTAGCCTCCCGAGTAGCTGGGATTACAGGCACGCACCACCATGCTCAGCTAATTTTTTTTTTTGTATATTTTTTTACTAGAGACAGGGCTTCACCATATTGGCCAGACTTGCATTTTCATTTTTTATGGTTTTTTTTTTTTTTTTTTGAGACGGAGTCTTGCTCTGTCACCCCAGGCTGGAGTACAGTGGCGCAATCTTGGCTCACTGCAACCTCTGCCTCCTAGGCTCAAGTGAATCTCCCACTCCAGCCTCCTGAGTAGCTGAGACTACAGATGGGTGCCACCACACTCGCCTAATTTTTGTATTTTTAGTAGAGACGAGGTTTCACCATGTTGGCCAGGCTGGTTTTGAACTCCTGACCTCAAGCGATCCGCCCACCTTGGCCTCCCAAAGTGCTGGGATTATAGGCCTGAGCCACCGTGCCCCACCAATTTTTGTATTTTTAGTAGAAACAGGGTTTTACCATATTGGCCAGGCTTGTCTCGAACTCCTGACCTAAAGTAATCTGCCTGCCTTGGCCTCCCACCGTGCTAGGATTACAGGCATGAGCCACTGTGCCCAGCCTCAGTTATGTCTTCTTTTACACCTTTTATAGCATTTTTAAAGTTCTCTTCACTTAAATTTTATATTGTCCTAAACTTATTCCTGGGAATTTTATGCTTTTATTGCTATTTCATGCTTCTGACTGCAAACTTTCTGAGACAGAAATGTCATATGTATAAATAGGCCCTTTTCATCTATTAAATATTTTTTAAGTAGCTGTGTTTTTGATGTGTTTTAATAAGAATGTATTATTTTTAAAACAAACAAGGTCATGCTATAATCGATAGATGCAAATTGGTTTAGAAATTAGGATAAAATAGCCAGGCGCGGTGGCTCACGCCTGTAATCCCAGCACTTTGGGAGGCTGAGGCGGGGAGATAGAGACCATCCTGGCTAACACGGTGAAACCCTGTCTCTACTAAAAAAAAACAAAAAACAAAAAAAACAAAAACAAAAAATTAGCTGGGCGTGGTGGCGGGCACCTGTAGTCCCAGCTACTCGGGAGGCTGAGGCAGGAGAATGGCGTGAACCCGGGAGGTGGAGCCTGCAGTGAGTGGAGATCTCACCACTGCATTCCAGCCTGTGCAACAGAGTGAGACTCTGTCTCAAAAAAAAAAAAAAAAAAAAAAGAATAAAATAATCAGACTAGTGTTACACATTGAGCAGAAAATAATAAGATGATATATTAGGTTCAGAATTCTATTAACCACTAAACAAATTTTAGGTAAGAAATGAAAGTAAACTAATGGGATTGAAAAAAAGTCAAAGTCAGAATTAAGTACTATTAATTAATGTCATCAATATTTTGATTTATATGACATGTTTAAACTTTTCTCAAGAATGATAACCTAGGTCAGGCACAGTGGCTCATGCCCATAACCCCAACACTTGGAGGCCAAAGCAGGTGGATCACCTGAGGTCGGGAGTTCGAGACCAGCCTGGCCAACATGGTGAAACCCTATCTCTATCTCTACTAAAAATACAAAAAATTAGCTGGGCGTGGTGGCAGGTGCCTGTAATCCCAGCTACTTGGGAGGCTGGGGCAGTAGAATCACTTGAACCCGGGAGGTGGAGGTTGCAGTGAGCTGAGATTGTGCCATTGCACTCCAGCTTGAGCAACACAGGGAAACTCCATCTCACCAAAAAAAAAAAAAAAAAAAAGATAATCTGTATGTTTTAAATGAATGAATAAATAATTTAACTTGCAGCTCTATAAGCAAGGGTATACAATTCTCCTAAGAGTTATAGGCCAGGTGTAGTCGCTCACACTTGTAATCCCAGCACTTTGGGAGGCTGAGGTGGGCGGATCACCTGAGGTCAGGAGTTCGAGACCAGCCTGGCCAACATGGTGAAACCCTGTCTCTACTAAAAATGCAAAAATTGGCTGGGCGTGACGACGGGTGCCTGTAATCCACTGAGGTAGGAGAATTGCTTAAAACCAGGAGATGGAGGTTGCAGTGAGCCGAGATCATGCCACTGCACTCCAGCCTGGGTGACAGAGGGAAACTCCATCTTAAAAAAAAAAAGTTACAGGAGAGCACAGTAACCACATACCATGAGATTTCCATGTGTCTCCCAAGTTGGTGCTTCAGTTTTATAAAGCTCTTCGAACTGCTGTCTGTATTTTGAAACTAGTTCCTTCTCCAATTTATCAACACAGTCTGCATATTCAACCTTTAAAAAATCAAAAGAGTAAATTATACCTAGAATAAAAGGTAAATATTCAAATAAATATTAATAAAATTATTAAGATGATACAGTATAAAGAGAAGCAAGAGGACTAAACAAGCTTACCCTATAGGGGTGTCTTTCATCTTGGAAGTAAGTGAGAAGGTGTAAGACACAACGAAGAATACAGGTTCTTTCTTCATAATAATAATCTGCAATCTGAGGAACCCAAAATTCAAAATCAGTTACTCACCTTTGCACATAGGAAACTCAAGTTTAAATTTAGTGATAATTTCACTTAAAGATGTGGATGGAAAAGTTCAATTTATATAAATAAGGAATCACAGAAATGCAAACATACTGAATTAGGCCAAAATAAAGGAAAAGACATTCATAAACCAGAATATACAGGATGAAAGGAATTAATTGTTTAACAATATACACAAGTTTCCAAAAATGTTTTCTAGCATGATTTCTCAGAGCATTCATGTAGCACACAATGCTATCAACAGGCAGGCCAAACACATAAAAACAAATTCCACTGATATAGGTCCTAATTGCTTGTAACTAATGTACTTATTCTCACTAAATATAAAATAGGAAACTTCTTCAGAAGTCACAAATTACATTTTAACACGAGATCCTAAGTGAGAAGGTTGCTGGAAAGGGACTGAAGAATAAAGAAATAAAGAAATACAAATTAATCCTGTTGGACTTACACCTAAAGAAAAAATATCCATGAACTTGTTCTCACCACCAGTAGCTGAAGAATCTCCTTGGGAGAAACTTCTCTACTGGGTCCAGTGGATAAAAGCATCTTTTCATAAATGAGTTAATATGCTTCTTCATAAAGACCTCCATGCTTACCCAACAAAGAGTCAAAAGCCAGCAATGCTCAGGAAAATGAGGTCAAGAAGCTGTCACTCAATTTTACATCAAAGAATAGAAATGGTGACTACTACTGACCTTCAGGATTAAGGCCTGGCTCTGCCTCTCATCTTGCAGTACTGTCTGAAAAGAAAAACAGAGCAGTTAAGAGGCCATCTTTTAGGCAAAACTCAAGTAATAAAAAAAGATAGATACCTTCACTTCATCCTTCAAGATTATAATTGCACATTTGTTTCTACATATACTTTCCACCTTACTTTTTACCCAAATGTACCCAAACCTGTGCTCAAATCCCTCCCCTTCTCCTCTGGCCTCAATCCTCTTATGTAAAATGAGGGGCTGGGCAGGCTAGAAATTCTACCAAATCCTGGCCGGGTGCGGTGGCTCACGCCTGTAATCCAAGTACTTTGGGAGGCTGAGGCGGGGGGATCACGAGGTCAGGAGATTGAGACCATCCTGGCTAACACGGTGAAATCCTGTCTCTACTAAAAACACAAAAAATTAGCCGGGCGTGGTGGCAGGCGCCTATAGTCCCAGCTACTTGGGAGGCTGAGGCAGGAGAATGGCGTGAACCCGGGAGACAGAGCTTCCAGTGAGCCAAGATCACGCCATTGCACTCCAGCCTGGGAGACAGAGCGAAACTCCATCTCAAAAAAAAAAGAAACTCTACCAAATCCTTATCACCTCTAATAGCCCAAGATTCTATGATTAACATGTCAGTCTTTGACCTCTCCACTCCTCCAAGTATGAAGACAGATCTCAGCTTATATGCATATATATTCTTTACTTTTTAAAGAGATAGGGTCTCACTCTTTTGCCTAGGCTGGAGTGCAGTAGTGCGATCACAGTTCACTGCAGCCTCAAACTCCTGGACTCAAGTGATCCTCCTGCCTCAGCCTCCCAAGAAGCTGGGAGTACAGGCACAAGCCATTGCACCCAGGTCATGTTTTTTTTAAAGCCTTTAGTAGGTCTTCCCTGAAGATGACGGTACCTGATCACCTACCACCGATAAAAGAATTGGTGCCAAAATCCTACATTATCTAAAACCAACAGGGAAAAAGGATAAAGGCAGAAGAAAGGAGCTGACATAAACCACAAACCTTTACTGAGTCCCGAGTACCCCTGTAGTCCTCTTGCAGGTAACACTGGAGTAACTGCACACTCTGTTCTTCATCAAGACCCTGAAACACAGAGATTTTAAGTAAGGAACAGCTCAGAAATCGCACACAGGATGCAGAGAATTTAAAGATTTGTCTTCTACAATGAACACAGGACTTGAATAAACAAAAATGCTTCTCAAAGATTCATAAAACATAACAATTCTGACTCTAATAGAAGACAAGAGCCAGTCACTGACATACAATTTTTATTACAATTAAATGTACATGCCAGAAACAACGATGCTTATTCACTAAGCACATTAATACAGCAGTAGGCATGATGTGAGCTTCCAAAATGACAAACTTAGTCACCTTAAAGACCACCACATGTCTGGTGAAGAAAACCCTATGATATGCAGTGAATGGATCAGGCAACTTTGACTTGTAACTTTTAGGGAGAAGAGTTGCAACCTGGGTATTTATAAAACAATTTAATCCCCAAAACAAAAAGAAACTGAATTTTCACTATCACTAGCAATATAACCACGCACATCCACACTGCAAGTAATAAATTGAGCGAGTGCTAATTTTTACTCACCAAAAACTTGCTGATTCTTAAACCCAGTTCCTTCAATGGTGAAGCTACATCTTTATTAGCTTTCACTTTTTCAGCTGAACTTGGACTACAAAAAGAACAGTGAATCATTTCTTCATTCTCAATAGCCCACTGAGTTTAAAATAAAAATATTTTAAAATATTTTTCCTACAGACTATTTTCTGCCCTTCAGATGCCTATAAACACACACACAAACACACACACGCACACACACACACACACACACACACACACCCATTCACCTCTACAAACTTCATAACGCAGAACTGGTTATGCCTAACAAAACAAAACAAAAAAAAAGTGGTTAAATTACAGTTATAACAATGTTATTTGTAAACACATTAAGTTACATTATTTTTGATCCTTACTACTGCCCTAAAAGGCAAATATTACTATTCTCCTTTTACAAATGGAATTGCCAGCACTTAGGGTAAATAACTTACCAAAAATCCCACAGCTCATAAACAGTTGCTAAAATTTAAAACCAGGTCTGTGGCATACATACATATATTAATATATTATCTGTAATAGCTCTGTCCACCGAGAAGGCCTAGAATTTATAATACTCCAACAGCAGGAGGTACATGCAGCACCCAGATCCTGCTTTATAATACCATTCTCTAATAACAGGATTCCTTGGAGAATTGGTTGATTCTAGAGTCAGGGCAAGGAAAATACAAGAAAATCTTGAAGCATCTTATAGTGAAAAGAAGTACAAAAGGGCTTAAGAAACCAAAGTCCTTTCGGTAGGAGATGACATAATAGAAAAAAAAGAAAAGAAAAAAAGAAAAAAGGAAGGACACGCCCAAAGGACAGAGGCCAACCTAAAAGAATGCCCAATAGCCAAAGCTGAAACAAGGTATAAACAAAGTATAAGATAAATAAAATAAATATATTTGAGTCTATACTGATATAAACTAATGAATAAATAAATAGGATAGGGAGGGGCCAGAACAATGGCTCATGCCTGTAATCCCAGCACTTTGGGAGGCCAAGGCAGGAGTGTAGCTTGAGGCCAGGAGTTTGAGACCAGCCTAGACAACAAAGTGAGACCCTCATCTCCACCAAAAGTGAAAAAAATTAGCTGGACATGGCTATATTTAGTACTCACTTCCAAAAAATAAAATAGGAAAAGAGAAAAAAGTAACTTTACAGAGGAGAAACTTGGCAAATGCCTCCTTAACTGAGTGACCAAGATTAACATTACCAGTGATTTCATGTGGACAGCATGTACTCTCTGCTATGATGTGGTAAGAAGGGTAGCTTGGCCAGGCGTGGTGGCTCACGCCTGTAATCCCAGCACTTTGGGAGGCTGAGGCGGGCGGATCACCTGAGGTCAGGAGTTCAAGACCAGCCTGACCAATATGGTGAAACCCTGTCTCTACTAAAAATACAAAAATTAGCCAGGCATGGTGGCATGCACCTGTAGTCCCAGCTACTCGGGAGGCTGAGACAGAATTGCTTGAACCCAGGAGGCAAAGGTTGCAGTGAGCTGAAATCGCACCATTGCACGCGAGCATGGGCAACAAGAGCGAAACTCCATCTCAAAAAAAAAAAAAAGAAGAGCACCTCACCTCTGTGTATTTTTCCCAAAAACTCACAACCCCAGTCTAATAATAAGGAAAACATCAGACAAACCCAAATTGGGGGCATACTACAAAATAACTGACCAGTCCTCAAACTTGTTCAAGGTCATGAAAATCAAGGTAAGACTAAGACATTGTCGACATTGTCACCGGCCGCGGTGGCTCACGCCTGTAATCCCAGCACTTTGGGAGGCCGAGGCGGGCGGATCATGAGGTCAGGAGATTGAGACCATCCTGGCGAACACAGTGAAACCCTGTCTCTACTAAAAATACAAAAAATTAGCCAGGCGTGGTGGCGGGCGCCTGTAGTCCCTGCTACTCGGGAGGCTGAGGCAGGAGAATGGCGTGAACCCGGGAGGCAGAGCTTGCAGTGAGCCGAGATCGTGCCACTGCACTCCAGCCTGGGCCACAGAGCGAGACTCCATCTCAAAAAAAAAAAAAAAAAAAGACTAAGACATTGTCACAGCGGGCGCCTGTAGTCCCAGCTACTCGGGAGGCTGAGGCAGGAGAATGGCGTGAACCCGGGAGGCAGAGCTTGCAGTGAGCCGAGATCGTGCCACTGCACTCCAGCCTGGGCCACAAAGCGAGACTCCATCTCAAAAAAAAAAGACTAAGACATTGTCACAGCTAAGAGGAGACTACAGGCACTTGACAACTAGGTTGGATCCTGGAACAGAAAAAAGATAGTAAAGAAAACAATAGGCTGGGTATGACGGCTCACGCCTGTAATCTCAGCACTTTGGGAGGCCGAGGTGAGCAGATCACTTGAGATCAGGAGTTCAAGGCCAGCCTGGCCAACATGGTGAAACCCCATCTCTACTAAAAATACAAAAATTAGCTGGGCGTGGTGGCGGGCACCTGTAATCCCAGCCACTCGGGAGGCCAAGGCAAGCGAATCACTTGAACCCGGGAGGTGGAGGTTGCAGTAAGCTGAGATGTGACACTGCACTCCAGTCTGGGCGACAGAGCAAAACCCCATCTCAAAAAAAAAAAAAGAACAGACACTGGAATGAGACCACCAGGGTCAAATCCTGGTTCTATCACTTAGTAGCTGTGTGACCATGACAAGTTGCTTAACCTCTTTGTGCCTCAGTTTCCCCACTGGTAAAATGGAAACAATGATAAGGGTACCTAAATGTGATAATATAGAGATTATCTTTTTAAAAAGTCCATGTATTTTAGATACATAGTCAAGTATTTGCAGATAAAATAACAAGGTATCTGGGATTTACTTTAAGGTAATTACAGGGGAAGAATTAACAGACAGATGAATAACAAGGAAAAGTTCATCGTTAACCTAAGAGAATGAAAATGGAAGGTAAAGATGTAATACATTCAAAAGCAGTACAAAAGTAGAAGGGAAATGAGGGTGACTTAGACTATAACGCATAATAGAATGAGATCTGGACTAGGAATCAAGATCAAATAAGCCCAGCCCTACAAGCTGCATTCTCTTTATTTGCAACTACTTTATATTTTATTACTATGTTTTCCACTACCCAATAAAAAGATCTATATATTCACCCAAAGAATAAAAGTAGTAACTATCTCAAAGGGGTGTTGTGGGGATTAAATAACTTTTGATAAGTCAGGTGCTTAGAGTATTAATTGTTACATAGTTAACACTACACAAGTGTCAGTTGTTAGCATCATCCTTCACTGCTATCTCCCACCAATTAGTACTCACACAGACACTGTGGACTCTGAATAAATATTAGAAAATTCGTTGAATGTTTAATAAATTCTCATCCCCACACATAGGTCATAATTATATTCTACAATACTGTATTTCTAGAAGGAATTTCCTTTTCTTTCGGTCAACAAAAAAACAAATGTACCCTACTGTTTTCCACTGGTAAACTAAATTGTATTATCTCTGGTATACATAACCCTACAATATCATCAAAGCACATAGAAGGATGGTTTTATCCATGTCAGCTTCCTTAGGACAATTACTTTAACCAGACACCCGGAACTGCCATACCTGGGAGGTTTGTAGTAAGAAAGCCCCTCTAACAATCGCCGCCAATGTTTATTCAGTTCTGCCTCAATCTGACTCTGGAAAAGAACAAGGTAATTATACAAATGCAGTATTTTTTTTTTTTTTTGAGACAGAGTCTCACTCTATCACCCAGGCTGGAGTGCAGTGGCACCAACTTGGCTGACTGCAACCTCCGCCTCCCAGGTTCAAGTGATTCTCGAGCCTCAGCCTCCCGAGTAGCTGGAATTACAGGTGCCAGCCACCACACCCAGCTAATTATTGTATTTTTAGTAGAGATGGAGTTTCACCATGTTGGCTAGGCTGATCTCGAACTCCCCACCTCAAGTGATCTGCCTGCCTTGGCCTCCCAAAGTGCTGGGATTACAGGCGTGAGCCAAGGCACCCGACCGCAAATGCAGTTTTTTGTGCTTTCTTTTTTTTTTTTTTTTTTGAGACGGAGTCTCACTCTGTTACCCAGGATGGAGTGCAGTGGCGCAATCTTGGCTCACTGCAACCTCCGCCTCCTGGGTTCAAGCAATTCTCCTACCTCAGCCTCCTGAGCAGATGGGACTACAGGCGCACGCCACCATGCCAGTCAGTTTTTTTTGTATTTTTAGTAGAGATGGGGTTTCACCATATTGTCCAAGCTGGTCTTGAACTCCTGAACTCGTGATCTGCCCATGTCAGCAAAGTGCAGGGATTACAGGTGTGAGCCACTGCGCCCGGCCCAAATGCAGTTTTATTAATAATCAGACTCGGCCAGGCATGGTGGCTCAGGCCTGTAATCCTAGCACTTTGGGAGGCCGAAGCGGGCGGATCCCCTAGGGTTGGGAGTTGGAGACCAGCCTGACCAACATGGAGAAACCCTGTCTCTACTAAAAAATACAAAATTAGCTGGGCGTGGTGGTGTATGCCTGTAATCCCAGCTACTCGGGAGGCTGAGGCAGGAGAATCACTTGAACCTGGGAGGCAGAGGTTGTGGTGAGCCGAGATTGCACCAATGCACTCTAGCCAGGACAACAAGCACGAAACTCCGTCTCAAAAAAAAAAAAAAAAAATCAGATTCCAGAATCACACTAAGTATTACACATTCCTTTGAGTGTTTTTAATATGCATTTTTCCCCAGAGTTGAAATCATTTTGAATACAGAATTCTGTAACCTTCTTTTCTTTGCTTAACATTATAACATAATGACTTAACCTTATTATGAAAGTCTTGATAAACATACTTTCAAGTTGCTGCATAATACTTGTATCAAGTTGGTAGATCATAATTCATTTACCATTCCTCTAATGTTTGATATACTTAAGCTGACTGTAATTATTTAATAATATAAATGATGTTGTGGTGAAGTTTTCTTTGTTGTTTTTTGAGACAGGGTCCTGTTCTGTCACCCAGGCTGGAGTGCAGTGATGCAATCATGGCTCACTGCAGGCTTGATATCCTGAGCTTAAGCGATCTTTCCACCACAGCCTCCTGAGTAGCTGGAACTACTAATACAAGCATATGCCACCAAGCCTGACTTTTTTTTTTTTTTTTTTTTGAGATGGAGTCTCGCTTTGTCACCCAGGCTGGAGTACAGTTGCGCGATCTCGACTCACTGCAACCTCCACTTCCGGGTTCAAGCGAATCTCCTGCCTCAGCCTCCCGAGTAGCTGGGATTACAGGCATGCACCACCACACCGGGCTAATTTTGTATTTTTAGTAGAGACGGGGTTTCTCCATGTTGAGGCTGGTCACGAACTCCTGACCTCAGGTGATCCGCCCGCCTCGGCCTCCCAAAGTGCTGGGATTACAGGCGTGAGCCACCATGCCTGGCCAAGAATCTTTCTTAGGTTGAGGTAGAAGAATGGTATTTGCACCCCTACTCTCAGCAGCCAAGCAATGAACACAGGTATCTTTTCATAAAAGGAATCAATGAAATACAAAGGTAGATTTAAAAGACTTCAGCAGCTAGGCTAGGTAGTCTCATTTCAGCAAAGAAGTAGGGAATGCGTAATGTTTATAAAGCTTTTTGCTTTTTTGAGCTGGGGTCTCGATGTGTCTCCCAGGCTAGAGTTCACTGCAGCCTCAACCTCCCAGGATCAAGCAATCCTCCCACCTTGGACTCCTAAGTAGCTGGGACTACAGACATGCACCACCATGCCTGGCTAATTTTTTAAAAAATTTTTTGTAGAGACGGGGTCTTGCTATCTTGCCAGGGTTGGCCTTGAGCTTGTGCACTCAATTGATCCTTCTGCCTTGGCCTTCCAAAGTGCTGGGGTTACAGGCATGAGCCACTGCATCTGACCACGTTTATAAAGTTTTAGGAACAAAAAAAAAGTGTTTATACCAGGCACAGTGGCTCATGCCTGCAATCCAAGCACTTTGGGAGACTGAGGTGGGCAGATCACCTGAGGCCAGGAATTCAAGACCAGCCTGGCCAACATGGTGAAACCCCATCTCTACTAAAAATACAAAAATTAGCCGGGCGTGGTGGCATGCATCTGTAATCCCCAGCTCCTTGAGAGGCTAAGGCAGGAATCACTTGAACCCAGGAGACAGAGGTTGCAGTGAGCCAAGATCGTGCCACTGCACTCCAACCTGGGCGAGAGCCAGACTCTGTCTCAACAACAACAAAAAAACGTAGCCGGGTGTGGTGGCTCATGCCTGTAATCCCAGCACTTTGGGAGGCTGAGGCAGGCAGATCACCTGAGGTCGGGAGTTCAAGACCGACCTGGCCAACATGGCAAAACCCTGTCTCTACTAAAAATATAAAAATCAGCAGGGCGTGGTGGTGGGCACCTCTAATCCCAGCTACTGGGGAGGCTGAGGCAGGAGAATCACTTGAACCCAGGTGGCAGAGGTTGAAGTGAGCCAAGATCGAGCTACTTACACTCCAGCCTGGGAGCAAGACACCCCCCTCAAAAAAAAAAAAAAAAAAAAAAAAAGTGGCCGTCACGCCTGTTATCCCAGGACTTTGAGATGCCAAGGCAAGTAGATCACCTGAGGTCAGGAGTTCAACACCAGCCTGGCCAACATGGTGAAACCCTGTCTCCACTAAAAATACAAAAATTAGCCAGGTGTGGTGGCATGCACCTGTAATCTCAGCTACTCGGGAGGCTGTGGCAGGAAAATCGCTTGAACTCGGGAGGCGGAGGTTGCAGTGAGCTGGGATCATGCTGTTACACTCCAGCCTGGGTAACAAGAGTGAAACTCCATCTCAAAATAAATAAATAGGCCAGGTGTGGTGGCTCACGCCTATAATCACAGCAATTTGGGAGGCCAAGGAGGGCAGATCACCTAAGGTCGGGAGTTGGAGACCAGCCTGACCAAAATGGAAAAACCCCATCTCTACTAAAAATACAAAATTAGTCGGGCGTGGTGGTGCATGCCTGTAATCCCAGCTACTCGAGAAGCTGAGGCAGGAGAATCGCTTGAACCTGGGAGGCGGAGGTTGCGGTGAGCCGAGATCACGCCATTGCACTCCAGCCTGGGAAACAAGAGCGAAACTCTGTCTCTAAATAAATAAATGTGTTTACTTCCTACATTTAAAAAAAGGTTTTTTTTGGTAACAAAAGCTACACAAAGAACCCAGAGAACCCACTCAAGAACACCACCACTTACCAGCTCTCTCAGAGCTGACCTTCCAAGCAGAATAGTCCACAGTTCTCTACTGCTCCTGCAAAATGAGAGAACAGAGGTAATTTTGCTCTTTCTGATCATACAAACTTGTACACTGCCTCATAGCCATTTTGTCTGCTCTCTAAAAGCAAAAAATCTCAATATACAAAACGATTTGTTAAATTTTTGGAAAGTAATCTTGTTATATAATAATATTGTTAGGGCCGGGCACGGTGGCTCATGCCTGTAATCCCAGCACTTTGGGAGGTCGAGGCGGGCGGATCATGAGGTCAGAAGATCGAGACCATCCTGGCTAACACAGTGAAACCCTGTCTCTACTGAAAATACAAAAAATTAGCCAGGCGTTGTGGCGGGTGCCTGTATCCCCAGCTACTTGGGAGGCTGAGGCAGGAGAATGGCATGAACCCGGGAGACAGAGCTTGCAGTGAGCCGAGATCGTGCCATTGCACTCCAGCCTGGGCGACAGAGCGAGACTCCGTCTCAAAAAAAAAAAAAAAAAAAAAAAAAAAAAAAAGTGGGGAAAACACTGCTGGCACAGGGAAGGATAAGAGACGGGGATGTTTAACTTTGAGGGAGGGTGGTGGGAAGAACGAAGACCTTCGAGCTGCAATGTGGAAGACAGAAGGAGGCGTGGTGGTCTGGTTATAGCACTGGAGGTACGCAGACTTCAGCTTGAAGGCTCTCTTTATCACTTGGCTAGCTCTGAGCCGGACTTCTGAGTCATCTGTGAAATAGAAGGCGCCTCTCGGAGTTGCGAGAATTGAATGAGATAACTCCTGGGAAGCGCTCCACCAGGGTCTGACGCTAGAAAGCACTTTGTCAGAATTGTAGTTTTCGTATATAATATTTCATCTTCTTGTCCCTAAAGCCTAGTTCAATCCCTGAAATCTCTTGGAGGATTTGGACATGCTGGCTGACTTGATTCAGTGCAAGAAAAGAACGATACGAGGCGCGGAGAGGACAGAAGCCGCAAGCGTGGCTCCGCTCAACGCGAAACAAAATCCTAACAAGAACAGATCGCGGGAGAGGTCGGGGAGCCAGCAGGGCGCACTCGACGCCGGGGCAGGACACTGGGAGCCTGCAGCAGGGACGTGGGTGGGGGGTACCCCAGGAGACCGCAAAGCTCCCCGTGGCTCGAGGGAGCGTCACGGCCGGAGAAGGAAGCGCGGGTGGGGCGCCAAGAGACGCGTCGGAGGTGAGAGAGGAGGAAGGCAAAGGGCCCTGGGTGAGGAGATGGGAGGCCGAGCGCGGAGGGAAGGGGTGAAGAGCCGGCCCCCCTCCTGAAGAAGACTCTTCAGATCCCCGCGCGCGGGGACCGTTTGGACGTAACCGCCTCCCGTCTCGGTGCCCGTCCATCCAGCCGGGGTTGGCCCTGCCACTGTCGCCACATCCCGCCTCCAATTCCCGCCCCGCTTCCGCTCGGCTTTGACACCGCGCTTCACAGCCACCCCGGTCCATTCGACCCGCTCCGCACCTCACACACGGCCCGCCGGCGGCCGCCGCCATCTTCGCGCGCCCGCTCGCCCTAACCCCGCCCCCAGACGCCATGCCCACGTGACCGCTCGCCCCCGGACCCGGAGCGTGGGCGGGGATTTCGTCACGTGACGTTGCCGCGGGGCGGTGCCAAGATGGCGAGGCCCAAAGAGGTGAGGAGCCGGCAGCGGGGGCGGCTGTAACTGTGAGGAAGGCTGCAGAGTGGCGACGTCTACGCCGTAGGTTGGAGGCTGTGGGGGGTGGCCGGGCGCCAGCTCCCAGGCCGCAGAAGTGACCTGCGGTGGAGTTCCCTCCTCGCTGCTGGAGAACGGAGGGAGAAGGTTGCTGGCCGGGTGAAAGTGCCTCCCTCTGCTTGACGGGGCTGAGGGGCCCGAAGTCTAGGGCGTCCGTAGTCGCCCCGGCCTCCGTGAAGCCCCAGGTCTAGAGATATGACCCGAGAGTGCCCATCTCCGGCCCCGGGGCCTGGGGCTCCGCTGAGTGGATCGGTGCTGGCAGAGGCGGCAGTAGTGTTTGCAGTGGTGCTGAGCATCCACGCAACCGTATGGGACCGATACTCGTGGTGCGCCGTGGCCCTCGCAGTGCAGGCCTTCTACGTCCAATACAAGTGGGACCGGCTGCTACAGCAGGGAAGCGCCGTCTTCCAGTTCCGAATGTCCGCAAACAGTGGCCTATTGCCCGCCTCCATGGTCATGCCTTTGCTTGGACTAGTCATGAAGGAGCGGTGCCAGACTGCTGGGAACCCGTTCTTTGAGCGTTTTGGCATTGTGGTGGCAGCCACTGGCATGGCAGTGGCCCTCTTCTCATCAGTGTTGGCGCTCGGCATCACTCGCCCAGTGCCAACCAACACTTGTGTCATCTTGGGCTTGGCTGGAGGTGTTATCATTTATATCATGAAGCACTCGTTGAGCGTGGGGGAGGTGATCGAAGTCCTGGAAGTCCTTCTGATCTTCGTTTATCTCAACATGATCCTGCTGTACCTGCTGCCCCGCTGCTTCACCCCTGGTGAGGCACTGCTGGTATTGGGTGGCATTAGCTTTGTCCTCAACCAGCTCATCAAGCGCTCTCTGACACTGGTGGAAAGTCAGGGGGACCCAGTGGACTTCTTCCTGCTGGTGGTGGTAGTAGGGATGGTACTCATGGGCATTTTCTTCAGCACTCTGTTTGTCTTCATGGACTCAGGCACCTGGGCCTCCTCCATCTTCTTCCACCTCATGACCTGTGTGCTGAGCCTTGGTGTGGTCCTACCCTGGCTGCACCGGCTCATCCGCAGGAATCCCCTGCTCTGGCTTCTTCAGTTTCTCTTCCAGACAGACACCCGCATCTACCTCCTAGCCTATTGGTCTCTGCTGGCCACCTTGGCCTGCCTGGTGGTGCTGTACCAGAATGCCAAGCGGTCATCTTCCGAGTCCAAGAAGCACCAGGCCCCCACCATCGCCCGAAAGTATTTCCACCTCATTGTGGTAGCCACCTACATCCCAGGTATCATCTTTGACCGGCCACTGCTCTATGTAGCCGCCACTGTATGCCTGGCGGTCTTCATCTTCCTGGAGTATGTGCGCTACTTCCGCATCAAGCCTTTGGGTCACACTCTACGGAGCTTCCTGTCCCTTTTTCTGGATGAACGAGACAGTGGACCACTCATTCTGACACACATCTACCTGCTCCTGGGCATGTCTCTTCCCATCTGGCTGATCCCCAGACCCTGCACACAGAAGGGTAGCCTGGGAGGAGCCAGGGCCCTCGTCCCCTATGCCGGTGTCCTGGCTGTGGGTGTGGGTGATACTGTGGCCTCCATCTTCGGTAGCACCATGGGGGAGATCCGCTGGCCTGGAACCAAAAAGACTTTTGAGGGGACCATGACATCTATATTTGCGCAGATCATTTCTGTAGCTCTGATCTTAATCTTTGACAGTGGAGTGGACCTAAACTACAGTTATGCTTGGATTTTGGGGTCCATCAGCACTGTGTCCCTCCTGGAAGCATACACTACACAGATAGACAATCTC
The DNA here is from genome assembly GCF_000001405.40 of Homo sapiens. Classification (NCBI taxonomy): domain Eukaryota; kingdom Metazoa; phylum Chordata; class Mammalia; order Primates; family Hominidae; genus Homo; species Homo sapiens. The sequence continues at coordinate 128,945,725 of NC_000009.12, read as the reverse complement.
CTTCTGCCTCTCTACCTCCTGATATTGCTGATGGCCTAGCTGTTACAGTGCAGCAGCAGTGACGGAGGAAACAGACATGGGGAGGGTGAACAGTCCCCACAGCAGACAGCTACTTGGGCATGAAGAGCCAAGGTGTGAAAAGCAGATTTGATTTTTCAGTTGATTCAGATTTAAAATAAAAAGCAAAGCTCTCCTAGTTCTAGTTTTGCTGATATATTTTTTTTTTTATTTTTTTTTGAGACAGTTTTGCTCTTGTTGCCCAGGTTGGAGTGCAATGGCGCGATCTCGGCTCACCGCAACCTCCACCTCCCAGGTTCAAGCGATTCTCCTGTCCCAGCCTCCTGAGTAGCTGGGATTACAGGCATGCGCCACCATGCCCAGCTAATTTTGTATTTTGAGTAGAGACAGGGTTTCTCCATGTTGGTCAGGCTGGTCTCGATCTCCCGACCTCAGGTGATCTGCCCACCTTGGCCTCCCAAAGTGTTGAGATTACAGGCGTGAGCCACCATCCCAGCCTTGCTGATATTTAAAAAGAAAAGAGTCTTAAGGGATAGTCCAGCAACTCAAAGAACCTGAGTGTGCTATAGAGCCCCCTCTTTCGCCCTGCAGCCTCGGAGGAGGCCAGAGTGGACACTGGAGGGAGTAAAGCATAATGGTTAACACTTTAGTCTCTGGGTCAAACTAATCTGGTCAGAATCCTTGGCTGCACAGCTTCTTACTAACTTTGTGACCTTGAATGGCCAGGCGTGGTGGCTCATGCCTGTAATCCCAGCACTTTGGGAGGCCGAGGCAGGTGGATCACCTGAGGTCGGGAGATCGAGACCAGCCTGACCAACATGGAGAAACACTGTCTCTACTAAAAATACAAAATTAGCCAGGCGTGGTGGCATATGCCTGTAATCCCACCTACTAGAGAGGCTGAGGCAGGAGAATCACTTGAACCTGGGAGACGGAGGTTGAAGTGAGCTGAGATCGCGCCATTGCACTCCAGTCTGGGCAACAAGAGCGAAACTCCGTCTCAAAACAAAACAAAACAAAACAAAAAAACAACTTTGTGACCTTGGGTGAGTCACTTAGCCAGGCTGAACCTCAATTCTCTTGCAGATGGGAGTAATGACAGCCCACACCTCGCGGGGTGTTGTGAGGGTCCAGCCTAGAGCCCACCCTTGATAAGCAGTCAGAAAGGGAGTCATTTTTACCAAAGACCAGTCCTCATCTTAGTGAAAAGCCGAAAAGCTGGGCAAACCACTTGGAAACCAGAGTGACCTTTGCTCTCCTGGCTTCACTTGGAGGTGGAGAACTCCTGAGGGAAAGAGCAGAGGGCTAGGAATTACTGAAGGGAGAGGTGGGTCAACTTTGGCAGGGTTGAGGGAGGATCAGATCCTGCTTGGGCTGGATCTTGTTTTAGCCAACCCCACCCCGCCTCTGGTGTCCCACTGAGTGGTGTCCATAGAGAAAGATGGGCTGAACAGCACCAGGACCTCATCAAGGGGCCCTTCTTAAGACCTTTCCATGTTCTAATCCTATCCAAACCTGTGTTTGTCTTTTCCTAAGGTAGGAAAGATCCACAGGGGCTGGGGGAGTTTCCTGAGAGGTAAAATGACTGTATGAGGGGCCCACGCTGCAGCCTTGCTCTCTGGCTGGGAAGACAGGCTCCGGCACTGCCTCACTCCCCACCCCATCCCCCAAGGCTAGCACAGGGCACTGACAAGGAGCAGGAAATCAGTAGATTTGGGAGTCCATCTGCACTGTGTCCCTCCCAGAATTGTACACTACACAGATAGTGAATGGATAAACATTTTCCGTCACTAGGAAGATAGCACAGCAAGATTCCTGAGGCTGGACAAGGTTCTCCCTTTCTCCCCAAGCTTGGGAGGACATCAGAGGAGGTGAGAGCTTTGGTCCACCAAGGCCAGAAGCCGGGAGCAGAGCTCCAGGGAGCGAAGCTTCTGCTTGAGAATCACTGCCATGTCCTTTCCCTCAGAGGAGAGTATTGAGACATTTCTTTGGGACTCAATGGAGACGCTTCCCTTCTCTTAGGCTCCCTCCTATTGCTTGCAAAAGGAAGCAGCAAAATGTTGGTGAAAGAGCACCAGCTTTGCCCCACGGACTCCCAGGGTGGCCTTGGGAAAGGGCTCTATCCTCTGGGCCTTGGGTTGTCCATGTATATAGTTGGGGGATAGGCTACATCAGGGTCACAAACTCAAATGACTGCCAAGGCCAATCAGGTAACGCAGTGAACGACAACAGGGGACCACACTGAGCCTCTAAGGGAGCTCCAGCCAGTAGCCACCATGCTAGAGTGTAGGCCCCGTGTTGTCAATTGCATGCTCATTCGAGGAAGCTTAGGAACCTGGATTATTATGTGGAATCTTCAAGTTTTTTCTTAAATGCTGAGGCCTGGCCAGGCGCGGTGGCTCACGCCTGTAATCCCAGCACTATGGGAGGCCAAGGCGGGTGGATCACTAGGTCAGGAGTTCAAGACCAGCCTGGCAAAGATGGTGAAACCCTGTCTCTACTAAAAATACAAAAATTAGCCGGGTGTGGTGGCAGGCGCCTGTAATCCCAGCTACTCTGGATACTGAGGGAGAGAATTGCTTGAACCCGGGAGGCGGAGGTCGCAATGAGCTGAGATCTTGCCACTGCACTCCAGCCTGGGTGACAGAGTGAGACTCTGTCTCAAAAAAAAAAAAAAAATGCTGAGGCCCAGACAAAATGCGTCTGTGGGCTAGAATCAGCCTGTGTTCCCCAGTTTGTAGCCTCTGGGCCAAACCTCAGCTAAGGTTTTAGATTTGGCAGTTGTTCTGAAGGTCTGAGTGCCTGCCAAGCATGCCCAAACAGGAAGGGCCCCTGAAGGCCCTAGTCTGGCCCCCTTACTGGACATGGGAGGAAACAGGCCCAGAGGAAGGAAAGGCCCTGGCCTGAGACCAGAGAGCAAGTTGCTCACAGAGCCAGGACCAGAACCTGGAACTCTGGATTCCTAGCTCTGGGCATCTCTGCTCCCCAAGAAGAGAAGACGAGGCAGTGTCAAGGTTAGGAGCACGGGCTCTGCATGAGGCTGACCCTGCTGAACAACCGAGCAGCCACGTGACTTGGGCAGGTCATTTACCCCCTCCTTGGCTCAGCGTCGTCTTCTGTAAGTACAGATAATGGCACTTACCTCTCCGAGTGAGGATTCCATGAGATAAAGCCTGTGAAGGTCTCAGCACAGAGCAGGGCACACGGTCACTGCCCACTAAATGTTACTTATTAAAATCATGCAAGCCACGCCAAGCAGGGCTGGGGTACCTGGGATGCATTTTAGCATCTTGTCTGGAAAGCAATTTTTTTTTTTTTTTTTGAGATGGAGTTTTGCTTGTGTTGCCCAGGCTGGAGTGCAATGGTGTGATCTCGACTCACCGCAATCTCTACCTCCCGGGTTCAAGCTATTCTCCTGCCTCAGCCTCCCGAGTAGCTGGGATTACAGGCACGCACCACCACGCCCAGCTAATTTTTTGTATTTTTAGTAGAGACAGGGTTTCTCCATGTTGGTCAAACTGGTCTAGAACTGCCAACCTCAGGTCATCCGCCCACCTCGGCCTCCCAAAGTGCTAGGATTACAGGCGTGAGCCACTGCACCTGGCCTGGAAAGCAGTTTTCTTCTCTGGAAAGCAATGCTGCTTGGGAAAGAAGGCTCAGTAGGGAAGCTGCATTCTGAAGTCGTTTTTATTCGATAACTAACACCATAATAACCAGAGTTCCATCTGAGAGGAGAGGAGAGTGAGAAGGGGCCAGAACCCTTTGGTGGCTGAGAAGCCTCCTCAAGGCTATGTTGGGGCAGTAGGGAGGCAGAGAGGTGAAGATCTTAGGGAAGCCCCTGACCCAGCCTAGGCTGCTGCCCACAGGGCAGGAGGAAAGCCCAGGAGGGGAGACAAGACCTCCCTGTTGCAACCAGGAGGCTGAGCAAGGCACTGGTGTTTACAGCCCACAGCTTCACCCGGGAGGGGCGAGGGCTCCTGCCCTGCGAGAGCCTTTAGGTGTACAGTTGGGGAAAGGGCAGTTCAGCTGTTGGCTGGAGCCTGCAGAGGATAGAGGAGAAACAACCTTGAGGTGCAGGGTCACTGTTCCCAGCCTCCAGGGGACTGTCGGGCACACACACCCACCCTGTCACCTACCAGTTCTCCGGGCTCCAGGTGGTGCCAGAGGCCTCCATGAGGTGGAAAGTGTAGGCCTGGCGCGAGCGGTCAGAGAGGTTCTGCTTGCTCTTGTGTACCACTTCTCCATGGATGAGGACCAGGGCCCCTGGCAGAGACACAAGCAGGTCAGGAACCTACCAGCCCCACATCCCCCCTCCCCAGAGCAGGAAGGGACATGGGCCCTCCTCCTTCCAGTGGTTTTGTGGCCCCCATCCATCCCCATTCCCTTCCCTGAAAGCTCAGGCATCTGCAGCCTCCCTCAGGGACAAAAGCTAAGCTATTGAGATGCATGTTCCTCTGGGATCAAGTCCCCTCTGCTGTGGACTGTGGCCTTGGCAAGCCTTAGGAAGGGCCTCCCCTCCCGAGGTCTTTGCAGGATCAGGCAGAAGCCCTCTGTCCTGTGCCAGTCCACTGGGACCTCTCCGGTGATGCTGAGTTAGACATTGGTTTTCCCTTTTCATAAGAAAAAGGGCCGCCCAACAGCCAACATTTGTTGAGCAGTGGCTATGCACTAGGCAGACTCTATATCAACATATTTATCATCTCACTGACTTTCCACTTTACGTTTGGGGAAATTAAGGCTCAGGGAGTCAGTCATTTGCCCAGAGAAACAGCCCATAAGTAGCAGAGTGTGGATTCCAGGGTGATCTGGATCAGCCTGCAGGAAAACATGCTGCTTCCTGACTTCCCAGCGCCCATCCAGCCCCTCCTTCTCTTTCTGTGACTTCACTGCCCTCAGATGACCCCGAGGGCAACCTCTTGGACGCTGGGTAGTCGAGCAAGCACAGACTGATGGACTCAGCCCCCTGCCTCTCTGCCCTCTGCATCTGCCTACCTCTCTGCACTGGGGTGGGCACAAAGAGGCTGTTATCCCGGGCTGGCTCTGACCCAAGGAAGCTGGTACCAGGCGCTGAGCCAACAGGGGCCCGGACCATCCTTCTTGACACACCACCTGCAGGCCAAGATGGAGAGCCTTAAACTCCTCCTTTCTCAAGGTCCCTCTCCCTAGGGGGTGGGGAGTCCCAAGTGGGCAGAAGAGACAGGGTTCCTCACTGGTGTGGGAGCCAGGGATGAACCAGAGACAGCCGTTCTCCAGCGTGGCATCCTCCACTGCGATCCACACGCCCAGCACCCGGCCCAGGGGCTCCGTGTACAGGAAGGAGGCGTCCTGATGAGGGGAGACTAAGCAGGCCCACGGGGGGTGAGGAGCTCATCCTTTTGCCTGTTTCCACCTCACCTTGGCCTCATTACCTATTCCTCAGTCCTCTGGGTGCTCTCCAGGGCCAGCCTTCCCATGATCAGTTAGAATCTCATCACTTCCTGGCCCAGGACTCTAAGGCAAGCGATTTCACCTCTCAAAGCCTCAATTTCCTAAACCGTGAAGTGGCTCCAACAACAACCTACCTCACAGGGTGCTGGAGGATTCTATGAGATGATGTATGAAAAGTGCTTAGGGCCCAACAATGTAACTGCTTGATATAAAGTAGCACTACTGTTTAATTCCAGTGAGATAACTCAAGCCACCCTTCTTAACCAGGGACAAGCGGCCCCCAGCCACCAGATGGTTCACCCAGTGGCCTAAGTTTGGGAGGTTGGGGCTTGGCGCGGTGGCTCACACCTATAATCTCAGCACTTTGGGAGGCCAAGGCGGGTGGATCACCTGAGGTCAGGAATTTGAGACCAGCCTGGCCAACATGGTGAAACCCTGTCTCTACTAAAAACACAAAAATTAGCCATGTGTGGTGGCAGGCGCCTGTAATCCCAGCTACTTGGGAGGCTGAGACAGAAGAATTGCTTGAACTCGGGAGGCAGAACTTGCAGTGAGCCGAGACTGTGCCACCTCACTCCAGTCTGGGTGACAGAGCAAGACTCCCTCTCAAAAAAAAAAATTGGGAAGTTGGGTGCGAAGCAGGGAGATGCTATGATCAGGCATCCACATTTCTTTATTATTATTATTATTTTTTTTTTTTTTGAGACGGAGTCTGGCTCTGTCGCCCAGGCTGGAGTGCAGTGGCACGATCTTGGCTCACTGCAACCTCCGCCTCCCGGATTCAAGTGATTCTCCTGCTTCAGCCTCCCTAGTAGCTGGGATTACAGGTGCCTGACACCACGCCCAGCTAATTTTCATATTTTTAGTAGAGATGGGGTTTCACCATGTTAGCCAGGCTGGTCTCAAACTCCTGACCTTAGGTGATCTACCCCCTCGGCCTCCCAAAGTGCTGGGATTACAAGCGTGAGCCACCACTCCTGGCCAGCATCCACATTTTTAAAAACCTCCCCACACGATGCTGGGGCACAGTTAGGATGCGGAACCACCGAACAAAGGAACATGGTCCTCAGCAACAGAACAAACAGGTTGCTGTCTCACCTCCTTCCTTCCCGGGCAACTGCGTGTTTTCTGAATACTGAACTTTAAGACAGACCTCCAAAGGAACATTTGAAATGGAAGGGGCTTTGAAACATTTGGGAGAGGAATGGTGGAAGGAACTGGGAGAACTGGACTCAGGCAGAGAGTGGGGATGGTCATCCCTTTGGGGAACTGGACTCAGGCTAAGGGTGGGGATGGTCATCCCTTTGGGGAACTTCGTACAGGCTGAATGGTGGAAGAAGGTGGTCACAAGGAGGCTGACTTGGGCTCATGCAAGGAAGGAAAGGGCTTCCTGGGAGGGGATGAGCTCCCTGTCACCAGAGGTATTTGAGCAGAAGTAGATAATCACCTACTAGGGAGGCTGTAAAGGGTGGCTGCATGGTGTAGGGTGTGGAACTAGATCAGCAATTTCTATGCTGAATTCGTCCTCCAGGAAACTTGTTAAAAATACAGATTCCAGGGCCGGGCGCGGTGGCTCATCCCTGTAATCCCAGCACTTTGGGAGGCTGAGGCGGGTGGATCACCTGAGGTCAGGAGTTCGAGACCAGCCTGGCCAACATGGTGGAACCCCGTCTCTACTAAAAATACAAAAAATTAGCTGGGCGTGGTGGCAGGCACCTGTAATCCCAGCTACTTGGGAAGCTGAGGCAGGAGAATCACTTGGACCGGAGAGGCGGAAGTTGTAGTGAGCCGAAATTGTGCCATTGTACTCCACCTTGGGTGACAAGAATGAAACTCTGTCTCAAAAAAAAACCCAAAAAACAGATTCCCAGGCCCATGCAGCCCTACTGGCTCAAGATCTCAGGGACTAGGGCCCAGGAATCTGTTTTTTTTGTTTGCTTGGTTTGGTTTGGTTTTTTTGTTTGTTTGGTTTTGAGACAGAGTCTCACTCTGTCACCCAGGCTGGAGTGCAGTGGTGTGATCTTGGCTCACTGCAACCTCTGCCTCCTGGGTTCAAGCGATTCTCCTGCCTCAGCCGCCTGAGTAGCTAGGACTACGGGTGTGCGATACTACACCCACCAAAATTTTTGTATTTTTAGTAGAGATGGGGCTTCAGCATGTTGGCCAGGCTGGTCTCGAATTCCTGACCTCAGGTGATCCGCTCGCCTCTGCCTTCCAAATTGCTGGGATTACAGGCATGAGCCACCACGCCTGTCCTAGGAAATCTATATTTTTAACCAGCTGGGGTTGCTGGCAGGCTCAGGACCCACTATGCCAAGGACGCAAGGTTTCCCTACCAATCCACTATCAGGGGAAGGAATGGAAGGTGGCTCCTCCTCTCCGGGCCAGGCTCCTACAACAGACAGGAGCAAGCGCTTTCCCTCCTTCTGAAGATCTGAGAACCATTGCTGTCTTAGATGTCCCACCCATGGCCTTTTCAGGGGCCCACAGCTCTCAGCTCACCTTCACCGCCAAAGTGAGGTTGCTGCAAGAGAGAGGAAAAGCCTGGTGAGGACAGAAGAGAGCAGAGAGGAGCTGGGCTTGCTGAGACTCCCAGGATGCTATTGCTCTGGCCACAGGCATTTTCCTCTCAGGATTCCACATCAACACCCAGCTACTGAGCACCTACCATATGCCAGCCCCAGGAGGGATGCAAAGAGAAAACCCCCACCCCTGCCCAACAAGCTCCTAGCATGTGCAAGCACACACATGCCTAACAAGATCACAGAGCAGAGCAGGGCAAGGACTGGAGGGAGAGGCTAGGACACAGGCCAGCAGTTGAGCCTTCCAGCCCCAGAGTCAGATGGGTCCTTCTTTCCTCAGGGGTTCTGGAAGGCTTCTTAGAAGAGGTGGCACTGAGCTGGCCCTTGAAAGCTGGGAGCACAGCATTTCAATTGCCAAAGAAGGGAGGAGGAAGGCCGAGGGAGGCCTGGGGATGACCCTCCCTCCTACCACCAAATTTTTTTTTCTTTTTTTTTTTCTTCCTTTTTGTGGAGAATGGGGTCTCGCTATATTGCCCAGGCAGGTCTCAAACTCCTGGGTTCAAGCTACCCTCCCACCTCTGCCTCCCTGAGAGCTGGGATTACAAGCGTGAGCCACTGCGCCTGGCCAAATTTTTCTTTTTTTTGAGACGGAGCCTTGCTCTATCCCCCAGGCTAGAGTACATTGGCGTGATCTCCACTCACTGTAACCTCCACCTCCTGGGTTCAAGCAATTATCCTGCCTCAGCCTCCCGAGTAGCTGGGACTACAGGTGTGTGCCATCACGCCCGGCTAATTTTTGTATTTTTAGTAGAGATGGGGTTTCTCCATGTTGGCCAGGCTGATCTCGAACTCCTGACTTCAGGTGATCTGCCCGCTTCAGCCTCCCAAAGTGCTGGGATTACAGGCATGAGCCACCACGCCCGGCCCCTACCACCAAATTTTAACTGAGGATCAACTAAGTTCCAGGTGCTTTAGCCAGAGGAGACCGATTTTCCATGTTCTCCCACCAACATAATAATTCCAGCAACTTTTGGCCCATTGTAAGGAAGGGCTTGGTATGAGCAGTCTGCCCATTTTACAGATGGTAAACTGAGGCAAGGACAAGGAGCTCACCTTAAAGATGTACATGCTCTGCACCACCACGGGCATCTGGAGGCCCAGACTTCTGGCCAAGGTCTGGAGGGGGGCAAAGGTCATGCTGCCAGCCTGCCACACATGGCCCACCCTCCTGGCCCTCACCCCCACCTCTGCTCACCTGCACCTTGAAGGAGTGTGTGATGCTCTTGAAGACGGGGTCGTGGGCGTGCAGAGCTATGGGACAGAAGGAAGCTGTCGGCCCCATCTCAGGCCCACGTGTCCCTCCACACCCAGCTCTGGGCACCCACACTCAGGCTTACTTTGACATTCTCACTTACTTTGTAGGCATTAACCCTTCTGCTTGTTTACAACTGAGTAATGGGCTCCACAGGAGCCTTGCCCCCACCCCAGGCCCTATGCCACCCATGCCCTTATTCTTGACCTTCTGGGAAGCTCAGTCCAGCCCCGACTCCCCACCCCTCACAGACGACTAAGGGCTCCAAGGCACCAATCATGCGGAGCAATCTCGGTACCACCATTTGCTCTGTGTGGCCTCGGGTAACCATTTCTCTCCTGTAAGCCTCAGTTTCCTCTTCTGTCAAATGAGGATTAGAAGAACCTGGGAGGCAGGACTGGTGTGGGACTCGATGGGCTAATGAATGTGCAGGGACAGCCCAGGGCCTGGCATGGGATAGTCCCTCATTGTCATAAACATAAGATTGAATGCATTTAATACCACTGAGCTATGTACTTTTTATTTTTATTTATTTATTTAGTTTTGAGATGGAGTCTCACTCTGTCGCCCAGGCTGGAGTGCAGTGGCACAATCTCGGCTCACTGCAACCTCCACCTCCCTAGTTCAAGCGATTCTCCTGCCTCAGCCTCCTGAGCAGCTGGGACTACAGGCATGTGCCACCACGCCCAGCTAATTATTGTATTTTTAGTAGAAATGGTTTTTCACCATATTGGCCAGGCTGGTCTTGAACTCCTGACCTCGTGATCCACCCGCCTCGGCCTCCCAAAGTGCTGGGATTACAGGCGTGAACCACCGCGCCCGGCCAAGCTACGTACTTTAAAAGGGTTATGATGATATGGTAAATCTTTTCTTTTTTTTTTTTTTTTTGAGACAGAGTTTCGCTCTGTTGCCCAGGCTGGAGTGCAGTGGCAGTAGCTGGGACTACAGGCGCCCACAACAAGGTCCGGCTAATTTTTTGTGTTTTTAGTAGAGACAGGGTTTCACTGTGTTAGCCAGGATGGTCTCGATCTCCTGACCTCGTGATCCGCCCACCTCAGCCTCCCAAAGTGCTGGGATTACAGGCGTGAGCCACCACGCCCGGCAATGATATGGTAAATCTTACGTGTATTTTACCACAACTTGTCTACAAGCTTACCATGATATAACTTCAGGCTTAACAATAAGCATTCTAGGCCAAGTGCAGTGGCTTATGCCTATAATCCCAGCATTTTGAGAGGCCAAGGCAGGAGGATCACTTGAGCCCGGTAGTTGAAGATCAGCCTAGGCAACATAACGAGACCTCCTCTCAATTTTATTTAAAAAAATAAATAGCCTATAAAACAAATTATAATGTATGATCCTAAAGAAAAAAAGTGAGGGTTTTCTTACTTGACTTTGGGGTGTCAGAATAGGGACCCTGTCAGCAGGTCAGGTGCCCCTTAGGGTGGCTCTAGGGAGCACTGGACCCAGGAGCTCCCCCAGGCCAGGCAGTAGAGAGCCTGCACATGCCCACCTGTTAGGGGGGATCAGGTGGACCCCCTATCCCCAGTGCTGTGGCAGCAGTGTCATGATTAGCAGAGGGGCCCAAGACCAGAGGGGAGCCTGAAGCCACAAATGCCATTTACCCGACCACTAATTTACTATGGGCTTTCTTTCTTGTTTGCTTTTTTTTTTTTTTGAGACGGAGTTTCACTCTTGTTGCCCAGGCTGGAGTGCAATGGCATGATATCGGCTCACTGCAGCCTCAGCCTCTCGGGTTCAAGCTATTCTCCCGCTTCAGCCTCCCAAGTAGCTGGGATTACAGGCATGCGCAACCATATTCAGCTAATTTTGTATTTTTAGTAGAGACAGGGTTTCTCCACATTGGTCAGGCTGGTCTTGAACTCCCGACCTCAGGTGATCCACCCACCTTGGCCTCCCAAAGTCCTGGGATTACAGACGTGAACGACCACGCCCAGCCACTATGGGCTTTCATTAAAGCTCCTAAACTCTTCAGGCTTCAGTTTCCCCAGTTTCCCCATGCTTTTTCCTTTTCTTTTTTTTTTTTTTTTAACAGGGTTTCACTCTGTCTCTGTCACCCAGGCAGGCTGGAGTGCAATGGCACATCTCAGCTCACTGCAACATCCGCCTCCCAGGTTCAAGCAATTCTCCTGCCTCAGCCTCCTGAGTAGCTGGGACTACAGGTGTGCACCACTACACTCACCTAATTTTTTCTATTTTTAGTAGAGATGGGGTTTCACCATGTTGGCCAGACTGGTCTTGAACTCCTGACTTCAAGTGATCTGCCCACCTTGACTTCTCAAAGTGTTAGTTAGGATTACAAGTGTAAGCCACCACTCCCAGCCTGTTCCCCGATCTTCTTTCCTGTACCCCCAAGCCCCTGCTCACCGTGGCCAATTTTGTTGATGGATTTCTCCGGAGGGACCAGGAAATTTCCTGTGGCACAAAGAACAGATAAAGGCAGAGAACTGGTGTCCAGCCTTCCATGGGCAGCTGGCTTCAGCATGCTTCCAGCCCAGGGGGCAGATTCCCAGGTCCAGCCTACCCTCACCATGGCTCCTCCCCAGCTCTAGGGCCCCAGCTCCAAACCTTTCTCATCAAAAACGCCTTTCTCAAAGAAGAATCGAATCTTGTCACCACTGCTCAAGAAATAGTCTGTGCTGCCCTGTGGAAAGGGGACATCAGAGGACTGAGACAGCATCCTGGGGTCAGAGCTGGGCCTGGCAAAGAGGGAGGCGGATTCAGAAGCTTCCCACCCTCACAGGGTTACAGACACCCTGGGGGCTTCTCAGACTTGTCCACTGAGGCACAGACAGTGAGCCAGAACTTCAAGTGCCTGGAAGCACACCCCAAAGATGCAAACATGGAATTTCTTGGACACCTCACTATACTGTGATTCAGAACATGGATGCTAGAGTCGAATAGGGCTGGTTCCCTAGCAGCCTTGGGCCCCTGGTTTTATGTCACCAAGACTTCATTTTCTCATCTGTAAAAAAAGGAATAATAATGGCTGGGAGTAACGACTCACACCTGTAATCCCAGCATATTGAGGCAGATCACTTGAGGCCAGGAGTTCGAGACCAGCCTGGCCAACATGGTGAAACTTTGTCTCTACTAAAAATACAAAAAACAGCTGGGCGTGGTAGGCACCTGTAGTCCCAGGTACCCGGGAGGCTGAGGCAGGAGAATAACTTGAACATGGGAGGCGGAGGTTGCAGTGAGCCGAGATTGCACTATGCACTCCAGCCTGGGCGACAGAGTGAGACTCTGTCTCAAAAAAAAAAAAAAAAAAAAAAGTCTGGGTGCAGTGGCTCATGCCTGTAATCCCAGCACTTTGGGAGGCCGAGGTGGGCGGATCACGAGGTCAGGAGATCGAGACCATCCTGGCTAACATGGTGAAATCCCCGTCTCTACTAAAAAAAATACAAAAAATTAGCCGGGCATGGTGGCAGGCACCTGTAGTCCCAGCTACTCCGGAGGCTGAGACAGGAGAATGGCGTGAACCCGGGAGGCAGAGCTTGCAGTGAGCCAAGATTGGGCCACTGCACTCTGGCCTAGGCAACAGAGCAAGACTCTGTCTCAAAAAATAAATAAATAAATAAATAAATAAATAAATAAATAAATAAGGAATAATAATAGAACTGACCAACCAGGCACTGTGGCTCACACCTGTAATCCCAGCACTTTGGGAGGCTGAGGCAGGCGGATCACGAGATCAGGAGTTCAAGACCAACCTGGCAAACATAGTGAAACCCCGTCTCTACTAAAAATACAAAAAATTGCTGGGTGCAGTGGCTCACACCTGTAATCCCAGCACTTTGGGAGGCCAAGGAGGGCAGACCACCTGAGGTCAGGAGTTCAAGAGCAGCCTGACCTACGTGGAGAAACCCCATTTCTACTAAAATTACAAAATTAGCCGGGCATGGTGGCGCATGCCTGTAATCCCAGTTACTCGGGAGGCTGAGGTAGGAGAATTGCTTGAACCTGGGAGGCGGAGGTTGCGGTGAGCCAAGATCGTGCCATTGCACTCCACCCTGGGCAACAAGAGCGAAATTCCATCTCAAGAAAAAATAAAAATAAAAACAAAAGTACAAAAAATTAGCCGAGTGTGGTGGTGGGCACCTGTTGTAATCCCAACTACTCAGGAGGCTGAGGCAGGAGAATCGCTTGAACCCAGGAGGCAGAGGTTGCAGTGAGCTGAGATTGTGCCATTGCACTCCAACCCGGGTGACAGTGCGAGACTCCATCTCAAAAAAAAAAAATAATAATAATAATAACAATAATAATAATAATAATAGAACTGACTTCCCCAGGCCGGGTGCGGTGGCTCATGCCTTTAATCTCAGCACTCTGGGAGGCTGAGGTGGGCAGATCACCCGAGGTCAGGAGTTTGAGACCAGCCTGACCAATATGATGAGACCCCATCTCTACTAAAAATGCAAAAATTAGCCGGGCGTGGTAGCATGCACCTGTAATCCCAGCTACTTGGGAGGCTGAGATGGGAGAATTGCTTGAACCCAGGAGGTGGAGGTTGCAATGAGCCAAGATCGCACCATTGCACTCCAGTCTGGGCAACAAGAGCAAAACTCCATCTCAAAAAGAAAGAAAGAAAGAAAGAAAGGCCGGGCGAGGTGGCTCACGCCTGTAATCCCAGCACTTTGGGAGGCTGAGGCGGACGGATCACGAGGTCAGGAGATCGAGACCATCTTGGCTAACACGGTGAAACCCTGTCTCTACTAAACAAAATACAAAAAATTAGCCGGGTGTGGTGGCGGGCGCCTGTAGTCTCAGCTACTCCAGAGGCTGAGGCAGGAGAATGGCGTGAGCCCAGGAGGCGGAGCTTGCAGTGAGCCGAGATCGCGCCACTGCACTCCAGCTTGGGTGACAGAGCGAGACTCCGTCTCAAAAAAAAAAGAAAAAGAAAAACAAAAAACTGACCTCCTCAATTCTTGGAGGCTTCAGCCAGAGGCTGAATCTTATAGCAGTTAGGACACAGATTCTGGAGCTGAAATCCTTGGGTTTAAATCCTGGCTCTAGGATGGGTGCTGTGGCTCATGCTTGTAATCCTAGCACTTTGGGAGGCCAAGGCGGGTGGATCACCTAAGGTCAGGAGTTCGAGACAGCCTGGCCAACATGGTGAAACCACGTCTCTAATAAAAATCCAAAAATTAGCAGGACGTGGTGGCACACGCCTGTAATCCCAGCTACTCTGGAGGCTGAGGAAGGAGAATCACTTGAATCCAGGAGGTGGAGATTGCAGTGAGCTGAGATCACGCCACTGCACTCCAGCCTGCATGACAGGAGCGAAAATATATCTCAAACAAAACAAAAAAATCCTGGCTCTATTGCAGTGGTCTGGAACCAAACCTGAATTATCTCTGAGACATGCCTGTACATGTGTTATCTTACTCAGCCTCCCAAAACCCAGAGAGGTAGGGTCTACTATAATCTCCATTTTATAGAAGAAGAAATTGAGGTGCCTTTTTTTTTTTTTTTTTGAGACAGAGTCTCGCTCTGTCGCCCAGGCTGGAGTGCAGTGACCCAATCTCGGCTCACTGCAAGCTCCGCCTCCCGGGTTCACGCCATTCTTCTGCCTCAGCCTCCCGAGTAGCTGGGACTACAGGTGCCCGCCACCACACCCAGCTAATTTTTTGTATTTTTAGTAGAGATGGGGTTTCACTGTGTTAGCCAGGATGGTCTCGATCTCCTGACCTTGTGATCCCCCCGCCTCGGCCTCCCAAAGTGCTGGGGTTACAGGCGTAAGCCACTGCACCCGGCCGAGGTGCTTTTTTTGTTTGTTTTTTTCTTTTTTTTTTTGAGACGGAGGTTCACTCTTGCCCAGGCTGGAGTGCATTAGCGCGATCTTGGCTCACCTCAACCTCCATGTTGGTCAGGCTGGTCTTGAACTCCTGACCTCAGGTGATCTGCCCACCTCAGCCTCCCAAAGTGCTGGGATTACAGGCATGAGCCACCATGCCAGGGTTTGTTTTTTTTTTTTTAAAAAGACAGTGTCTCATTTTGTTGGCCAGGCTGGAGTGAATGGTGCAATGGGATCACGGCTCACTGTAGCCTTGACTTCCTGAGCTCAGGTGATCCTTCCACCTCAGCCTCCTAAGTAGCTAGAACTACAAGTTCACACCACCATGCCTAATTTTTTTTTTTTTTTTGAGACAGGGTTTCACTCTGTCCCCCAGGCTGGAGTCCAGTGGCGCAATCTTGGCTCACTGCAACCTCCATCTCCTGGGTTCAAGCTATCCTCCTGTCTCAGCCTCCCAAGTAGCCAGGATTACACACGTGCATCACCACTCTCAACTAATTTTCTTGGATTTTTGGTAGAGATGGGGTTTTGCCATGTTGCTCAGGCTGGTGTTGAACTCCTGGGCTCAAATGATCTGCCTGCCTTGGCCTCCCAAAGTGCTGGGATTACGGGTATGAGCCACCATGCCCGGCCACGACTAATTTTTTTTTTTTTTGTATTTTTTGTAGAGACAGGGTTTCACCATGTTGCCCAGGCTGGTCTCAAACTCCTGAGCTCAAGTGATTTGTCCACTGCCTTGGCCTTGCAAAGTGCTAGGATTATAGGCTTGAGCCACCATGCCTGGATGGTAAAAATATTAAAGGTAATGATGCTAAGCATATGTCAAATATTTTACTGAATTCGTTATTTCATGAGGGAACCAGTAAGATGTTACAACTGGTTCAAAGGAGAATTCCAAGAATTACACACACACGTATGTAGATACTAAGGAAACTGAAATGAATTTTTTTTTTTTTGAGATAGAATCTCGCTCTGTCACCCAGGCTGGAGTGCAGTGGCACAATCTCAGCTCACTGCAAACTCTCCCTTCAGGGTTCAGGCGATTCTCCTGCCTCAGCCACCCAAGTAGCTGGGACCGCCGGCGCCTGCCACCATGCCCAGCTAATTTTTGTATTTTTGGTAGAGACCGGGTTTCACCATGTTCCCTAGGCTAGTCTTGAACCCTTGACCTCCAGCGATCTGCCTGTTTCAGCCTCCCAAAGTGCTGGGATTACAGGTATAAGCCACCACTCCTGGCCCTTGAAATGAATTTAGAGATAGATGCAAACTGTTTTTTGTTTTGTTTTGTTTTTTTGAGACAGGGTCTTTCTTTATCACCCACCCAGACTGGAGTGCAGTGGCATGATTATAGCTCACTGCAGCCTCAACCTCCTGGCCCCAAGTGATCCTTCTGCCTCAGCCTCCCATGTAGCTGGGACCACAGGCATATACCACCATGCCCAGCTAATTTAAAAAAATTTTTTTGTAGAGACAGGTCTCACTTTGTTGACCAGGCTGTTTGCGAATTCCTGGGCTCAAGCGATCCTCCCTGCTTGGCCTCCCAAACTGCTGGGATTACAGGCATGAGCCACCACACCCAGCTGCCCAACTGTTCTATCCACAGGGCAATAATTGCATTCCCCAGGACCCAGTTCATGGTAACGTGATTGGAACAGAGTGGTACTGACCCCCTACTTGGACAAGTATCATGTGCATTATTATCAGTTTTATCCAACTTACAGTGTTGTAAAATAACTCAAACAAGGAAAGCTGGAGGTAACCCAAGAAAATGAAACAGGACGCCCACTGATCTTTTTTTTTCTCACAGTATCAAGAGTGAATATTGAGGATGTTACTGAGTGCTGGGCACCATGCCAAGCTCTTTTCTTTGCATGCATTATAAACCAAGATATATCAGTTTTTTGTTTTTGTTTTTGTTTTTTTTTGAGACAGGATTCTTGCTCTGTTGCCCAGGCTGGAGTGCAGTGGCATGATCTTGGCCCACTGCAACCTCCACTTCCTGGGTTCAAGCGATTCTCCTGTCTCAGCCTCCCAAGTAGCTGGGATTACAGGTATGCATCACCTGGCCCAGCTAATTTTTGTATTTTTAGTAGAAACAGGGTTTCACCATGTTGGCCAGGCTAGTCTCAAACTCCTGACCTCAGATGATCCACCCACCTCGGCCTCCCAAAGTGCTGGGATTACAGGCGTGAGTCACTGCGCCCGGCCAATATATCAGCTTTATTCTCACTTTCTTCCCACCCCACAACCCATTAGTCTCTGAAGGCAGCTTGGAGGGCACAGGATTCGGCCCTTCTTACTCCTAGGAACCCTTGAGTGGCCTGCCTGTCTCTGGCTGCAGGAGCTGTCTCTGCTTCCCCCAGTATCCCCCCGAATGGAAGGCAGCTGTGCAGCAAATGAGACCAGCTTTTTGGAAGAAACTGTCATTCCTTAACTGGTTCTTTTTCCTTCTCAAGACCCCATTCTTCCCATTCCCTGGGATGGCTTCCGGCTGTTGTATTTCTGCTAATGCCCACCAGATGGCAGGTGCTCCTCGGCGTGAGTGCCAGGATCTCACCTGGCCCAGGCGCAAGCAGGCTCATAATAAACTCTGACTAGGAAGGGTCAAGAGAACGGTGTGGGAGACCCCAGAGTCTTCAATTTACCCATTGCAAACTGTACTGGGTCCTATCATGTGACCTATTCGGTCACTGGGGGGAGAAAATCTGAGTTCCTAGTCTCATGGGGGATAGTTACACAGGTGGGGGTCATCCAGACCACTGTGCTCATTCCAGGTGGCTGGCCACAAAGTGGCCTTCGGTGACCAGAGAACAGCCGGAAAACAGAAAGTAAAGCCAAGCTGGGAACAGCAGGGACTTGGTATCAGACAGATCTGGGTTGAAATCCTGACTCTGTCCACTACTAACTGTGTGGCTTGGGGCAAGTGATCTGAACCTAATTTTCCCCAACTGTCTAATGGGGGGATAATAATAGCCTGTAATTTCAGCACTTTGGGAGACTGAGGCTGGTGGATCACCTGGAGATCAGGAGTTCAAGACCAGCCTGACCAACATGATGAAACCCTGTCTCTACTAAAAATACAAAAATTAGCCGGGCCTGGTGGCGCATGCCTGTAAGTGCAGCTACTCAGGAGGCTGAGGCAGGAGAATCACTTGAACCCGGGAGGCGGAGGTTGCAGTGAGCTGAGATCGCGCCACTGAATTCCAGACTGAGCAACAGAGTGAGATTCTGTTTTAAAAGAAAAAAGAAAAAAAAAAAGGACAATAAAGCCTACTTGATAACTTCCCAGTGAGGAGCGAGGGAAAGGTGTGTAAGGGGCTTGGCCTGACACCCTGGAGCCTTGGGATCCTCCCTTCCACGATGCTGCTCTGGCCGGGGACCAAGCCCTCCCTCAAAAGCCACATCCCATCCTCATGTGCCCCAGACACCTACCTGGGCTCGAAGCTGCTCCTCTTCCTGGGTGGAGAATTCTGTGCGGCAGTGGAGAGGAACATCCATTTCAGCCACTATCTCGCCAATCCTTTGTTGCATGGCCACACACTCTTCCGCAGACAAGAATCCTTCCAGCACCAGGAATCCATCCTGTTGGAACTGCAGGCAGGCTTGAGACTCAGGCTTCCCCAGTCTGCAAATGCTCCTGTCTGACCCTTCCCTCAACCTTGCAGCTGTGTGAAGGTGGGACCAGGTATCTTGTTTGCTGCCCTGTCCCCAACCCCAGGCATGGAGTCTGGCACCCAGCAAAGAGCAATCAATATTGGCTGCTTGAATGGAAGAACAAGTAGTGAGGCCGGGTGCAGTGGCTCATGCCTCTAATCCCAGCACTTTGAGAGGCTGAGGCGGGCAATAACTTGAGGTCATGAGTTTGAGACCATCCTGGCTGGTCTCAAACCAGCCAGGGCATGGTTAGCTGGGCATGGTGGTGCATGCCTGTAGTCCCAGCTACTTGGGAGGCTGAGGCAGGAGAATCACTTGAACCCAGGAGGCGGAGGTTGCAGTGAGCCGAGATCTCACCACTGCACTCCAGCCTGAGCAACAGATGAGACTCCACCTCGAAAAAAAAAAAAAAAAAAGAAAGAAAAAGAAAAAGGAAGCTGGGCACAGTGGCTCACGCCTGTAATCCCAGCACTTTGGGAGGATCACTTAAGGTCGGGAGTTCCAGACCAGCCTGACCAACATGGTGAAACCCCATCTCTACTAAAAATACAAAAACTTGGCCAGGTGTGGTGGCGCATGCCTGTGTAATCCCAGCTCCTCGGGAGGCTGAGGCAGGAGAATAGCTTGGAGGCAGGAGAATAGCTTGAACCCAGGAGGTGGAGGTTGCAGTGAGCCGAGATCATGCCATTGCATTCCAGCCTGGGCAACAAAAGCGAAACTCCGTCTCAAAAAAAGAAAAGAAAAAGGAGCGGCAAGGGAAAGTTGTCCCTGCCCTTCCCCTCCAGGCTTGGGTCACCTGGAAACACAACCTTATTCATGTATTCAGCCAATATTGATTGAGCATCTACTGTGTCTGAGACACGGTTTTAGGAGCTAAAAGTATGGCTATAAGCAAGCCAGCCATGATGCCTGCCCTCATGGTGTCTACAGTCTAGTGAAAGAGACCGGCATTACACTAACCACACAGGTAAATTTACTGTCACAAACTTCGTGCCAGAGAGAGAGGATGAGTGTGAGTGCTGAAGGCAGAAGCAGCTAGCGTAAGCTGGCTGGGAAGGAGAAGGGTCTGGGAGCAGCAGCGCTGAGGGAGTGACATTTCAAGAGGGGACCAGCAGGATAAGGGAAGGGCATTCCAGACAGAGGGAGCAGGATATGGGAAGCCCCTGAATTTGGGAGGAACATAAGGAATTGGGAATGGATAGGGCAGAGTGAGGGGAGGGGTGGAAGAGGAGGCAGGAGGGTGGCAGGGGCTGGGCCAGGCTGGGAGCTATATTCTATCCTGAGCGCAGTGGCAGCCAGGGAGGGGAAGTAGATGGCTTCTTCTGATTTGCCTCTGGTCCTCTTATTCTGAGGCTCTTGAGAGAGAAAGGGAGGGAATGAATATCTGCACATTTGCCTGCAGAGCGTTACCAAGTTTTAGCCCCAACAGGGACACTGAAAGTCACCTACTGCTGGGCATGGTGGCTCACACCTATAATCCCAACAGTTTGGGAAGTCAAGCTGGGTGGATTGCTTGAGGTCAGGAGTCGGAGACTAGCCTGGCCAGCAAGGTGAAACCCTGTCTCTACTAAAAATACAAAAATTAGCCAGGTGCGGTGGCGGGCACCTGTAATCCCAGCTACTCGGGAGGCTGAGGCAGGAGAATCATTTGAACTCAGCAAGCAGAAGTTGCAGTGAGCTGAGATCACGCCACTGCGCTCTAGCCTAGAAGACCAAGCAAGACTTCATCTCAAAAAAAAAAAAAAGAAAGAAAAAGAAAAGAAAGTCACTTACTGCACACACCCACAAAGAGCCTAGTTTCCGGTTAAGGACACCCCTTCCGCCACCATGGGATGCTCAGTTCTGGCTTCCACACACCACTCATGACCACCCACCATGGGCCCCTCAGCTCTGCATGTTAGGAATTAATCACATCAGTATCAAGCTGAAAATTGCCTCCTTGGGAATTGGGCCAACCACAGCAACCTGTGCAACATACCCTTGATCCAGTAAATACACAAATACAGCTAGGAATTCTTTTTTTCCTTTTTTTTCTTTTTGAGACGGAGTCTCACTCTTGTTGCCCAGGCTGGAGTGCAATGGCATGATCTCAGCTCATCGCAACCTCTACCTCTCAGGGTTAAGTGATTCTCCTGCCTCAGCCTCCCGAGTAGTTGGAATTACAGGAATGCACCACCACACCTGGCTAATTTTTGTATTTTTAGTAGAGATGGGGTTTCACTATGTTGGCCAGGCTGGTCTCGAACTCCTGACCTCAGGTGATCCACTCACTTCGGACTCCCAAAATGCTGGGATTACAGGCATGAGCCACCGCACCCAGCCCTTTTCTCTTTTCTTTCCTTCTTCTTTTTTTTTTTTTTTAAGAGACAGGGTCTCTCTCTGTCACCCAGGCTGGAGAGTAGTGATGTGATCATAGCTCATTGCAGCCTTGAACTTCTGGGCTCAATCAATCCTCCTGCCTCAGTCTCCCGAGTAGCTGGGACTGCAGGTGCACACCACCACGCCTGGCTAATTTTATTTATTTTATTGTTTATTTTATTTTATTTTACTTTATTCTGAGACAGAGTCTCACTCTGTTGCCCAGGTTGGAGCGCAGTGGCGCGATCTCAGCTCACTGCAAGCTCCGCCTCCCGGGTTCACACCATTCTCCTGCCTCAGCCTCCCGAGTAGCTTGGACTACAGGCGCCCGCCACCATGCCCAGCTAATTTTTTTGTGTTTTTTAGTAGAGACGGGGTTTCACCATGTTAGCCAGGATGGTCTTGATCTCCTGACCTTGTGATCCGCCCACTTCGGCCTCCCAAAGTGCTAGGATTACAGGCATGAGCCACTGCGCCCGGCCTGTTTATTTTATTTTTGAGACGCAGTCTTGTTCTGTTGACCAGGCTGGAGTGCAGTGGCATGATCTCAGCTCACTGCAAACTCTGCCTTCGGGGTTCAAGTGATTCTCCAGCCTCAGCCTTCTGAGTAGCTAGGATTACAGGTGTGCGCCACCACGCCCAGCTAAATTTTTGTATTTTTAGTAGAGACAGGGTTCCGCCATGTTGGCCAGGCTAGTCTCCAACTCCTGACCTCAGGTGATCCGCCTGCCTTGGCCTCCCAAAGTGCTGGGATTACAGAGGTGAGCCACCGCGCCTGGCCAGTTTTATTTTTTTTTAGAGAAGGAGTCTTGCTATATTGCCCAAGCTGGTCTTGAACTCCTGTGCACAAGCGATCCTCCCACCTTGGCATCACAAAGTGGATTGGGATTACAGACGTGAGCCACAGCTAGGAATTGTTTTAGGAGGATTACGCAATAGGGGATCAAAGATATACATATACATATGGGGATATTCACTGAGCCTTGTTTCATGACAGAACCAAGTGGGGAGTAATCTAAATGCTCAGCGCAAGGGGATTAGTTTAACAAAGTATAGTTTATCTATCTGGAACACAGTATAGCTGATAAAAATCATGTAGAAACATATTTCCTCTCAAAGATTGGCTATACATGATTATCTGGCCATTGTGAGAACTTGACCAAGTAAGTGCCCTCCTTTCTCTGGCCCTCGGGCTACCAAACGGGGATAGCAGTACAGCCTCCTTTATTGAAGCTGGCAGGCTGGGCGCGGTGGCTCATGCCTTGTTGTCCCAGCACTTTGGAAGGCCAAGGCAGGAGGATCGCTTTAGCCCAGGAGCTCTGGACCAGCCTGGGCAACAAAGTGAGACCCCATCTCTGCAAAAATAAAAATAGGACCGGGCACGGTGGCTCACGCCTGTAATCCCAGCACTTTGGGAGGCCAAGGCAGGCGGATCACTTGAGGTCAAGAGTTCAAGACCAGTCTGGCCAACATGGTGAAATCCTGTCTCTACTAAAAATACAAAATTAGCCAGGTGTGGTGGCGCATGCCTGTAATCCCAGCTATTCGGGAGGCTAAGGTAGGAGAGTCGTTTGAACCTGGGAGTCAGAGGTTGTGGTGAGCCAAGATTGTGCCATTGCACTCCAGCCTGGGCAACAAGAGCAAAACTCCGTCTCAAAAAAAAAAAAAAAAAAAAAAAAAGAGCTGGGCATGGGGGCGTGTGCCTGTGGCAAGACCCCGTCTCCTCCCTACCCTCCCAAAAAAACCTGTCCAGCACTTGATTCGTGGTAGCTGTTGTAACAGACTTTGAAACAAAGCTTCTAGAGCTGTATACGAAAATATTAAGTCTCAGCGTAGGAATGTATGAGTGATTTTTTAAAAGGCTGTTGCACACTAATTCCTACGAGGTAGCCTTTTGTGATTGGACGAACATGGGCCCTCCTGGGCCCCTCGCAGGCCCCGCCCCCTCCTGGGCGCTGCGCCCCCCAACAGCGTTGCCGACTCCCGCCCAGGGCTGAACTGGTGGGTTCCGAGGCCTTATTCTCGTTTTTGGTCAAACACACACGTCCCCACCCCACCCTACCCTGGGTCCTGTGATCTAGACACCCAGGGCTATGTGTGAAGAAGTCAGGAGGGGTTGCGGTTGGGAACCCGCTCCTCTGGGCTTCAGTTTCGTCCTCGGTAAAATGGGGCAGGGGGTGGGTTGGGCACTGGGACTACTGAAGGTCCGGCAGGGACCCCCCCGCCATGACCCTCCCGGCCCCGACTTGCAGGCTCCTACCTTCTGGAGCTGCGAGGGGCTCAGGCAGGCCATGGAGACGCTCAGGGCACTGGGCGGCTTCTAAGCGCGGCCTCCTGGTGGGGAGGAGAAAGTTTAGGAGCCTGGGAGGACTTAACCCTTCCCTACCCGGAGAAAACCCGGTCCCACCACCCAACCCTCCTTCCCTAGACACAGCCAGATCAGCCTGTGACCTCCAGGCTAATCTCCCCCACCCCCACAACTAATCCAGGATTTGCCCTTTCCCATCTCCAAGGATTTTATCTGCTTCCTCTGTGTTTCTTCTGGAAACCACCCCCCACCACTGCTTACCAGGTGCCGGGAAATTATGCTGTGAGAGGGTCAGGCCAAGCAGCTGGGCTGAGTCCCAGTCCAGGCGCCGCCATTCCCTGTGACTCTGAGGAACGCCTGCCTCTCTCTAGGCCTCAATCTGGATAGAATGGGATGCAGGGTTGGTCTGGGGGATGTGCGGCACCCCCCTTCTCCAGGTAATGGGCATTCCAAAGGTGGAAGAGGTCCTGGGGAGAACTATCTGGGCCCCTCCCAGCACCGATCTGAAACCCTCTCGGTCCTGGGAGGATTATGGAAGGGAATTAACGCATCCATCTGCAGCTCAGACGAAAGTAGGAGACATGGGGTATCTTAGTAGGAGGAAGGGGCTGAGGAGAGAGAGATGCTTCCTGTTACCCACCCTCAGGCCCAAGATACTTGGCATCTCAAGTCGGGCTGGCACAGTGGAGCTGGGGTCAGAACAACACCTGCAGGCCGGGTGCGGCGGCTCGGGCCTGTAATCCCAGCACTTTGGAGGCAGAGGCGCGCGGATCACGAGGTCAGGAAATCGAGACCATCCTGGCTAACACGGTGAAACCCCGTCTCTACTAAAAATACAAAAAATTAGCCGGGCGTGGTGGCGGGCACCTGTAGTCCCAGCTGCTCGCGAGGCTGAGGCAGGAGAATGGCGTGAACGCGGGAGGCGGAGCTTGCAGTGAGCCGAGATTGGGCCACTGCACTAGAGCCTGGGCGACAGAGCGAGACTCGGTCTCAAAATAAATAAATAAATAATAAATAAAAATACCAAAAACTAGCCGAGCATGGTGGCAGGTGCCTGTAGTCCCAGTTACTCGGGAGGCTGAGGCAGGAGAATCGCTTGAACCCAGGAGGCGGAGGTTGCAGTGAGCCGAGATCATGCCACGGCACTCACTCCAGCCTGGACGACAGAGTAAGACTCCATCTCAAAAAACAAAAACAAAAACAAAAAGAGAGAATAACACTTGCACACCACCACCCTTCTCAGCTTGCCCTGCTCAGCAGCTGGCAGGGCCACTCGCTGGCTCTGAAAAACCGGCTGCTGCCTTCCCCAAAATGATGCCTTCTGAATGGCGAAGGGACAAAGTGTTTCAGGAGTGTGCATGGGGACACTGCTCAGCCCTCAAGAGCCTTGGCCTCGAGTCAAGTCGTGTTTGCTGGGCCACCGCTCTGGGAGCTGCTGCTTGGTCCAGGCCGTCCGGGGGGCAGGGGGGAGCAGTAAGTGCAGCTCAGGCTCCTGGTTCAGAGGGGTTAGGCTGGGTGAGGGGCAGGCAGATGACAGAACCACGAGGTTCACTAGAGGCAGGATGTGTTCCCAGCTGTCCTTAACCCTTCTGATGCAACTGCCCAACAAAGACAGATGCCTACCATGTGCCAAGAACACTGAGGTCCCCTCGGACTGGGCCAGCCATTCCCCTGGGAGCCCCCACAGAAGGCTTGTAGTAGAGACTCAGTGAAGCAGACTGTGTTTGCGTCCCAGATGTTCAGGCCTTACTTTCCCAGTCTGTAATTTGGGGCTAGCAGTAGGATCCCCTGTGAGCAGTAAATAAGATGAATGCTTCGCAGCTGATAAAGAGCTTGGCACCAGGCCTGGCGCTGAGTAAGTGCCTACCAACTGGTGAACAAGTTGTTCACCAAATGTTAGCAGGGGCTGTTCTGAGTGGAATATTATTTATTTATTTATTTTTTATTTTATTTATTTTTTTTGAGATGGAGTCTCGCTCTGTCACCCAGGCTGGAGTGCAGTGGCGCAATCTCAGCTCACTGCAAGCTCCGCCTCCCGGGTTCACGCCATTCTCCTGCCTCAGCCTCCCCAGTAGCTGGGCCTACAGGCGCCTGCCACCACGCCTGGCTAATTTTTTATATTTTTTAGTAGAGATGGGGTTTCACCGCGTTAGCCAGGATGGTCTCAATCTCCTGACCTTGTGATCTGCCTGCCTCGGCCTCCCAAAGTGCTGGGATTACAGGCGTGAGCCACCGCGCCCAGCTGGGTGGAATATAATTTAAACAATTTTTTTGAGCTTCCAAAATTGCTGTTACAATCAGAGAGAAGACCACCACAGTGGTTTTAGGCAGAGTGGAGAGCCCTGGGTGGGTGGGGGAGGGGGAGGGGAGAGGCCCAGCCTCCCACTAACTGTTCATTCTGCTCAACTTTGGGAAGTGGGTGGGCGGTGTTTCTACATGGTGGTTTTTTCCAAATGTAAACCAGCTCCAGATCGAACTCTCCTGCTCCAGGCGCTGGACAGCCTCAAGGCCAGGGTGGGGGCGGGAGTGGGGTCGGGGGGTGGTGGGAAGGGTACCAAACTGGGGGAGGGACCTCCACCACGGAAACAGAAAAGAAGGCCCCAGCCCGGCAGTCACAGTCCAGCTGCTCAGCCTGTCAGCCCATGGCAGGGGGAGAAGAGGGAGGGAATCTTGGCTCAGGCCTGAGTTCACCTGGAGGGGTCAGAGTCCCCGTGGAGGGAGGAGGGATAGACTCTGTCCAGTTGTAGAGGAGGTGCCCAAGCAGCCACCCAGGCCTCATCACTAAGGTCAAAGTCAGATATGATGGCCTTTCTTCCTCACCCAGTCTCCTGCCGCAGGGCGCCCACGTTGGCCCACCACAAGGATCCTTGGTCTGGGTGGAAGATACAAGGCCATTTATTGGGTACTAGCAGCCAGGTCCTCCACCAAAAACCCCATCTACCTACATAATCGCCATTGTTCCTTGAACAGTCCTGCAAGTGTGCCATTACCTTCCTGATTTTACAAATGAGAACACTGAAGCCCCACATCAAACACGGCAGAACTGGCATCTGGAAGCAGCTGTCTCAGCCTCTGCCCTTTACCACACTACCTCCCAAAGGCCCCCAAAGGGGCTGGGAGCTGAGGCAGGCTTCCCCACGATGACTCTCAGCCCCACCTCTGTAGACCACTTGGGACTCACTGTTGGAATTGCAAGGGACCTTTGAGAGCACAGAGTGGAAATTCCCATTGTCCACATGGGGATACAGAGGCCACTGGAGAAGGGATCTGCCTAGCTTCATGCACATCCTGTCCCATGAAGCTGGGACAAAGGCCCAGGACTACTGGTTCCCATTCCAGTGCCCTCCTCTCCCATCCCCACCCATCAAAACTCATGAGGGGCCAAGCACGGTGGCTCACGCCTATAATCCCAGCACTTTAGGAGGCTGAGGTGGGTGGATCTCTTGAGCTCAGGGATTCGAGACCAACCTGGGCAACATGGCAAAACCCCGTCCCTACAAAAAATACAAAAATTAGCCAGCACGGCTGGGCGCAGTAGCTCATGTCTGTAATCCCAGCATTTTGGGAGGCTGAGGTAGGTGGATCAGAAGGTCAGGAGATCAAGACCAGCCTGGCCAACATGGTGAAACCCTGTCTCTACTAAAAATACAAAAATTAGCTGGGCATGGTGGCAGGCACCTGTAGTCCCAGCTACTCGTGAGGCTGAGGCAAGAGAATCACTTGAACCTGGGAGGCGGAGGTTGCAGTGAGCCGAGATCGAGCCACTGCATTCCAGCCTGGGTGACAGAGTAAGACTCTGTCTCAAAAAAAAAAAAAAAAAAAAAAAATTAGCCAGCATGCCCCTGTGGTCCTAGCTACTTGGGAGGCCGAGGTGAGATCACCTGAGCCTGGAGAGGTCAAGGCTGCAGTGAGCCGTGATCACGCCACTATATTCCAGCAGTGCACTCTAGGTGACAGAATGAGACCCTGTCAAAAAAACAACAACAACAAAAAAACCCCCTCATGAGTGCCCAACCACAGGTGAGTAGGATGACAGAGATTGTGCTGGCTATGGGATCCCCAGCCCAGGTCACAGCCTGTTACCTAGCAGGTGCTGCGTCCAGCTTACAAGCTCCAGTAACTGCCTCCAAAGGCACAGAGTCTCATGGGGCAGGAGATGAGCAGAGTTAACTCTCCTGTAGGTGCCCAAGCAACGTTCCACACGGCCCGGCAGGCTTCAGAGAAGTGAGGGAAGCGTCCTCCCATGACACAAAGACCTCCAAAGGCCACTTTCTGTTATAGATTTTATTTGATACTGTGACCGAGTCTACAAGTTCAGACCCACATGTAACGGATTTTTGCTTCATGGTTGTCAGAGGCTAGTGTGCATTATTTCTGAGGATTATATCCAATGACACGACGCAGAAAACACAAATGGACGGACAGACGGATGGACATAATCATTAAGACAAGAGACTCTAAAACGTGCCTTAGTGTCCACGTGATTGATCTAAGGCGGGGACCCTTCTAAGGTGGGGACCCGAGTGATCTAAAGCAGGGTGGCTTCCAGCCACCAGGTGCCGACTGGGCTGTGTGCACTCCAGGCGCCAGGGACGGGAACCGGCTTGGAACCAACGCCTGCCCTCCCAGGGGCGACCTCCCCATTCCCGACCAGCCTCTAAGTGTCTGCTCTTCATGAAGGACCAGGTGGTGACAGGGCTGATGGAAGCAGCGGAGGCCAGCGGTGGCACTGGACACACCCATGCCGCAGGCGGTGGGGAAACAAAGTCTGGGCGAAGTGGCTCCTCTTGGCTCCTTAACACTGTGCGTGGAGAGGCAGGGCAGGCACGAGGAGGGGAGGTGCGAATGGAGCACCGTTCATCCGGGGATTAGCCAACCCGAGTCTCCTCCCTCCTTGGCAGCTCCAGAACATTCCCTCTGGCCGACAGCCACAGAAATGAGTGCCTGCCAAGACACATGGAGGAGAAAGAAAACAAGACACCAAAAAAACCCAAAAAACAAACAAAAAAACCTCCCTCCCCAGGAACAAATAGAACTCCTGGACCAAGGTCACACCAGATCCGGAAGACACCCTGCACCCTGCGCCCAGGGAAAGGAAACACAGTTCAACGTCTGGCTGCTTTGCTCAAGGGAAACTGCCACCCTGCCCTGAGACTCCAACTCACTGGCCGTTAGTGTCTTTTTTTTTTTAAGTTTTTTTTTTCTTTTTAATACCCAAACCATCCATTTTCAAAGCTTTTTTTTTAAAAAAATTGTTTTTTGATTAAAAAAAAAAAAACAAAAAACTAAAACTGCCACAAATACTGAAGAGGCAAGCTCCAGGCCTGGCCTTTCCAGCTGGAGGCCTGCTCTCCCGTGGACCGCACCGCAGAGCCCAGCCCGGCACTGCTGGGTGACCGTCCCATGGCTGGTTCGCCCCGGACCACTCTGCTGAAGTCCAGGTGGGTGTTAAATGCCCGGCGGCATCGCTAAATAAGGACAAGGGGAAAAGGCAGCCCACCTTTCCCTGAACACCTTCCATCTGGGCTGAACTTTCTTGGGAATGTATAAGTTATCTGGATGAAGGAGGTGGGAGATGGAGAAAAATAAATACCAAGAACTAAAGTGAGGGTCCCAGGACCTCTGGTGGCAGCTCAGCCCCTGGGGCAGAGCTGGCCTCCAGGGAGGAGACCCTGATTATCCAAATACTGCGCTCTTGAGACTTGCTCTCCTCCACAAGCACTTGCCCTGGGGGACGTGAGTCTCAGAGGGAGAAAAGGGGCCAGCCCCACAGATACTGTCCTCTCGCTCTGGCCTGACTCACAAGCGGCCCCAGGCTCCTGCCCAGCCACGAGGCTGTCCTGGCTGTCCGGGAGTTCTGGGAGAAGCTAGGCCTGCCCCTCCGGGCCTGAGGACTGGGCAGCGGTCCTGCTGCTTGCTGTGCTGGGCCGGCCTCGCTCAGGCCTGCTCCTTGTCAGCCCTCCACAGCCGCTCCTTCACCTCGGGTGGCAGTGTGTTGAACAGGTCCTCCTCCACCACCAAGCCGCTGCGCTTGAGCAGTGGGCACTCGCCCAGCTCCACAGGCAGGCACTCCAGCCGGTTGCCCCGCAGCTCGATCTGCGTCAGGTTGGTCAGCTCGCCCACCCTGGAGGGCAGTGACTGCAGCACGTTGTTGCCCAGGTGCAGGGCCCGCAGCTTCCGGCACTGGAAGAGCTCCGGAGGGAGCGTCTCGATCTGGAGGGAAAAAAGCAGGGGTGAGAGTGAGGTGGGTGTGGGCTTGGACGGGGCCTCTGGGCTTCCCTTCCCTCTCTCCCCAAGATCTCAGCATCTTTTCTGATCCCCAGGCCCCCAGCATCAGCACAATCTGGGCCAAACTCTGGCCAACATCTGCCTGTGCACCAGGTCTCAGCTCTTGCTCACTTCCTCCAGGAAGCCTTCCCTGATCTCCTGGGTCTCATGGCCCCCATGTCCCCACTCGCAGTGCTCATCCTTCCATCTGTTACCCCCTTGATGTGGGCTCTAAGGATGAGACCTGCCTGCCTCGATCCCCACTATCTTCCAGCACCTGGCCCTGGGAAGTATATCGCATTGGCCAGCTGCTCCCACCTCCATCCCAGGGCTCACCAGGAGCCAGGCTGTTGGTTCTGCCCAGCTTAACAACAATTTATGAAAGCAAAACAGCATGCTGAGAAAATCCACCCCCTAGGCCGGGTGCGGTGGCTCACGCCTGTAATCCCAGCACTTTGGGAGGCTGAGGCGGGCGGATCACGAGGTCAGGAGATCGAGACTATCCTGGCTAACACGGTGAAACCCCGTCTCTACTAAAAATACAAAAAAATTAGCCGGGCATGGTGCCGGGCGCCTGTAGTCCCAGCTACTCGGGAGGCTGAGGCAGGAGAATGGCGTGAACCCGGGAGGCGGAGCTTGCAGAGCCGACATCGCGCCACTGCACTCCAGCCTGGGTGACAGAGTGAGACTCCATCTCAAAAAAATAATAATAGCCTCAAAGCCTAAGTGTACTATGCTTAATTTATAAATTAAACTTTATCATAGGTACCTGTGAATAGCAACGAACAGAACATATAGGGTTCTGCACTACCTGCAGTGCCAGGCATCCACGGGGGACCTTGGACCACATTCCCTGAGGATATGGAGCAATTACTGTTAACAGACGACACCCGTATGCAGCTTAATGTGTGGCAGGCTCACTGTGAGCACTGATACTATTAATTTATTTAACCAGCAAACTACCTATAAATATTCTGTCAATACTCTTCCAATTTTACAGATGGGGTAACTGAGGCCCAAAGACGCTGACTTGTCCAGAGGTTCAGCTGGTAAGTGATGGAGCCAGGATTTGAACCCGGTTCAACAGCCCATGCTCTGGTGAACCGTCCACACTGTTAGCGGAGCAAGGAGCAAACAGGGGGCTGCAGTGGGTTCGTGCTGTCTCCTGGCACACAGGAAGAGCCTCACGTATGCCAGCTTCTTCCCTGCCCTGCTGCGAGGAATCAGCTGGGGCCATGAGTTCTTACTGCGTGTAAGTAAGGCCATGAGTTGAGCCTGCCCGTCCCGAGGCTGCCTCCTTCAGATGGGATGGGCAGGAGGGCAGGAGCCAGGAGCCCTGGGCCTTGATCCCAAGTGAGGATGATGGGGAGATGGCACAGCAGCCCTTCTGAGCTTGCTCTATCACCGCCCCCATTTTCCTGCCAAGGAGACTGAGGCCCAGAGAGATGACACGCCACTCGTCTGAGGTTGCAGCCTCTCCGAAAGGGTCAGGAGAGGATGTACGTCTTATTTCCTCCCACTCAGAGCCCATGCTGTATTTCCCTTCTGCCAAATATGGCACTCAGTTACAGGGTAACTCTGGAAGTCCCTCCCTCTCTGGGCCTCAGTTTCCCCATTTGTAAAAGGCACAGGTTGGACTAGAAACTGAGCTTGGACACTCTGTGGCTGAGGACCGTTTTGCAGACTCGGACCTCAACCTCACGGGCACCTGCTCTCTCCAGCCGCGTTTAGAGAAGGGCCCAGGAGTTCCTGGGGAGCAACGTGGCTTTCCCAGCAGGGAGATAAGCATGGCCAAGGCCCGGCAGAGTGCTTTTTCTTTTTTTTTGGGGGGCGGGGGCGGGGGACGGAGTCTCACTCTGTCACCCAGAGAGTGCAGTGGCGCAATCTTGGCTCACTGTAATCTCCACCTCCCAGGTTCAAGTGATTCTCCTGCCTTAGCCTCCCGAGTAGCTGGGATTACAGCCGCATACCACCATGCCCGGCTAATTTTTGTATTGTTTGCAGAGACGGGGTTTCATTATGTCGGCCAGGCTGGTCTTGAACTCCTGACCTCAGGTGATCTGCCCGCCTCGGCCTCCCAAAGTGTTGGGATTACAGGCGTGAGCCACCATGCCCAGCCCAGGCACAGGGGGTGCTTTCAAAAAGGCTCCTAACCTGTGTATCCTACACTGCCACCACTGTGACCAAGGATCAGGAATGCATTTGGGGTTGGCTTTGAGGTCAGCAGGGGCTGAAGGTCAGAGGGTAGACAGGAAGTGGGCTCTGGAGCACCCAGGGGCCAGAGCCTTCCCAGAAAGACCCCACTCCCACCCCGTGATCTCCTCTGCTGACACATGCAGTGGTCAGGGACAGTGGGAAAGCTCTGGACAGCGAGTGGCAGAGCTCGGGTCCATATGGAGCCTGGCTCTGGAGCCCCCTCCCTGAAAGGCCTCCTCCCCAGAACATGCCCTGCTCTGAGCCAGGGAGCCCTCTCCAGGCCCCAGAGAGAAAAGGGGAGGTACTCTCAGTTGCTCGGCTCCCACCACAGCCACACCCATCCTCTGGACCGATCCTTCTCTGCTGGATTGTCGGATTGTCGCCGGCCCGTGCCCTGGAGGCTTGAAGTTGGTTCCCAATCCCCCAATTGCACCCTCTCCTACCTCCCCAGAGACTTCAGTGGGTCCCCATCGGCACTGAAAGGCCTCAACTCGACCTGATCTTTGAAAAGGACAACTCTCTCAGGAGGCTTCCAGGGCCCCAGCGTTGTCCTTGGCTCTCTGGCCTTCCTGACCAACTGCAGGAAAGCCGCTGTCTCTCTCCTCACTCTGCCTCCATGACCCTGTCCACCCTTAACTCTCTGGCCAAAGTCACCAGTTCCTAATCCAGCCAACTCCCCAGGCCCCATGTGCCCCACGCTCTGGCCTCGCCCTCCTCTTCTGCAGACTCCTGTCCTTCTCCCTCTCTGCTCTCCACAGTGAGCAAGTCAAGGACCCATCTTCACCCATGAGCCTGGAAAGGGTGACTCCTTGGGCTTCAGGTGGATTCAAGATGGTCCCTTGGACATCCCAGAGCCCCAGACACCTGACATGAGACACACCTTGGCCTCTGAAAACCTGTGCTTCCTCCAGTCTCAACAATCCACAAAAAAAAGCTCAAGTCACTCAGACCACCCCCACCATCAACTCCCGTCCCTTTGAATTCCCCCTCCAGCGTCTCCCAGATCCGTCCATGTCTCTCCATCCCTACCTGCCTTGGCCACGCCAGGCCCCGTGGCCTCACCTGATGGCTAATCGTGGTCTCTTAACAGCTCTCTTCCACCTCCCACCTCTCACTCACCCCACCCCACACACTACCGCAAGAGGAACCTCACGCTGCAAGTCAGCTCATTCCTTCACCCACTCAATCACTAGGAATTCGGTAAACACTTGCTTGAACAAAAGAGCTAGGTCTTAGTCATCAGAGCCTATGGGCTGGCAAGGGATCGGCTGTTAAACAAATGAAGAGACAATTGAAACTGAGGTGTAGGACAGGACCCCCCTGCCATCCACACCCCCCCCCATAGCCCCACCTCTGCTCTCCAGGATGCCCACATTCCTGGGCAGCCCATCTCACTGCTCCTCCCCACCAGAACCTCCTGGACTGTCCCTTTCCCCTCCACCTGGCTTCCTCCTCCTCGTTCTTCAGGGGCCTGTTCCTCTGTGTTCCCAGGGACCTGGTGCTCCAGCAGAGCGCCTACGCACTGTGCTAACTGCCTCGTTACTTGGCCTTCTTCATCCCCATGTCCCCGGCGCCTTGCTCCATAGCTGGATTCTAGAAGTGCTCAAAAAACATCTGCACAAAGGCCAGGCGAAGTGGCTCATGCCTGTAATACCAGCACTTTGGGCGGCCAAGGTGGGAGGCTTTGAGGCCAGGAGTTTAAAGACCAGCCTAGAAAACACAGTGAGACCCTGTCTCTACCAAAAAAACAAACAAACAAAACATAACAATTTGCACACATCAGTAAACGAGTGAACGAATGAATACTGTCTTGTCAAGGCTTTCATTAGCAAGAGTATAAATCTGGAGAAACAGCACGCAAGGGCGTGGGCAGGCCACGCCCACCCCTCCTGGTCACCACTGGCCAAGGTGGCTGAGAAGGAGCCATCAAGCCCGAGTGAGGAGGAAGAGGGGCTCAGGCCTCCCACTCAGAATGAGGGGCCTGCCTGGGGTTGGCCCAAGTGAACTGTTTTCCCTATTAAGGCTCTGGTGTTCCAGGGGGTGGGGACAGGATGTGATTAAGCCATGTGCTAAACAGGGTGTCCAGAGGGTCTCCTTCCTCTGGGACAGCGTGCTTGCCGCCAGCTCCTTTCCTGAGGGGTGACCTCAGCCAGCAGGCATGACACTAACAGGCAAGCTTGGCGGGAGGAGCTGGGGGTGGGGGACAGGATGGGGAGCCAGGCTGGAGGCTTGAACCCTCCCCCAACCAGGAGGACAGCCCCAGCACAGCACCCGGGACAGGGCAGGAATGGCAGGAGCTGTGAGGAAGTCCCAGCTTATCAAGGGCAGCACTGTGCTATGGGGAAGCCACAGGGTCTCCCCCTCCACAGATTAAAGAAGGGCTGGGTTTGTTCTGTGCTTCCCAAATGTGGCTTCTCCCCAGGGGACTCCAGTTTTCCTATTCAGTGGGCCTGTCCCGAAACTACAAGAGAAAACCCTGCCCTGGTCCACTCTCCCACTGTGCTCAAGTCATAATATGGGGTGGCCGGAGATAAGGACTTGTCAAAATCCCTGATACATGTGGGTTGCAGGTTGCTCTGCAGTAAGGGAGCCCTGGGGAAGAGGGGAGGAAGGCTTCCAAGCCAGCAGGCATCTGGAGGGCCTGAAGCATCTAGTCTGAGTGATGCTGGAGAAGGTGTGTCCTGTCCTGGGGCCCAGGAGGACAGACAGGGCATTCCAGGGGCCACCTCCCTCCGTGCCTGAGGATACTATAGACAGACCGGGCATTCCAGGGGCCACCTCCCTCCGTGCCTGAGGATGCTATAGACAGACCCTGTTGGGAGGACTCAGCAGGTTGGTGGAAGGAGGACAGGTGCATCATGCCTGGCACAGGGCGAACACAGAGCAGGTGCCCACGAAACCAACAGGGACTGCACCGTGGGGCTGCTGCATGGCAGATGCACCCAACAGCAACAACCGAACTAAGAAACGCGGGTTGCCACACGGAGGCTGCAGAGGGGAGGGTGCTTAGTGAAAATGCTCTATGAGCTGCACGCTTTTTATAAGCAGGAGTGGTTTTCCTATTTGGCTCACTGCTGCTGGACCACCCTGTAAGTAAGTTCCCCCAAATAAACCCCATGTTTCAATGGCCGGCTCCAGGGCTCTTCATTTTACTTTGAGACTGGGTCTCACTCTATTGCCCAGGCTGAAGTACAGTGGTACAACCATAGCTCACTGCAGTCTTGAACTCCTAGGCTGAAGCGATCCTGCCTCAGCCTCCCAAATAGCTGGGACTACAGGCACATGCCACCATGCCTGGATCATTTCTGTATTTTTGGTAGAGATGGGGTTTCCCTATGTTGCCCAGGCTGGTCTCGAACTCCTGAGCTCAAGTGACCGCCCCACCTTGGCTTCCCTAAGTGCTCGGATTACAGGTTTGACCCACTGGGCCTGGTCAACTCCGAGTCTCTTCTTCAGCCTCCTGAACCTGGTGGCATCCCTAGTGAAGTTCACAGGGGCCCGGCACGACAGCTGCTGCTGTGTCGGGGGCAGAAGGGTGGCTGGCTGGGCTCTCCCTTGTCTCCCAGCGCCTGGCCTCAGGCTTCCTCCACCACATGTCTCACTACAGGAATCTCCACCTGGATGTGAGGCCCAGGAAAACCTGCAGGTCCCCAGGACGGGTGGAAGAGGGACGTTCCCCACAATGGCAGTGGCTTTGTTTCCATTTCGGAGGCCAGACCACAGAGCCACAGGAGTACCCAGCCCTCCATCCACACTGCCTGCCTCCACCAAGGGGCCCTTGGATGGGGGCTTCCCCAGCCAGGTAAGAGACTGGCACCCACAGACCACCAACAGTCTTGAAAGTATGTCGAAGGTGTGGCCTCCCAAACTCCCAGTGACAATGATTTGCACAATTTCCTTTTCAGAAGGGCAGGCAGAAACAAACTAGCCCCATCTAGGCCCAACTCTGCCTCTGACACCACCAAATGCAGTGGAGAAAGGTGTGTGGGAGCTGCAGAGACCATCCAAGGCTTCCCCTCAGCCAGCACTGGCCACCCACACAGTTTCTGTCCTGGGTGGACCCGGATTGGCTCCTTGCCTCCAAGTCCGACTGGGAACAAGCTGAGGAAGACACAAACTCCAGGCTAAGTCTTGACTCCCACCACCCGGCTTTGCGAGAGAACCCCCGGGTTTGGACCTCCTGCCCAAGCACATCCCTGCTGAAGAGGAACCCGGCTCAAGGTCACCTTGGGGGACAGACCTTGCCTGGCCATGCAGTCTCTCCAGGCAGGAGAACTGCAACATTTTGGAGCAAAGACAGGCCCGGGGCCCAGAGATTCGGATTCAGCAGGCCTGGGATGGGGCCCAAGGAGTCTGTCTCTTGAACAGAGCTTCTATCCTGGATGGTTCTGTAAACCCCAGGTGAGGACTCCACACTCAGGGGCATCGACGGTCCCAGGACACTGAGCCTGCCGAGTGCCCCACCACAAGCCCTGGCCAGGCCACCCGCCAGCCCACACGCAGAGCTGTGGCCGGGCCACTCACCCGGTTGGCCGTGATGGCTAGGTTCTGGAGGTTCTGCAGGAGGCCGATGTCGGCAGGGAGGAAGGTCAGGTTGTTGTGGCTGAGGTCCAGGTAGCGCAGCTTGCGGCAGTAGAAGAGCTGGGTGGGGATCTTCTCGATCTTGTTGCGGTTCAGGTAGAGGCGCTCCAGGTTGGTGAGGTTGCCGATCTGGATGGGGATGTAGGCGATGTGGTTGTACCACAGCTTAAGGCAGGTGAGGCGGTGCAGGTGCTGGAAGCTGATGATCTCCTCGATGGTCTTGAGGTTGTTGTCCTTGAGGTCAATCTCCTGCAGGTTGTGGAGGCTGAAGATGGAGTGGGGGATGCGCTCCAGGTCACAGCGGATCAGCTCCAGCTCAGTCAGGTTCGCCATCTTCTTGAGGCTGTTGAGGACGATGAGCTTGGTGCCCTCATTGTTGATGGACAGCTTCTGCAGGTGCACGCCCACATCTGTGACCACCTGTGGCAGCTTGCTTAGGTTGCTCTTGAGCCGCAGCACCTTGAGGCGTTTGAGCTCCCGCAGCCCGTCGATGACGATGTAGCGGTTGTTCTCCGCGCTCAGGTTGCCCGTCAGGTGCAGCTCCTCCAGTGTCTTCAGGCTATAGATCCACAGCGGGATCTCCTTGATGTCGGTGAACTTGATGTGCAGCGCCCGCAGGTTCTCACGCAGGAAGGCCAGCGCGGGCGCTTCAATCTTGGCCGCTGTGTGGTAGAGCCACAGCTCCTTGAGGCCCGTGAGCTGGGCAATGCTGGGCGGGATGGTCACGTCGGGGATCAGCTCCAGCTTGAGGACCTCCAGCTCCACCAGGTCAAACACAGTGTCAGGGATGCCACTGAGCATGAACAGGTGCAGCTCCAGCTTGTCCTGCGCGTTCTTGGTGAGCCGCTGCCGGAGCTTGTCCAGCGTCCACTCGTTGTTGAGGTTCAGCTGCCGCAGCTTGTTCTCACTCACCTCCGACAGGAAGACGGCGAAGCGCTTGGAGTAGAGCGGGTCGTATTGGTCAATGAGGTGCAGCATGAAGGCGAAGTCGTTCTTGACGTCGGGGATGTCGCTGTAGCTGCTCTCCTCACGGATCGACTCAAACGAGTACTTCTTGAGGGAGCGCCGTAGCATCCACCACAGTGTATACATGCAGATGAGGCCGTAGAAGATGACTAGGCTGATGTAGAAGGACGCCAGGATCTTGAAGAGTGTGGCCAGGGGGTGGGCACAGCGGTAGGTGCGGTAGCCCGTCAGGCTCTCAATGTCCACGGTGCAGTCCACGTCGAACTTGATGTTGTGCACGTAGTAGACGGTGTAGCAGATGATGAGGATGAACTTGATCACCTTGATGATGGTCTGCCGCATGTAGAGGCGGTACACAATGTCCCCCTCCTCCACATGGGTCCGGAACTTCTTCACCTTCTCAAACAGCGCCTTGGCTTGCTCCCCCTCCTTCTTGTCCAGCACGCCCGTCTCTGAGCGGTCCACGATACCCTGCTCGATCCGTGACTTGGTCCGCTGCAGCATGGGCACGGTGGCCTCCACGTCCTCACTGACGGTCGATGACTTTTTGTCCATGGACCCATTCATCTTGCTGAAGGCCGGCTTGGGGTCGCTCTCCTCCACCACTGTCTCCGACAGGGCCCTCGTGGTCCAGGGCGAGTCGAAGCACTTCAGCAGGATAGACACAAAGTGCTCCAGCTTCGAGCTGGTGCGCGGGAATTTGAACCAGAAGTTGCTGCAGGCCAGGAAGATGAGCGTGTGCAGAAGCACCAGGTAGGGGAAGTACTTGGCAAACCAGTGCAGTCGGTTCTCATAGCACACAGCGTCCACGTAGTTGTACTGGTGCCGGTCCAGGTCATACTTGATGCCTGTGGGGCCCGTGTCAGGGGTCGGCAGAATGGTGGAGTTGGGGTAGGTGGGCTCCGGGCCAGGGGCTGCCCAGCCCCGGAACGAATCATTGCAGGAGTCCTTGGTGACCCACTTACAAGGCAGGCAGATCATCTTGTCTTGGGTGACCTGCAGCGTCCCCCCGAAGACGGCAATCATCAGCATGACGATAGAGATGTAGTCTGTGAACACATCCCACCACGGCTTCAGGATCCGGTATGCTGGCTGCGTGTCCGCAAAGTAGCGGAGCTCTGTCACCGGAATCATGGTTCAACCTAAAAGGGAGCCATAGGAGGGGGGTTAGCACAGGGTGGCCTGGCTTTCCTAGGACCAGGGGTCAGGGGAAGAAGACAATGAAAATTCTTCCATTGTCCAAAATTCCACCTCAAATCTAGCTGGGAGCCAAAGCCTGCCTACTCCACGGGGCAGCCCACTTATCAGCCCTTCTGCAGAAAGCATGTGGCCACTTGGCTGGGAAACCACCCTGGGGGAGGCAGGCAGGCTCCCCATTTAATACACAGGAAGACTGAGCACAGTGAGATTAGACAGATCCCCAGTGCAGCCTCAGGGTTCTCTGCTCCATCCCTTGCATTCCAGTAAGAGCAATCGGGAACTCCTTTCTAAAGTCCACCTATTTAATGAACAGATTGACCAGAGGGACACATTTAAAACTCCCAGTTCACTGGGAACCAGCTGCTGTAAAGCTGCAGCAAAGGGCTGGAGGGATTCCCGCAAAATATGAGGAAAGAAAGCAACATGCAGAGGGGGCACAACATGAACTCACTTCCATAAAACAAAGAGCAAGGTTTAAAAATTCCACGTGGTTCACGTCTGTAATCCCAGCACTTTGGGAGGCCGAGGTGGGTGGATCACCTGAAGTCAGAAGTTCAAGACCAGCCTGGCCAACATGGTGAAACTCGGTCTCTACTAAAAATACAAAAATTAGCCTGGCGTAGTGGCGGGTGCCTGTAATCCCAGCTATTCGGGAGGCTGAGACAGGAGAATCACTTGAACCCGGGAGGTGGAGGTTGCAGTGAGCTGAGATTGTGCCATTGCACTCCAGCCTGGGCGACAAGAGTGAAACTCCAACTCAAAAAAAAAAAAAAAAAAAAAAATTCCACATGGGGGCTGGCATGGTGGCTCACGCCTGTAATCCTAGCCTGTAATCCCAGCATTTTGGGAGGATGAAGTGGGAGGATCGCTTGAGTCCAGGAGGTTGAAGCTGCAGTGAGCTATGACCCCGTCGCTGTACTCCAGCCTGGGTGACAGAGACCCTGCTTCAACAACAAAATTCCACATGTGTGTATAGTTATGTGTGTACAAGATTCTGGGAACACTCGGAAGACCAAAGGTCACATAGTGGGTCTTAATGACAGGCTCCTAGGGGAGCGGCCTCAAGAGAGGGGATTAAGAATAAGGCTCTCCTCCCTCACAAACTGGGTGATCACAGAGAGGCCTTAATGTAAAATCATCTCTGGTTGCGTGTGTATAAAGGAATTAAAAACAGCAGCAACAGCAGGCTCTCCCAGAGAGAGTCTAGTTTGACTACTATGGCGAGAAGCTGGAAATCTGATTTTTCTTTTTTTTTTGAGACGGAGTCTTGCTCTGTCGCCAGGCTGGAGTGCAGTGGCATCATTTCGGCTCACTGCAACCTCTGCCTCCAGGGTTCAAGTGATTCTCCTGCCTCAGCCTCCCGAGTAGCTGGGACTACAGGCCTGCACCACCATGCCCAGGTAATTTTTGTGTTTTTTAGTAGAGACAAGGTTTCACGATGTTGACCAGGATGGTCTCGATCCCTTTACCTCCTGATCTGCCCGTCTCAGCCTCCCAAAGTGCTGGGATTACAGGAGTGAGCCACCGTGCCTGGCTGGGAACCTGATTTTTAACACATAACTTTGGTGACTCTAATGATTGGCCAAGCTTGGGAAACACTGGCTGAGAAGCCACATTAGGAAACCCAGACTGTGCTACACAGGAGGCACGCAGCAAGATCTCTGTGAGAATGCCTCTCTGTGGCCATTCGTGGTCACACGGCCAAGGCTGGTTGCTCTTACAATGAAAGACGTATGGCTGTCACGGAGGGATAAGGTACTAGATGTTCCCTGGAGAACATACGGAAAATTGTAAAAAAGCGTAGCAGCAAAAAAAGAAGAATCCGCTTTACAATCCCCACCAGGGTTACACACTGTTAACTTTTCACTGAATAATAACCTTCCAGTCCTTTCTGTGTATTTTATAATTTTATAATTTTTCTTGTAAGAGATTGGATCTTGCTCTGTTGCCCAAACTAGAGTGCGGTGGCGTGATCATGGCTCACTGCAGCCTCAACCTCCTGGTCAAGCAATCCTCCTACCTTAGCCTCCCCCAGGTAGCTGGGGCTACAGGTGTGTGCCACCATGCCTGGCTAATTTTTTTTTTTTTTTTTTTTTTTTTTGAGACGGAGTCTCGCTCTGTTGCCTAGGCTGGAGTGCAGTGGTGCGATCTTGGCTCACTGCAAGCTCCGCCTCCCAGATTCACGCCATTCTCCTGCCTCAGCCTTCCAAGTAGCTGGGACTACAGGCACCCGCCCACCACACCCGGCTAATTTTTTTTTGTATTTTTAGTAGAGACGGGGTTTCACCGTGTTAGCCAGGATGGTCTCGTTCTCCTGACCTTGTGATCCGCCCGCCTTGGCCTCCCAAAGTACTGGGATTACAGGTGTGAACCACCATACCTGGCCCATGCCCGGCTAATTTTTAAAATTTTTTGTAGAGACAGGATCTCACTATGTTGGCCAAGTTGGTTTCAAACTCCTGGCCTCAAGCAATCCTCTGGCCTTAGCCTCCCAAAGTGTTGGCATTACAGGAGTGAGGCACTGCACCCAGCCCTTTCTGTGTATTAGAATAAATTGTGCTTTTATTTATTTATTTATTTAGAGACAGAGTATTGCTCTGTCACCCAGGCTGGAGTGCAGTGGCACAATCTCAGCTCACCACAGCCTCCGCCTCCTGGGTTCACATGATTCTCCTGCCTCTGCCTCCCAAGCAGCTGGATTACAGGCACACGCTACCACGCCCAGCTAATTTTTGTATTTTTAGTAGAAACGGAATTTCGCCACGTTGGCCAGGCTGGTCTCGAACTCCTGACCTGAGGTGATCCACCTGCCACGGCCTCCCACAGTGCTGGGATTATAGGTGTGAGTCACCATGCCTGGCCAAATTGTGCTTTTACTTTACATTCAATTTTTACTTTACACTGTAACCCAGAACCTAGATTTTTATCTAAACCAAGTTTTAAATGCCTGTGTCAAATGTGTCTGTCTCTCTTAGGAGAGGAACAGGGGTGCCCAGATGATGGGCCACCTTTCTTTGATTACTGATAATGTTAATAACCAGAATAGTAACAAACTTTTTTTTTTTCCCTTTTTGAGACAGTCTCACTCTGTCACCCAGGCTGGGGTGCAGTGGCATGATCCTGACTCACTGCAACCTCTGCCTCCTGGGTTTAAGTGATTCTCATGTTTCAATCTCCCAAGTGGCTGGGATTACAGACGCCCGCCACCACATCCAGCTAATTTTTGTATTTTTAGTAGAGACGGTGTTTTGCCATGTTGGCCGGGCTGGTCTTGAATTCCTGGCCTCAACCAATCCACCTGCCTTGGCCTCCCAAAGTTCTGGGATTACAGGCGTGAGCCACCGTGCCCGGCCTAGGTAGGAACTCTTTAAGAACAGCACTTCTCGGGCCAGGCACAGAGGCTCACGCCTGTAATCCCAGCACTTTGGGAGGCCAAGGCGGGCGGATCACGAGGTCAGGAGATCGAGACCATCCTGGCTAACAAGGTGAAACTCCGTCTCTACTAAAAATACAAAAAAATTAGCCGGGCATAGTGGCAGGCGCCTGTAGTCCCAGCTGCTTGGAAGGCTGAGGCAGGAGAATGGCGTGAACCCGGGAAGTGGAGCTTGCAGTGAGCCGAGATCACGCCACTGCACTCCAGCCTGGGTGACAGAGCGAGGTGCCGACTCAAAAAAAAAAAAAAAAAAGAACAGCACCTCTCTGCAAATGCCAAACACTCCCCAGCCCCAATCTTTCTAGGCTATGCTGGATGGGGAGGACAGGAGGAAGGCAGAGCAGGACCCCATGTGAGGCAGGTGGAATGGGGCACTCAGCAAGGGTGATGATGGCCACAGCCAGTGCTGAGGGCCTGGAAGTGTGCCAGGCACCAGGCAGGCCTCCCCTGCAGGCCCTCCTAGGGTCATCCTTGATGCCCAAGAGGCCAGGCCTCTATAGCCCCATCCCAGAGATGGGGGTGCTAAGGCTCAGGAAGGTGACATCACCTGCCAACATCCCCCTGCTATTAAGGGGCAGAGTAGAGTAAGAACAAACCCAGCAGGCCTGTCCCTCTACCACCGGGCTCAGGTCCTCGCCACCATGTGGGACTTGCCCTCCGCCTGCCCAAGGTCTCACCCAGGCGGTGCCAAGAGAAACAGGACTGGGAGTGCAGCTTCCCCGCCCCTCAGCATTACCAGCGCTCAGGTCACAAAGGGGCCAGCAGACACCACCGCCCGCCCTGGGCTGGCAGCTCCAGGCCAGAAGTCAGTCCTCCTAGTGATGCCAGGACTCACGGGCCAGGGCAAGCACCCGCCCCACAGGAAGGCCCGGGCCCTCTAATGACCAGGTGGGTCCACGCACCACCTACACTGCTGGGAAAGAAAGTGGCACTGGGAGAGCTTCTGAATCACACAGCTGCCTCCACTGAGACATGTGGACACCTGGAGTCCCCATCCAGGGCCAGGACCTAAAGACTGGGGAACAGAAGAGGGAGGAGAGGAGCCCGGTGCATGCAGCAGCCTGCCTGCCCCCAAGTCTGGAATGAGACAGCCAGGGCGGGCGCGGCTGTTTGAGCGGGCAGGATGTGGTGACAATGATACTGCAACACCTCCCTCGTGTTCAGGGAGTGGGGTGTGTTCGCTCACAGAAACACCTGCTTCCTCTGCGAGGAGCCGCCCCAGCCCCGCCGACCTGGGGCTTGTCTGTACCACCCAGACTCCTCCTTCTGAGGCAGGAAGTGTTCCCAGCTCAGTCACACAGGTGAGGGAAACTGAGGCTCACAGAGGCAAAACCACCTGCCCAAGGCAGGAAACACCGTCCCAATCAGGTCTGATTCTGACCACCCGCCCCAACTCCGTGCTTGGTCTGGGAACATCCGGACTCTGTTCAGCCCTTGGCTAGGTCCAGCGGGGGTAAAAAAAAATGATCAAGGTGGGACTTCTGCTTCAGGTTCCTCTCTCCAGTTTGAGTGTGTCTGGGGAGTGGAGGAGGGCCCTGGGGTTCCAATGGCAGAGCCTGGGGCTGGCTGCAGAGCTGAGAAGGGCCTGGACTGGAGTCTCTCACAGGCCTGGCCCGGCTGGTGCCTGGGCCTACCCCTGGTAAGGGTAACCTGTCTGGAGGGGTCACCCCCAGCTGCACCCGTTTCCTTGTCCTCTGCTGTGTGATTCTGGAAAAGTCACTGCCCCTCTCTGATGGGGCTTCGGGGGAGATCAGGAAAGAGGGTGCAGGCACCAAATCCAGGGTTGAGTTCCCAAGGGTGTGGGGAAAGGAGCCCCACCCCAACAGGAGCCAGCCGGGTGGTCAGAGCCACCTGCCTGCCCCCTACAGGGGCAGGCTCCCTCCCACACGGCTCTTGCCGAGGATGAAGAGGGGAAGCCAGTACCAAGGTGTGGGCCTGGACTCTGGTAGCCTCTCTGTGGGACCTTGGACAAGCTCTTCACTGCTTGCAGCCTCAGTTTCTTCACATACATGGTGGGCATGATACCACGCAGGGCTGCTGGGAGGAGGCCATGGAATTATTTTAATTAAATGGGACGGGGTCTTGCTATGTTGTCCAGGCTGGTCTCAAACTCCTGGCCTCAAGCAATCCTCCTGCTTTGGCCTCCAGAGTAGCTGGACTGTAGGCATGTAGCACCACACTAGGGTAAAAAAAAATTTTTTTTTTGAGGCAGTCTCACACTATTGCCAGGCTGGGGTGCAGTGGCACGATCTGGGCTCACTGCAATCTCCGCCTCCCAGGTTCGAATAATTCCCCTGACTCAGCCTCCCAAGCAGCTGGCACTACAGGCGCGCCACCACCACGGCCGGCTAATTTTTCATATTTTAGTCAAGACGGGGTTTCACTATGTTGGCCAGGATGGTTTCCATCTCCTGACCTCATGATCCACCCGCCTTGGCCTCCCAAAGTGCTGGGATTACAGGCATGAGCCACTGTGCCCGGTCTGTTTTTTTTGAGATGGAGTCTTGCTCTATCGCCCAGGCCGGAGTGCAGTGGCACGATCTCGGCTCAATGCAACCACCACCTCCCGAGTTCAATCAACTCTCCTGCCTCTGCCTCTGGAGTAGCTGGGATTACAGGCGTGCACCACCATGCCCGGATAATTTTTATATTTTTAGTAGAGACAGGGTTTTACCATGTTGGTCAGGCTGGTCTCGAGCTCCTGACCTCATGATCTGC
This sequence comes from Homo sapiens, assembly GCF_000001405.40. NCBI lineage: Eukaryota > Metazoa > Chordata > Mammalia > Primates > Hominidae > Homo > Homo sapiens. Next base: position 128,900,947 of record NC_000009.12, on the reverse strand, counting down.
CCACCTCAGCTTCCCACAGTGCGGGGATTACAGGTGTGAGCCACTGCGCTGGGCCTCACACTGGACTAATTTAAAATAAAAATTTGAGAGATGGGGTCTTGCTATGTTGCCCATTTGGCCTCAAACGCCTGAACTTGAGTGATCCTCCCACCTCAGCCTCCTAAGTAGCTGGGACTACGGGCATGAGCTACTGCACCCAGCAAGTCTTAGGAACTAAATGCTTTTATTTTTATTTTTATTTTGAGACGGAGTCTCAATCTGTCACTCAGGCTGGAGCAGTGGCATGATCTCAGCTCACTGCAACCTGTACCTCCTGGGTTCAAACGATTCTCCTCCCTCAGTCTCCTGAGTAGCTAGGATTATAGGCGCCCACCACCATGCCCGGCTAATATTTGTATTTTAGTAGAGACAGGGTTTCACCATGTTGGTTAGGCTGGTCTTAAACTCCTGACCTCAAGCGATCTGCCCACCTCAGCTTCCCAAAGTGCTGGGATTACAGGCATGAGCCACTGCGTCCAGCCCCCAAATGCTTTTAAAGTGCTTTGTGCAGAGTGGGGCGCAGTCAGCCCAGGCTGGTATAATCTTTCTTCCACCTCCTCAGCACCTAGTGAAGCCAGATTCTCTTTGAGGACAAGAGTCAATTGTTAGGACTCGATACACTCAGAGTCTCTCCCAGAGAGCACCTGAAAGGGGACAAGGTGGGGTGGGGTGCTGCAGGGCGTGGGCCCCCGGTGTGGTGGAGAGGCCAGCAGCAGTTTCAGGTGGATGTGGGTTGGGGCTGGGGTAGGGAAGGCAGCTAAAGCCAGGAAGCCTGGGCCCTTCCTTTCCCTGCCCAGCCCTGAGGAATCCCCACAGGGAGGGGCCCAGTGCAAGGACCTGCCCAGGAACTCAGGACTGCAGATGACTAGATACCCACAAGAGAGCAGTTCCAGTTCAGAAACAGACAACCAAGGCCAAGGCCAGATTCTCCCCTGCACTGAGCCAGGAGGTCCCCATTGTTTCCAGGTCCATTTTTTCCCCTCAATTTTTTTAGACTGTCATAAAACACATGTAACTGAAAATGTACCATCTTACCCATGTTCAGGGGTGTAGTTCAGTGGCATGAAGCACATTCACTGTTGTGCAACCATCACCACCATACACAGAACTCTCTTCATCTCGTTAAACTGAAACCCACACCCCTTAAACACGACACCCCTTCCTCCCACCGCCTCCAAGCACTCCATCCCACTTCCTCTCTCTGTCAATCTGACTTCTCTAGGGACCTCATGTAAGTGGAATCATAAGGTATTTGTCCTTTTGTGATGGGCTGTATCACTTAACGTAATGTCCTCAAGGCTCACCACGTTCTAACACATATGAGAATGTCCTTTTGTTAAGGCTTTTTTTTTTAAGGTGTCCATTTTATAACCACGGAAACCGGCTCAGAGACAGAAGTCTTCTGCCCAACTTCATACCGCCTATAAGTGACAGAGGTGGCGTTCAAACCTGGATTTACAGTGGGCCCAGACAGGCAGCACCTCCAGGGTGGGCCATTCAGATGGAGCAGACCCCACCGAGAGCCCTTCTTGGGGTGCACCTGGGTGTGGTCAGAAATGCCCCGGAAGGGAAGGGAGCCTTTGAGGCGTGGGGTGGGGGTGGCTGGGCTATCTCTGCCTTACGGAAAGTGCCCTTGCTTATCCTCCCTGTGCTCGGCCCTCTCAGCTGGCACTGCGTCCTGGCGGAGCTGTGGAACAGCTTCTCTCCCAGGGCCTCAGTTTCCCTGTATAGAAAGGAGCAGCAAACCTGTTAAACATGTGTCCATGTTGTGTAAAAAATGGGCCAAGGGGTGGGTGCGCCCAGGCCTCTGCCCAGCCTGGACTCCTCCTTCCCCCTCAGCTGCCCACCCCCGCGTCAGACTGCTGGGCTGTGACTGCAGAGCTGCCGCCACCATCACAGACACCCCTTGTCCCGACTGTTCTGGCCTCCAGCTGGCAGAGAGGGAGGGGCTATCCAGGAGCCAGGACGCCTTCCCCTCTCAGCACCTTGGTTCCCCATGGTAACATGGCGGAAGGTGACAAATGCCCTGTGGGCTCTCAGGACTATCATGAAGATCACAGAAATGAGGCTTCCCAAACTACCTGTGTGAGAGCCCAGGTCAGTGGAGAGCAAGCCTACATGAGCTTGGAGGCAAGGGCCGGGCCAGGGCCAGACTGGCTCTGCTACTTGTGATGTTGGGCAGGTGACTTCACCTCTCTGAGCCTTAGTTACCCCATCTTTGAATGGGGCTAAAGATAGGCCCTGCCTTAGAGGGCTGCTAAAAGGCCAGGGCCTGAAACATTCAACACATCCAGTGTGCCAAGGCCAGCCAGAGCCTGCGGGTGGATGTGAACAGGAAGTGGAGAGCAAAATAGGCCTGGCCCAGCCCTGCCAGAGCAACCCTGACTTCAGGAGACACCTGGTGAGTGAATGAAAAGTGCATTCGAGAGTTAAGTTGGGAAATGGAAGAAGGAAAACCATCAGAGGGCTCCAGGACACCTGGTAAAGAGACAGGCGGGGCCTGGCACGCAGTAGGTGGACAATAAGCACACCCTGGTTAAAGAAGCTACTGGATCAACTACTTGGGAGGCTGAGGCAGGAGAATTGCTTGAACCCAGGTGGTGGAGGTTGCAGTGAGCTAAGATCGCACCACTGCCCTCCAGCCTGGGCGACAGAGCAAGACTCCGTCTCACAAAACAAACAAACAAAAAACATACTCAATGATCAGATAAGGGAATACTATGCAATCCCAAAAGTGCATTAGAACAAAACACTTGATAACAAGAGGAAATGTTCAAAGTATGTTAAATCTAAAAAGTACATAACCCCTCTGCCATAAATTACACACACACACACACACACACACACACACACACACACACACACACACTGAACAATCTTAGAAGTGAGGTTAGACTGCTGTTTATTACCCTTTTTCACCCCAAACTTATCTTTTTTTTTTTTTTTTTGAGACAGAGTCTCACTCTGTCATCCAAGCTGGAGTGCAATGTCGCGAGCCACTGCCCCTGCCCTCTATTTTTTTATTATAACCATTTGTTACTCATAATTAAGAAAAAAGATTATTTTGCCAGGCACGGAGGTGTACGCCTGTAATCCCAGCACTTTGGAAGGCCGAGGTGGGAGGATCACCTGAGGTCAGGAGTTTGAGACCAGCCTGACTAACATGGTGAAACCCCATTTCTACTAAATACAAAGAATTAGCCAGGCGTGCTGCAGGGCACCTGTAATCCCAGCTACTTGGAAGGCTGAGGCAGGACAATCACTTGAACCCAGGAGGCGGAGACTGCAGTGAGCCGAGATTGCGCCATTGCACCCCAGCCTGGGCAACAAGAATAAAACTGTCTCAAAAAAAAAATTTTTTTTTAAATCACGATCTCAAAGGATCAAGAATAGCTAAGACAGGCCGTGTGCTGTGGCTCACGTCTGTAATCCCAGCACTTGAGGAGGCTGAGGTGGGCTGATCACCTCAGGAGTTTGAGACCAGCCTGGCCAACATGGCGGAATCCTGTCTCTACTAAAAATATAAAAAATTAGCCAGGTGTGGTGGAGGCACCTGTAATCCCAGCTACTCGGGAGGCTGAGGCAGGAGAATTGCTTGAGCCAGGGAGGTGGAGGCTACAGTGAGCCAAGATCTCCAGTCTGAGCAACAAGAGTGAAACTCCATCTCAAAAAGAAAAGAAAAATCAGAGACTGTCTTAATGTCATTAAGATAGGAATATCTTACCACAAAATGTATAAATCCTTATAGGAAACGTAACGTATTGATCACATTAAAGTTAAAGCATACATCGAAAGACATAATAATAAACAAGTGAAAAGAAGCCACAGACTAGGAAGAGTTATTTCCAAAGTTTAAAACTACCAAAAGATTAATATCCAGAATACAGCCGGGCACAACTGCTCACGCCTGTAATCCCAGAACTTAGGGAGGCTGAGGCAGGTGGATCATTTGAGGTCAGGAGTTTGAGACCAGCCTGGCCAACATGCTGAAACCCCATCTCTACTAAAAATACAAAAAAATTAGCTGGGCCTGGTGGCACATGCCTGTAGTCCCAGCTACTCAGGAGGCTGAGGCAGGAGAATCCCTTGAACTCAGGGGGCGGAGGTTGCGGTGAGCAGACATCGTACCACTGCACTCCAGCATGGGTGACAGAGCAAGACTCTGGCTCAAAGAAAAAAATAAAGAAAGAAAGAAAAAAGAAAAGATTAGTATCCAGAATAAATACAGAAATCCTGCATAAATAAGACAAAAACAATCCAATGAGGGGAAATGGCAAAATATACGCATAGGCAATTCACAGGGGAAAAATGCAAATGGAACCAATGTATGAAATAATTCTTAGCCTTGCTAGTAATCAAGGAATGTAAATTAAAACGATCACATATCACTTCACTCCCCCAATTGGCAAAAACTGTGAACTCTTAGAGAAGGTAGGATGCACGTACTCTACAACCCAGCAACTCCTCTCCTCATTATTTATGCATCTTAGAAAGCTGCTCCACACATAAGTGAGAAACCACACACAAGGATGCTCACTGAAGAATTGTTTGTAATAGCAAAAAATCAGAAATGACCCACATGTTCATCAACAGGAGAAAGGATACGTTGTTCTAATCATACAATGGAAATGCTTTAAATCAATTAAAGTTAATGAACTGTAGCAACATGTATCAATGTGGATAAACCTCAAAAGCAATGTTGATCCAAAAAACAAGTTGTAGATGATGCATATGTTATATAAGGTTTTCTACAAGGTGTATACCCAAGTATACCGAAGATACAAAAGCATGCATGGAAAGTCTCCAAACCAAGATAATGATTGTATCTAGGGAGGGAAGAAAATGGGGAAGGGACTTCAACTGTGCTTGGAATATTTTACTTAAGTGCCTGCGCACATTCAAGTGTGTGCGTGCGTGCATGTGTGTATCTGAAACAATTACTGCAAAACACTGAAGTCTGACAAAGCTGAGTTCTTGATATGGATGTATCTGTTCTAGTTTTTATACTTTTCTTAAACCATTTCATCACACAAAACTCACTGAAACACTCATGCATTCCTACCCTGCATAGCCAGTGCTCTCCCCAACCTCCCACAGGCGAAGGCTCAGCGGGGAGCAGCAGCTACTGCATCTTACCAGGTTACCGGAGCAGCAGAGGCAGCTCCTCCTACCAGCTGCTGCTCCTCAGCCCCTGAGGACCCTGCAGAACTCGTAAGCACTCCCTACCTGGTCCTGCCCTGCCCCCAGGGAGATGTAGAAGTGGGCATCATGCAGAACAGGCCCTTCCCACAAGGCAGCTCAAGCAGGTGCCTAGGACAAATGGGACCAGGTTCCTGGCCAGGGCCAGGGCATCTCTGTGCCTGGGGGTTAAATGAGTAACCCAGAGAGCCCCAGCCTTCCCTCAGGCACAGGTGGATCTCAGGGAGCAGAGAGAGCAAGGACTTGGAGTTTGGGACATGTAGGTTCAAATCCAGCTCCAGCAAGAAATAATTCTGTGACCCCAGGCAAATTGTTTAGCCTAAGCCTCTGCTTTTACAACTTATTTTATTTTATCTTGGAGACAGTCTTGCTTTGCTCCGTGGCCCAGGCTGGAGTGCAGTGGCACGGTCTTGGCTCACTGCAACCTCCACCTCCCGGGTTCAAGTGATTCTCCTACCTCAGCCTCCCGAGCTTCTACAACTTTAAATCAGGAATAACGCCACCTTCCTTGTAGATGTGTATGCAGTGACCCCAGAGACATCTAAGAGATATTAAGCATAAAAGAATTTTGCTGAGCAGTATATAAAATGTGTTATCTGCGAAAGAAGCCAGTCATAAAAGGCAAATACTTTGATTTCACTTATTCACATAAGTGAATAGACAGAAAACAGAAGGGATACCAGGGCCTGGGGGAGCAGGAAATGGGGAGTGAGCGTTTAATGGGTGCAGAGAGTTTCAGTTTTGCAAGATGAAAACAGTTCTGGAGATGGGTGGTAGTGATGGATACACAATATGAATGTACTTAATACCATTGAAGTGTACACTTACAAATGGTTAAGGTGGTAAATTTTATGTCATGTGTATTTTACCACAATGAAAAAAATTAGGAAATATGATATCTTTTTTTTTTTTTTTTTGAGGTAGAGTCTCACTCTGTTGCCAAGGCTGGAGTACAGTGGTGTGGTCTTGGCTCACTGCAAACTCTACCTCCTGGGTTCAAGCGATTCTCCTGCCTCAGCCTCCCAAGTAGCTGGGACTACAGGTGTGTGCCACCACTCCTGGCTAATTTTTGTATTTTTACTAGAGATGGGGTTTTGCCATGTTGGCCAGGGTGGTCTCAAACTCCTGACCTCAAGTGATTCACCTGCCTTGGTGTCCCAAAGTGCTGGGATTACAGGTGTCAGCCACTGTACCTGGTCTGTTACTGGTATAATTTTTTTTTTTTTGAGATGGAGTCTCACTCTGTTGCCCAGGCTGGAGTGCAGTGGCATGATCTCTGCTCACTGCAAGCTCTGCCTCCCAGGTTCACGCCATTCTCCTGCCTCAGCCTCCCAAGTAGCTGGGACTATAGGCACCCACCACAATGCCCGGCAAATTTTTTTGTATTTTTAGTACAGACGGGGTTTCATCGTGTTAACCAGGATGATCTCGATCTACTGACCTTGTGATCTGCCTGCCTCAGCCTCCCAAAGTGCTGGGATTACAGGTGTGAGCCACCATGCCTGGCAATTTTTTAAAACAAGAATGATGGCTGGGCACGGTGGCTCACGCCTGTAATCCTAGCACTTTGGGAGGCCGAGGTGGGTGGATTACTTGAGGTCAGGAGTTTGAGACCAGCCTGGCCAACATGGCGAAACCCCGTCTCTACTAAAAATACAAAAAAATTAGCTGGGCGTGGTAGCACACAACTGTAGTCCCAGCTACTCAGCAGGCTGAGGCAGGAGAATCACTTGAACCCGGGAGGCGCAGGTTGCAGTGGGCCGAATCTGTGCTGCTGTACTCCTGCCTGGGTGACAGAGTGAGACTCTGTCTCAAAAAATAAAATTATATCAATAACAAACTCATTACTGTGTACAGAAAAGAATTTAGAAAGCTATGCACAGAACTATATATAGTTAAGTCTACTCGTGGTGAGACTGTAGAGGGCTGTCTATATTATACATTCTTCCATTATTTAAATCTGGTATGTTTATGAGTAGAAAAACTGCTTGGAAATAAATCAAAAGACCTTCCTCACTGTGTGGTTTCTCAGGATGATAAAAGAATTTATGCGTAGCTGCCATCCGTACATTAGAAACAGGTCAGCCTCATCCTCCCTGCCCTGCCTCGTAACACTCACGCTCAGCAGCTTGCGGTCCTCACCTCCTGGGAGCAGAGCAGGGAGGAGTTCAGACCCCAGAGTTGGGCAACTCAAACGCCAACCCCACTACTGCCTCACTGGGGCCTCAGAGCCTCTGTGTCCTCAACTGCAAGATGGAAATATTACATCCTAAAATGGGTTATAGCTGTGAAATGGGTTATCGTGAGAATTAAAAGTAAGGCATCATGTGTCAATACAGCACCGGGCACACTCAGGCTGTCGTTCCACGGTCCCACCTGCCATCGCAGATGACCCTCCCAGAATTCAGTGGGGACTGACCTGGGTGAGGGCGGAGCCTCAAGCACCATGTCTCTGAGCAGGGCCAGACCACTCAGAGACCCACAGGACCCCCCAGGACTCGCAGAACCTCGAAAACTCGCAGACCACTCAGAGACCCTCCCAGGCTCAGGACCCCGTGTGGCAGAGTTGGCCATCTGCTCTCAGAGCCAGTCATTAGGTTCAGCCCCAGTCCACATCCCCTGGATGCTTCTCGAAGACAGGGAGTCAAGAAATGACAAGCTGCCCACTCTGTCCCAGAGAGAGACCCCCCCAGCACGCACCAGACCCCATGTGGGCCCACAGGGATTTGGCGTGGCTCCCACACCTGGGCGGCAGGCAGTCGGGCTGCGGGTAAACAGGGCACAGAGAGCCTTTTGTGAAAGCACAAACAAGGCTGAGCCAGGAAAACTTCCCAAGCAGGAGGGGAGGCGGGAGGTTGGCACCCCTCCTGTACCAGAGATGGGAAGGCTGGCCCTCCAGTGCTCTCCCAGGGAGCGCGAAGGGGCCGCTCTCAACAGGCCCTGTCCCGGGAGGGTTCCAAGCCTGTGGATCTGCTCCCACCACGGGCCATGGGTCATGTGCTTCCCCTGTCCCAGAGCCAGAGTGGGAGGAGAGGTCTCAGCCTCGTCTGGCACACACAGCCTCCACCCTCCCCAGGGCGGACACTGCCCTGGAGGCCCCCACACCCAGCTGGGGTGAGTCAGAGGCTGCTGGCTGGGGGTGTTGCCTGGCTTGGGACTCGCCCTGTGTAGAAGGGTACACCCTCACTTCCTGGGGAGAGGAAGAGGGGAGACGCCAGGGCTGGAGGGGGAGGGGAGCACGGGTCAGTTCCAAACTGCTCTCACCTGGGCTGGGCTCCCAAACAGGTTCATCCTCACACCAACTTGCAAGGGCGTGGCCCGCCTTCTAGGGTGAAAGGCAACAGGTGAGGGACACCCACCTGGGCTTCCCCCAGCAGCTCCGGAGCCAAGCAGAGAGAGGCAGCAGGTGGGGCTGGAGGTGCAGCCTCAGGACCTGCCCTCGCCCTGCCAGGCTGGGGCAGGAGCGCCCAGTTACTGACCGTCAACTAAGTGCCCAGTATGTCCTTGCCCCATCTCCCAACCTTCATGCATAGCAGCAAGGTGGCACCCACCTCACCACGAGACCGTGAGAAAGTCCCTTCACCTCGCTGGGCTCTGGTTTCCTCATCTGTAAAATGGGTTGACAAGTCTATTGCTTGGAGGGCTGTGATGAGGACAGAAGGAGACAGTCCATATAAAGCTTTTGGACTAGTGCCTGCCATACAGTAAGGCTCTGGAACGTTCACTGCTGTTATTATTATGGTAGAGTTTAAATCAGTCCTTTTATGGGTGTGATGTCGGAGGCCCAGAGAAGTTTGGTAACCTGCCCAAGGCCACACAGCTAGGAAGAGCTGGGAAGATGCACCCCAAGCCCGACTTTCCATTGTGCCAACCTGCCTCAAAGACAAGCAGGCCTCCCGGACCCACCTGGGACCCAGGCCCTTGAAGATACTTCTTGAGACAAGATACTCTTTTCCTTAGGGGGTACATGGAAACCAGGGCTCTACAGGGAACCCCATCAGGCCATACTCAGATGCCTCTGGTCTCACGGGTACTGCTATAAGGAAGCTCTGGAAGGGAGCCTAGCCCTGGGTTTAGGGCCAGAAGGCAGTGTTGGGTCTGGGCCCTGGGGGCAGAAGGGCCTAGAAGGCAGGCCGTTTTATTTTTTTTGAGACAGGATCTTGCGCTGTCGCCGAGGCTGGAGCACAATGGTGCGATCATGACTCACTGCAACTTTGAACTCCTTGGCTCAAGCGATCCTCCAGCCTCAGCCTCCGAGTAGCTGAAACTACAGGCATGTGCCACCACACCTGGCTATTTTTAAAAATTTTTTGTAGAGATAGGTTGTTATGTTGCCCAGGCTGGTCTGGAACTCCTGGGTTCAAGCAGTCCTCCAGTCTCAACCTCTAAGTAGCTGGAACTACATGCACATGCCACCACACCTGGCTAATTTTTTTTTTTAGACGGGATCTCACTCTGTCACCAGGCTAAAGTGCAGTGGCACAATCTCGGCTCACTGCAACCTTCGCCTCCCGGGTTCAAGTGATTCTCCTGCCTCAGCCTCCCAAGTAGCTGGGATTACAGGTGCATGTCACCATACCCGGCTGATTTTTGTATTTTTTAGTAGAAACGGGGTTTCACCATGTTGGCCAGGCTGGTCTTGAACTCCTGACCTCAGGTGATCCACCTGCCTCAGCCTCCCAAAGTGCTGAGCCACTGTGCCTGGACTAATTTTTTTTTTATTTTTGTAGAGACAGGTCACTATGTTGCCCAGGCTGGTCTGGAACTCCTGGGCTCAAGCAATCCTCCACCTCAGCCTCCCAAAGTGCTGGGATTACTGGTGGGAACCGCCACGTCCAGCCAACGTTTGTTGGCTCATATTTGCACATGGAGTCACGGCCACACACGGTTTACAGGTCTTAACCTGTTATGAATACCAGCGCTGCCTTCTTAGACAGGTTATGAAATGTGGCCACCAGTACCCTAGAGAGGCAGCAGACACATCTTCTGCTGAGATCCCAGGGGAGTGGGCACTGGCCAAGCCCTAGGTGAGCCAGGGGGAGGACTGGGGGGTCTGACAGAGGGTGAGCTGCCTGGTACCCGACTCTCTGGGATGGAAGGGGGCTACCCCCAGGGATCCTGACTCATGGAGTCAGCTGGGAGATGCGAGGTGTCCCTTCAGGGCCAGGATTCCCGCCCACCGCCCCCGCTGCTGGTCAGTGCGTTTGTCATGCTGCCCGTCAGAGGGCGCAGGTTTGGCAGTGGCACTCTGACGGCGTCCAGGTGGCACGTGAAAGCTATGGAATTTTACAGCCACTTTTACTCCACTGGAACATTGCTCTAGGCGTGAGGCTTAGATTGCAGCAAGCAATTTAATTTTGAGGTTTTAAGCCCTCAAGAGACGTTTAGATGTAGACAAACTTGCTGCAAGACGCAAGACGCAACAGAAACGCATCTGGAAGACAGCAGGGAACATTTGTGGCTGGGAGTAAAAGCCCTTCTAGAAACCTCAGCCCCACACGTCCTTGAGGAGGGAAGGTTAAGCCCCTCGCCTTCCCAGCACACACACACACACACACACACACACACACACACACACAAAATGAAGCCACTAAAAAACAACTGTCTGGCCAGGTGCGGTGGCTCACACCTGTAATCCCAGCACTTTGGGAGGCCGAGGTGGGTGGATCACCTGAGGTCAGGAGTTCGAGACCAGCCTGACCAACAAGGTGAAACCCCGTCTCTACTAAAAATACAAAAATTAGCCAGGCGTGGTGGTGCACATCTGTAATCCCAGCTACTTGGGAGGCTGAGACAGGAGAATCACTTGAACCCAGGAGGCAGAGGCTGCAATGAGCCAAGATGGCACCATTGCACTCCAGTCTGGGCAACAGAGCAGGATTCCATCTCAAAAAAGTAAAATTAAATTAAAAAAATTGGCCAGGCGCAGTGGCTCACGGCTGTAGTCCTGGAACTTTGGAGAACAAGGTGGGTGGATCACAAGGTCAGGAGATCGAGACCAGCCATGGCCAATATGGTGACACCCCGTCTCTACTAAAAATACAAAAATTAGCTGGGCATGGTGGCGGGCACCTGTAGTCCCAGCTACTCGGGAGGCTGAGGCAGGAGAATAGCTTGAACCTGGGAGGTGGAGGTTGCAGTGAGCAAGATTGTGCCACTGCACTCCAGCCTGGGTGACAGAGCAACACTCCATCTCAAAATAATTAATTAATTAATTAAACAAAAAAAAAAAAACCTGTCCAGTCCCAGTCCTGTGGGGAGCTCAGCCCTGCTTCCACACCAAGGGCATGAGTTCTGCGGTAGACGACTGGGACTAAGGCTGAAAGAATGGCGTCCGGTCAGTGTTTCTCAGCATTGTTTGTAGCCCACCAGCCTCACAACTGCTGGGGAAGCATCTTCAAAGTTCAGATTCCTGGGGCCAACCTTCCAGGGCAGACTCTGCAGGTCTGTGGTGGTGGGCCCAGGGGAACAGCATTTTAGACAAGCTTCCAGGTGACTTTGAAGGCCCCCAAAAGCCTGGGAACCTGAGAAAAGAGGGTAATGGAGGGTGAAGTAGAAAGAGCCCCAGCTGCCAAGCCATACCAACCTGGGTTCAAGTCCTAGCTTTGCCACATGTACACTGTATAACTTTGGGCCAGAGACCTCATCCCTCTGGGGCTTGGTCTGTAAAATGGTAAAGCAACCTCACACGCAAGGCTGTGGCGAAGGTAAGATGGGCAAATGCGTGCAGCATCCCAGCCTGTGGCTCAGCACTGAGACATGGTGCTGAGAATGACCACGGACTATGAAGGTGCTACTGCAGGAAGGAGAAGCCAGAGACGCTGAGCACCATCTGTGGAGGGGCCAGCTCTGCAGCTCTCTCCCAAGCAGTGTATGGGAGAGAAAAGAGACTCCTGGGGAAGAATGGAGGAAGTGACGTGGGGGAGGGAAAGCGACAGGACAGTGAGCCTGAAAAACACAGGTGAGATGTCAGGAGCTCTGGCACAGACCTCACTCCCAGCGCGATCCTGCCAGACGCTCTCGCAGCCCCGCAAAACGAGGCTGCCACGCCTGTATGCTCTCCTTGCCCAAACCCTTCCTGAGGTCAGCTATACCCCAAAAGAGAGCATCTTTGGACCCAGGTGGCAGGGTGGGCCCTCCTCCTGCTCCTCACCTGCCCACTCTCAGAACTAAAACTTGAAAGGAGCATGCCAAAAGGACCACAACCAACACTTCCTCCAGATACAGCAAGGGTAAACTGAGTCAGGGTCTGCCTGTTCCTTCCTATCCCCAGGAAGGGCTGGGCTCAGGAGAACAATGGCTCAGACTCAATTTGTCTCAGCTTGATTCATGTGTGTCCCCTGAACCCAGGTGGTGGGTGGAGGCCAAAACCCCTCAGGCCGGCCCATGCGGTTCATTCCACGCCATCCTTGGCAAAAAGGAGGAATTATGATCTGACAAGCAGGACCTGCTGCTTCCTGCTCAGCGCTGCCCAGCATGAAAGACTACAGCTCAGGCCTCCCCTCTCTCCAGGGGACAGAGTTCCTCAAAACCAACAGGAAACTCCTATGGGGCAGAGCCAGGAGTTGGCTGACCTTATCCCATAAACAGGAGAGTCGACACAATCACACACCAGGCACTTCCGACCTCCCTCTGCTGCTGTAAATGCCCAAACAGCTCAAAACTCCCAGCATGTGAGGGGGAGGGGCCAGGGGGGCTCAAGGGTGTGCATTCTGCCAGGACCACACACAGCTCTATCTACCTCTTGCATGGGAAAGAGGTCCAGGGGAGCCGGGCGCGGTGGCTCATGCCTATAATCCCAGCACTTTGGGAGGCCAAGGCGGCGGATCACAAGGTCAGGAGATCAAGACCATCCTGGCTAACATGGTGAAACCCCGTCTCTACTAAAAATACAAAAAAAATTAGCCGGGCGTGGTGGCGGGCGCCTGTAGTCCCAGCTACTCGGGAGGCTGAGGCAGGAGAATGGAGTGAACCCGGGAGGCAGAGCTTGCAGTGAGCTGAGATTGTGCCACTGCACTCCAGCCTGGGTGACAAAGACTCCATCTCAAAAAAAAAAGAGGTCCGGGGGATATCATTATATGAAACAAAAGCAAACTGTGAATCAGCAACTCAAACATGACCAGATTTTTATAAAAATAAGCAAATGGTAACAATAGATGTGGAAGAATATACCCCTTCCCATTCACACCTCTGAAGATGAGAATCAGCAGAGACTCATTTCCTAGATGACATTAAAGATCCAAACAGGTCTGGCATGGTGGCTCACACCCATAATCCCAGCACTTTAGGAGGCCAAGGCAGGAGCATCTCTTGAACCCAGGAGTTCGAGACCAGCCTGGGCAATGTAGAGAGGCTCTATCTCCATAATAAATAAATAAATAAAATTAGCTGGGCACAGTAGTGCACACCTGCAGTCCCAGCTAGTTGGGAGGCTGAGGCAGGAGGATCGCTGGAGCCTTGGAGATCGAGGCTGCAGTGAGTCATGATGGTGCCACTGCACTCCAGCCTGGGCAACAGAGTGAGACCCTGTCCCCCAAAAATAGCCAAACAGTATAAAACCATATAATGAATATACAACTATGTTGGTAATTACAAAAAAAAAAAATTACTATTTCTTTTAAAATCCAGGCTGGGAGACTCAGGCCTTCCTTCACACAAAAAACTGAGGTGAGAGATAAAGGCAGGAAGGCCTCAGGGCAGACAACAGAAGACCCTGGCCCAGGATTCCAGGGTCTGGATTCAAGCCGCATGTCCTTGCCTTCTTTACAGATGAGTCTGGGCAAGCTGCTTCCTCACTCTGATTCTCAGTTTCCACATCTGTAAACTGGAGATAATGGCCACTGCCTAAGCATCCTCAAATGGTCAAATGAGATCACCGACCTGAGTATGTCTGGCAAATTACACAGCCGTCTATACACACACCAGCTATGACTCGGGACCACCTTCTAGGACATGCACTCTGCCAACTGCCTGCTCTATGTCAACATATTTAATCCTCCAAATGTTCTAAAGGGACTCTCCTGCCTCTGGGAACTGTTTTCCAAAGCACAGGCCAAGGAATCCCAGTCCCCAAAGATGTCTACACGATCAAATAAGTGTGGGGAAACACGAGTCGCTAGCTCCCTTATCGTGATCAGCTCAATCCTGATGACGGCTCTGATTCAAGACTCTGATAAGTCCTGCAGCAAGGATAACAAGAAGTCTTTGTTTCCTGGAATTATCAAACCACTGTGACCGAAGAAACTGGTGTCTCATGGAACACACTTGGGAAACGTGGTCCACGCTTTTTGGGAAATGTGGTCATGAGGCTGCATTAGCAAGACCCAGACTGATAAGATCTGGGGTGAAGGAGAAAAAACAGAGGTTTGCAATGAAACAACTCAGCATTCAATGAGTGCGGCAAGCACACATTACTCAGCGGGAGAAGGAGGAAGAGAGTAATTCTGCTGTCTGCCACTCTACCCTGGACCTACAGCAAGAAAAGCAAAGGACTGTGGGGATGGAGATGCTACCCTTTGCTCCCCAGGCTGGGAAGGGCACTTGACTGGAGCTGGAGCTGGCTGAGAAGGAGAGGGGCCCAGTCCTTACCCCAAGGATGGCTCTGCTATCTGCGCGTCGGCTGTCGGTGCTGAGGCTGGCCCGCGTCTGCCTGTGCAGGATCCTGGCATTCCTTTTGCTCCATGGACGCTGCCTCCCTACAAGGAAGCGAGAGCTGCCGTCAGCAGGCACATGTGTGACTGTCGCAGTTACCTGCCACACCGCCAGCACTTCCTGAGAGCCTGCTTGGTAGCAGGCCCTTGGCTGGGCTCTGGGGTGACAAAAGAGGTTTTTTTTGTATAGTGGTGCAATCTCGGTTCACTGCAACCTCCGCCTCCCGCATTCAAGTGATTCTCCTGCCTCAGCCTCTCGAGTAGATGGGATTTCAGGTGCGCACCACCAAGCCTGGCTAATTTTTTGTATTTTTAGTAGAGACAGCGTTTCCCCATGTTAGCCAGGCTGCTCTCAAACTCCTAACCTCCAGGGATCTGCCCGCCTCGGCCTCCCAAAGTATTGGGATTACAGGCATGAGCCACCGCGCCTGGCAGACAAAAGAGGTTCTGACAGAGCACCTCCCTCCAGAACCTGGTCTACTGAGGAGGTGCCAAGTCAGTAGCGACGGTCTGAGAGCTCAGAGCTCTGCTGCGGGGGAGCCAGGAGAAGCACTAGACCCAGACTAGTGGGGTCAGGGAAGGCTTTCTGGAGGAGGAGTTGTCTGAGTTGACTCCTAAGAGTAGGAGCTGGAAAAAGAGCATTCCAGGCAGGAGGAACAGCACATGTTTACCTGGAGGAGAGAGTACATGGCATCTGGAGAAGGCTTGCGGGCTCGGCATGGCGAGATCCAGAGCCAGAGAGGGGAAGTGGCAAGAGATGAGCCACAGTGGGGTGGCTGGGTCAGGCAGAGACCAGCCAGTGCCCAGACTCCAACTTAAACACCAAATCCACCCATCATCTCCGACAGTCAACCAGCCTCTGGTGAGCATCTACTCCATATGCGCCAGACACTGTGCAGAACTGTGCATGGGAGTGGCAGGGTAGGGAAAGCTGTGATCACTACGACACGGGTTTCGGGGAGCCAGGAGCTGGGAGAGTGGCCCAGCCACCAGAGAGAGCCAAAGGATCAGCAGGAGTTACCCAGGAAGGAGGAGGGCGGGGGTAGACAAAGACACCTGGACTGATCTAGGAGGGATGGCTGTTTTTCCATCATTTCTACCACTGGGTATTTACTATATTGACTAAGTTCCAGGCCCTGTGCTGGGAGGGCAGACATGGAAGATGGTCTCCGCCGTCATGGGAGGTAGGTCAATAACCCTGCAATTCCATACGGGGTGGTGGTGACTAGGCAGTAAAGTACCTACAGCTATATAGGCACGGAGGCCATCCAAGCCAACCTCTACCTCACTCTACCCTCCTTGTCAAGGATGGGGCACCCACTGAGGCTGGGTGGTCCAATCACCTGCCCATGGCAGAGCCAGGTCCAGAACTTGGGCCCCTGGACTCCCTGTCACTAATTATTCTAGTCCCTCCTCTTCCAGAAAGCATACCCTGACCACCCCCTACATAACCACCCAGAGCTAATTCCTTCTTCCTCTGGGCTGCCTCTGTAATATTTCTATTAATATGGTGGCCACAGTATATCAGAACTTATGTGTCTTCTGGTTTGCCTGTCCTCCCAGACTGCAGCTCTCAGGAGGCCAGGGATGTTTTCCCAGCCATCCCAGGCCCAAGACAGGCACTTTCTAAAGAATGGCTGAATGAATGAATGAATGAATGAATGAGTCAAGGCATGGAGAGACACTGTGCTGGGCTCTAAGAGCCCCACATCCATCCCACCTGAATCTCCAAGAGGTCTTGGCCCATCAGTGTGTGCCTCAGTTTCTCCATGTGAAAACCTGGAATCAGCTCTACTCTAAGACGAGGCAGTCAGGAACCAGGCTGATTTCCCTCCAACTCCTACAGGCAAGGTCCAGGCCAAGCCAGGCAGCAACCCAGGGTCCGGCCACTTCCCTGAGTTCTGACCCACGGCAGTGATCCCCAGGATTCCCTACAGTCCAGAAAGGTCATTCAAGAGTTTGCAAAGGAAACGGCTTCCTGGTGGGTGTGCCTAAGGGATGGAGAACCACCACATCTAGTCAAGTTCTGGGGGGAAGTCATGAACATTTCCTGTGCCCCCGCTCTGTTTTTTTTTTTGTTTTTTTGAGATGGAATTTTGCTCTTCTTGCCCAAGCTGGAGTGCAATGGCGCGATCTTGGCTCACTGCAACCTCTGCCTGCTGGGTTCAAGCAATTCTCCTGCCTCAGCCTCCCGAATAGCTGGGATTACGGGTGCGCAGCCCCATGCCTGGCTAATTTTTTGTATTTTTAGTAGAGACAAGGTTTCACTATGTTGGCCAGGCTGGTCTCGAACTCCTGACCTCGTGATCTGCCCGCTTCAGCCTCCCAACGTGCTGGGATTACAGGCGTGAGCCACCACGCCCGGCCCTGCACCCCCTGCTCTGTACCCTATGGTCCCTAGAACGCAGAGGGCATCAGACCCCATGCCAAAGCCCTGAGACCAGGAAAACAAGGAAGCAGAGACCAGCCACCCAGTCACTCATCCCTGGCATGTCCACAACAGCCTCCTCCAGCACAGGTCATCTGTCCTTGCCTCACTTCATGAGCCAGAGGAAGACTTGACCTTCATGGAAGCAACACCAGTGAGACTGAGCAATCAGCACTGCCCAGTCTCTCTGAACAAACTCCCACTCCCACATCCCCTCCACAGGAAGTATCAGCAACAGCCGATCTCCTCCCGCTTCTTACAGCCTGTCTGTCTGCCAGGTTGTCTGCTCCAAAGGGCAGAATACAGTTTGGCAGGGGTTAAGAGTACTACTAACAGAAGAGGTGGAAGAGGTCCTTGGGAACTTCGGGCTCCCCCAGTTCCCTTCCTCTTACCAGGTGCTCTCCCTCCACACCTCATTCTCAAAAGGCTTCCTGAGGTAGGGCAGGGGAAGAGGAGTCAGTGGAAGTGTGGCTCACCCAGGAACCGCCCACCCTTCCAGCCAAGTCTCCATCAGGAGGCGGCTACCAGACAACCCCCGACCCATCCCTCCTTCCCAAAAAAGGCAACAATCGCAACAGCTGAGAACCGGCAGACCTCGGTTCACCCCGGTCCAGATCAAGGGGAAGAAGCAGTCAGCGAAAGCAGCAGAATCATCATGAACTCCATGACCCCAGCTATGCCCCTTCAGCCTGGGAGCTCAGTTTGCTGGGTATCCAGCTCACCTAGGGCTGCACCAGGCCTGGACCTCACTGGATCTCGCCTCGCCCTCGGGCCCACCTGAATGCACAGGACTGGGACAGGGTCTGGGTTCTTAGATTCCGGACCGGTCTTCCCAAATATCCCATCCCAGAAAGGCCCCAAGAGCCTAGCCGGGGATCCTGCCCCCAAGTCAGGGCACTGCCCCCATCGGAACGATAGGAAGGAGGGGTGCAAGGGAAGAGAAGGGGACCAGGAACTCAGGAGAAGACAGCTAAGGAAATCTTTGAAAAAGAAATGGCAAGGAGAGAGCCCAGAGGTGGAACCTCTAGGAACGGGAGAGTGTGTGTGGAGGGGTGAGGATCTGGGGGGACCCAGGGGATGACAAGGGGACATGGGGGAGCCGAGGCGGAAACTCCTGGTTTCTGAAGCACAAGGAGGCACAGGGGTGCCTGGGAGGGGGCTCGCGCGCCGCGGAGCCGGCGAGAAGGTGGTGCCCCGGAGACTCCGGGCACTGGGGAGCCCAGAGGTAGGCCGAACACCGCGGGAGGTCCCCAGGGGGCCGGCCCGGAGACAGAGCCCCAGATGCCCCGGGCGCCCCGGGCCGGGCAGCTGGCCGAGGGCGTGTGTAAGTGGGTTTCGAGAGGTGACAGCTCGCGCCCCTTTCCCCACCCCGTCCACTCACCTGGGCTCGCCGCGCCCGGCCGCCCGGCAGGCAGCCCCAGGCCCCGGCCGCTCCGTCCCGCCGCCGGCCGCAGCGCTGCTCCGGCGCCTCCTTTTGTTTGTCCCTCACTGCACCACTCAGCCTCCTCCGCCCCGGAAGTGACGTCACCGCCGGGCGCGAACGCGGCGGCCAGGGCGTCGCCATCTTTATGAGGAGAATTCTAGCGGCGCTTTCTCCCGCTCTCGCCTCCGCGCTAGCGCCCTGCTGCTTCGGGGCGGAAGTAGCGGAGCCGGGCTCGGCCCCCTTAAAGGGACAGGGACTGCTGCAACCTACGGGGTGTACTTGGGAACGAGGGGTGAAGCGGCCCAGGTGAGGGTGAGTAGCTGTGTCGGAGCGCCACTTCCCCAAGGTCAGGTGCCGAGGCTGGGAGGGTCGGCTAACGGTTCCGAGCTTGGTTGTGCTAGAGTGCTTAATGAGTTTGATGCTACTAAGTATAACGGAGTGGCTGCACAGAATGATTGAGCCGCCCGCGGGAATCAACTGCGCGTGCTGCTCGCTGATTCTCGCTCGGACACTGGGGCTGGTCCTGTCTGCACCCAAATCCCCCTCCCACGACCGCGCCGGTGGAGATGATACCCGAGACAACAGAATTCTGGACAGATCTGGGGTTGGAATTGGGTCCCCAGACTCCAACTCTGCAGCTCCATAAATCCCGCTGGGTCCTCGCAAATTCCCTGGCTGATAACAGTACCGGCAACCAAATTAAAAAATAATCCATACAGTGGAATACTGTGCAGCCATTAAGACGAACAATGTTTAATATGCACTAATGTAGGGTGACTTCTAAGATACCTTAGGTTAAAAAAGGAAACAACAGTAAAAACAGCGTTGGGCCGGTTGCGGTGGCTCACGTCTGTAATCCCAGCACTTTGGGAGGCCGAGGCGGGCGGATCACGAGGTCAGGAGATCGAGACCATCCTGGCTAACTTGGTGAAACCTCATCTCTACTAAAAATACAAAAAAATCAGCCGGGCGTGGTGGTGGGCGCCTGTAGTCCCAGCTACTCTGGAGGCTGAGGCAGGAGAATGGCATGAACTCGGGAGGTGGAGCTTGCAGTGAGCCGAGATCGCGCCGCTGCACTCCAGCCTGGGCGACAGAGCGAGACTCCGTCTAAAAAAAGAAAAAACAGCGTTGATGGGTGCTATCCATCTTTGCGTAGAAGGACGCCTGAGGGTGGGCGTATCTGCGGGTGTGCGCGCCAGCTGTCTGATAAGATGCACAAGAAGTTGTTAATTGCGGTTGTCTCCGACAGAATTGGGGTCTTGGGTACCTGGGCCAGGGCGAGAAATTTACTACCATGTGCACAGATAGATAATTAAAAATAAGATGATGAAGATAGTCGTGGCTCCCATCCATCACGTGTTAAGCCAATGCCTAGTTTCACTTCTGTTGGGAGGTCTTATTTTTCCCTTTTAATAGAAGAGAAAAGAACCTTAGAGAGGTTAGGAAACTTAGCAATATCATAGCCAGGGCCGGGCGCGGTGGTTCACACCTGTAATCCCAGCACTTTGGGAGGCTGAGGCGGGCGGATCACGAGGTCAGTAGATCGAGACCATCCTGGCTAACACGGTGAAACCCCGTCTCTACTAAAAATACAAAAAAATTAGCCGGGTGTGGTGGCGAGCGCCTGTGGTCCCAGCTACTCGGGAGGCTGAGGCAGGAGAATGGCATGAACCTGGGAGGCAGAGCTTGCAGTGAGCTGAGATTGGGCCACTGCACTTCAGCCTGGGCAACAGAGCAAGACTCCGTCTAAAAAAAAAAAAAAATCATAGCCAGGAAGTGGAGAAGCTGGAATTTGAACCCTGGGAGATTTACACTAATGCCCATGATCTAGCTTATCCCTCGCCACTGAGATGCTTTTTCTGTTGTCAGTCACGCAACACCCGTCTTGGGGCCTGGCACACAACAGGCATCCAGTAACTATTTATTGACATGATGTGTGGTGTGAAAAGCAAACGTTGAAGGTCAGAGCCCAGGCTTAAAGTCCAGGGCTTGGGCACCTCTTTCCAACCTGTGGACTGTGGGCCTGCCAGGTACTCCGTGGGCCTCCATGTCCCCGCCTGTAAAATGAACAACCAGAACCACAGTTGTAGACAGTGAATGTTCCCACGTATTATACTTTGTATTTTACACGCAGATAAGTCTCATTTTACAGATAAGTGAGGCACAGAGAGATTAAGAAAGTTGCCAGAAGGGGGTTCCTACAGGTCTCCCTCCCTCCCTAGGAAGGCTGCTGGGCTCCCAGGCCTCTCCCTTAGCTTCCCAGGATCATCTGTGCTAATGCCTGGGGGACCTACTCTGTGCTGGGTGAGCTGCCAGAGGCTGAGGATCTGGTGGAGAACAGGTCAAGCACATAGTTCCTGTCCTTGGAGTTGAGCGCCCCCGTGCTGAGTACTTTGAGGGCGGAAGCCCAGGTCTTGGGACCACCTGGGAGGGGACATGTGGCTTAGCCTGGGTGGAGTCAGAAGGGGCTTCTCCAAGGAAGGGACTTTCAATGTGACTGGAAACTAGGATGTCCAGAAGGAGAAATGATGAGGCTGGAGACTCAAGGAGAGATGGGCTCCTACCCTGGACTTGGCCTTGGTGTCCACTAAGAAACTGAGGGTGACCAACAGGATTGGAGAATATACAAGTTAGACCCATTCAGTCTGGCTTCAGCAGGAATCTTTCCTCCCGGAGAATGCCTCCATTAGGTGCCAACCACCAGAACGCCACACTAACCTCTCCAAGCTCCAAAGAGTAGGGCGCCTGATTTTATAATCCAGGTGGGGGCGATAAAGGAATGCAGGAGCCTTCACAGCCATGAGGCAGTCACTGTAACTCCTGCCAGAACAGACCTGGGGCCACATCCCACTCCTGGATGGCACTGCCAGTTCCCTGCATAATTCCTTTTTTTTTTTTTGAGACGGAGTCTCACTCTGTCGCCCAGGCTGGAGTGCAGTGGTGCAATCTCGGCTCACTGCAAGCTCCACCTCCCGGGTTCACTCCATTCTCCTGCCTCAGCCTCCCAAGTAGCTGGGACTACAGGCACCCGCCACCACGCCTGGCTAATTTTTTGTATTTTTAGTAGAGACGGGGTTTCACCGTGTTAGCCAGGATGGTCTCTATCTCCTGACCTTGTGATCCGCCCACCTCGGCCTCCCAAAGTGCTGGGATTACAGGCGTGAGCCACCGCGCCCGGCCTCCCGGCATAATTTTTAAAATGCTCATCCTATGCCCTCATTCCCCAGCTTGCAGCTGGGGGCCTCCTGGTGCTTTTCTGGGACTTCGAGTAAGTCATTTCCCCTCTCTAAGCCTCAGTTTCCCCACCTGTAAAGCTGATGCCACCTCCTCCAAGGCTCCCGCGAGGCTATCTGCCTATCTGTTGTGTGTTCCTTTAATGTATGGGAGTGAGATTGTGGTTTTTGAATCTGGGTCCTGTGCCAGGAGGAATAAGTGGTGAGATACCTACTGTTTGTGTCACTCAGGTCTTCCACCAACCCCTCCAGCCTGTAAACCTGCCGTCTGGACTCCAGAAGTCATTTCTCTCTCCTCTGCCAATTCCTAAGCCCAGGGGGACTGTGTCTGAGTGACGCAATTGTTAGATCTCCTCAGACAGGCTGTTCTCTCCAGGAAAACATTGGCTCAACAAATTGTCACCAAACATTTGTCTTCAGGGAATTCTGTTTTTTTTCTATCAAAAAAAATTTGGATTCATTATATAATAAGAGATTTTTCATTTTGCTTGGTTACTAATTTTATGGAAAGCCTGGTAGGTTTAAATGTTAATAGCTTGTTGACTGGGTGTGGTGGTTCATGCCTATAATCCCAGTAATTTGGAAGGCTGAGGTGGGACTATCGCTTGAGCTCAGGAGTTCGAGACCAACCTGGGCAACGTGGTAAAACCCCATCTCTATCAAAAATACAAAAATTAGCTGGGTGTGGTGGCACGTGCCTGTGGTCCCAGCTACTCTGGAGGCTGAGGTACAAGAATCGCTTGAAACTGGGAGGCAGAGGTTGCAGTGAGCCGAGATTGTGCCACTGCACTCCAGCCTGGGCGATAGAGCAAGACTGTCTCAAAAAAAAAAAAAAGTTAATAGCTTGTTGTCATTGACAAGTGGCTGTGAGCCAGGACCCACAGTATATTCTCTGTGGATTCTTGTCACCTTCATTGTACAGATGAGGAAGCTGAGCCCCCAAGAGGCTGCGGCCTGGCATGACCAAGGTCCCATAGCTAGTTTATGGTGGAGC
This sequence comes from Homo sapiens, assembly GCF_000001405.40. NCBI lineage: Eukaryota > Metazoa > Chordata > Mammalia > Primates > Hominidae > Homo > Homo sapiens. Next base: position 128,877,981 of record NC_000009.12, on the reverse strand, counting down.
TGGGACTATTTGATCCAAGTCCAAGGTTTGGTCTTCTGTGGTTATTCATGCACTAGACTGGTCTTCCTGGGCATGGTATCCCCAGTTCTGTACCCTTTCTCTAGAGGTGCCACGATGTGTGTTGTCTCAGTAACTGGGAGTCTCCTGGCATTTTAAGCCCAGGGATGCTAAACATCCTTCAAGGCTCCAGATAGCTCTCCCCAGTGAAGAACTGACTCATCTCAAATTCTAAGTGTGCCCCTATTGAGAAGCTCCAAAACCGAATGTCATAATTGACTTGAGTGATGTGACGTGGGGCCACCCTGGGAAGGCATGGTCACCTCGCCTGCCCTTGTAAGCAGCCATGCAAGGTGAAGTTGGACAAGACATGGCTCCTGTCCCCAAGGGGCTGGTGGTCTCCTGTCAGCCCTAGCACCCGCCTGAGAGGAGATTTCACGGGACAGAATTTGGACTTTGGAAATAGGCAAACCAGGGTTTGAATCACAGCTGGAGCTCTCTAGGCTGAGTGAGTTTTCCTTGTTCTCCTTTTGAGCAAAATAGAGTAAATAATACCATCCTAATCAGCTGTGATGAGGATTAGAGAATTTAGCATGGGGTTGGGGGAGAGGGTCAGGCACAGGTAGGTGCTTTCTGAGTTCAGCAAAGGGCCTGGGTGGACACAGAAGCTTCAGAGAGGAGGTACAGGTGGGGCTAGGCCCTGCTAGGGATTTTGGATTGGAGGGTATGCCAGGCAGGGGAAACAGCTTGAGTGAAGATGGGCAACATTTATTCAAAAGCAAAGGGTGGCTGGGCACAGTGGTTCACACCTGTAATTCCAGCAATTTGGGAGGTCAAGGCAGGCAGATCACCAGAGGCCAGAAGTTCAAGACCAGCCTGGCCAACATGGTGAAACCCCATCTCTACAAAAATACAAAAATTAGCCGAGCATGATGGTGGGTGCCTGTAATCCCAGCTACTCGGGAGGCTGAGGTGGGAGAATCACTTGAACCCGGGAGGCAGAGGTTGCAGTGAGCCGAGATCGTGCCATTACACTCCAGCCTGGGTGAAAGAGTGAGACTCCATCTCAAAAAAATAAAAATAAAAATAAATTAGCTGGGCGTGGTGGCGTGCACCTGTAATCCCGGCTACTTGGGAGGCTGAGGCAGGAGAATCACTTGAACCCGGCAGGTGGGGGTTGCAGTGAGCCAAGATTGTGCCACTGCACTCCAGCCTGGGTGACAGAGTGAAGAGAGAGGCTCTATCTCAAGAAAAAAAAAAAAAAAAGGCCGGGTGCCGTGGCTCATGCCTGTAATCTCAGCACTTTGGGAGGCCGAGGCAGGCGGATCACGAGGTCAGGAGATTGAGACCATCCTGGCTAACATGGTGAAACCCTGTCTCTACTAAAAATACAAAAAAAATTAGCAGGGCGTGGTGGCGGGCGCCTGTAGTCCCAGCTACTCGGGAGGCTGAGGCAGGAGAGTGGCGTGAACCCGGGAGGTGGAGCTTCCAGTTAGCTGAGATCACGCCACTGCACTCCAGCCTGGGCGACAGAGCCAGACTCTGTCTCAAAAACAGAAAAAAAAAAAAAAAAAAGAACAAAGGATGACTGGGTGTGGTGTCTCATGCCTATAATCCAAGCTGTAATCCCAGGACTTTAGGAGGCCAAGACCAGAGGATCACTTGAGCCCAGGAGTTCAAGACCAGCCTGGGTAACATAGGGAGACCCTGTCTCTATTTTTTTTTTTTTTTAAAAGCAAAGAATTTGAGCTGGGGGTTGGGGCATGCACTTATAGTCCCAGATACTCAGGCGGCTGAGGCAGGAGGATCACTTGAGCTCAGGAGTTCAAGGCTCCTAGGTGACAAAGCGAGACCCTATCTCTAAAATAAAAAAAGAGTAAAGGGAGGGAAGGTGGAGGCTGCCAAGCCTGGATTCCAGCCGGCTCCAAACGCCAGGCTGAGGAGGCTTTGGACTTTGTCCAGTGTCACCACAGGCTTCTGGGCAGAGCTGGTCCAATGGGGGTTGGGGGACAGTGGCATAGCTGACATCAGCCCCTGGGTTATTGACATCAGCCCCTGGAATGCATCAGTGATGCATTCCACGGGCCCAGGGGTCATCCACTGCCTTCGGGTCAAGCAAATGGCCAGTAGCTGCCCAGGCTGATAGAGGTGTGTGTTGGAGGGGGGCACAGGCCACTGGCCCTCGGCCCCTGGCCTGGCAGCAGGGAGGCCTCAGATCTTAGATGCCTGAGAGCTACCCCAGAAGGGTCCTCGGCACAGCTATGGTCCCCATGCCTAGTGGTGCTGGGCCTCCTCGGTGCTGCCAGATCACCTGAGCTGCCTCCATTGCAGCAGTTATCCCACACATTTTTTTTTTTTTTTGAAGCGGAGTCTTGCTCTGTCACCTGGACAGCTGTCAGGCTGGAGTGCAGTGGCTCAATCTTGGCTCACTTCAACCTCTGCCTCTCAGGTTCAAGTGATTCTCCTGCCTCAGCCTCCCGAGTAGCTGGGACTACAGGTGCCCACCACCACACCCGGCTAATTTTTGTATTTTTGTAGAGACGCGGTTTCACCATGTTGGCCAGGCTGGTCTCGAACTCCTGACCTCAAGTGATCTGTCTGCCTCGGCCTCCCAAAGTGCTGGGATTACAGGCGTGAGCCACCACGCCAGTGAGCCAAGGTCACACAGCTGCACTCCGGCCTGGGCGACACAGCAGGACTCCATCTCAAAAACAAAAACCAAAAAAAAAAAAAAAACAAAAAAAAACAAATTGAACATAAATGGAATAATGGAAGAAATAGCTAGCTGTGGGGATGGCAACTCTGCAGCTGTTCACAGTTTGGGAAACCTGAGATCTGCATCCAGAGAAACTTCTTGAAGGCAAACTTATCAACATAAATGAGGAAAGTGGTTCTAAAGAAAAAGATAATGACCCAGAGGAAATAATACCAGCAAAACTTCACATTAAAGGAACTCCCTGGGCTGAGCGCAGTGGCTCACGCCTGTAATCCCAGCACTTTGGGAGGCCGAGGTGGGCAGATCACTTGAGGTCAGGAGTTCGAGACCAGCCTGGCCAACATGGTGAAACCCCATCCCTACTAAAAATACAAAAATAAGTCGGGCATGGTGGTGCGTGCCTGTAATCCCAGCTACTCAGGAGGCTGAGGCAGGAGAATCGTTTGAACCTGGGAGGCAGAGATTGGAGTGAGCCGAGATCACGCCACTGCACTCCAGCCTGAGTGACAGAGCGAGACTCCGTCTCAAAAAAAAAAAAAAAAAAAAGGCAGGATTATCTCACCACAAAATGTACAGAACAGGAACTCCCAGAGATATTTCACAACATTGAAAACAAAGGATGACTAAGGATGACTCGTATTCATCAAGACATAGAAGATGTCAGGTGCAGTGGCTTACACCTGTAATCCCAGCACTTTGGGAGGCTAAGGCAGGATGATTGCTTGATGCCAGGAGTTCAACATCAGCCTAAGCAACATAGTAAAACCCCCATCTTTACAAAAAAAAAAAAATAGCTGAGCATGGTGGTTCGTGCTTATTGTCTCAGCAACTCAGGAGAATGAGGTGGGAGGATTTCCTGAGCCCGGTAGGTTGAGGCTGCAGTGAGCCGAGATCACACCACTGCACTCCAGCCTTGGCAACAAACATAGAAGAAATGCTCATTCTGTATCCTAAATTAAACCACTGGAAGACTGCAGCACTGTTCAGTTCAGAATATTCTTTTTTTTTTTTTGGAATGAAGTTTCATTTTTGTTGCCCAGGCTGGAGCGCAGTGGCGTGATCTCGGCTCACTGCAACCTCTGCCTCCTGGGTTCAAGCGATTCTCCCGTCTCAGCCTCCTGAGTAGCTGGGATCACAGGCGCCCGCCACCACGCCTGGCTAATTTTTGTGTATTTAATAGAGACGGGGTTTCACCATGTTGACCAGGCTGGTCTTGAACTTCTGACCTCAGGTGATCCACCCGCCTCGGCTTCCCAAAGTGCTGGGGTTACAGGTGTGAACCACCACGCCCGGCCTCAGAATATTCTTTTTTTTTTTTTTTTTGAGACGGAGATTTGCTCTGTCACCCGGGCTGGAGTGCAGTGGTGCAATCTCTGCTCACTGCAACCTCTGCCTCCCAGGTTGAAGCGATTCTCCTGCCTCAGCCTTCCGTGTAGCTGGGATTACAGGTGTGCATCACCATGCCCGGCTAATTTTTTGTATTTGTATTTAATTTTTTTTTTCTTTTTGAGATGGAGTCTCGCTCTGTGGAGTGCAGTGCCGCTCACTGCAACCTCTATCTCTCGGGTTCAAGCGATTCTCCTGCCTCAGCCTCCCAAGTAGCTGGGATGGGATTACAGGCACCTGCCACTACACCCAGCTAATTTTTTTTGTAATTTTAGTAGAGACGGGATTTCACCATGTTGGCCAGCCTGGTCTCAAACTCCTGACCTCAAATGATCTGCCTGCCTACCGGCCTCCCAAAGTGCTGGGATTACAGGAGTGAGCCATCGCGCCTGGCCCAAGCTATTTGCAATAAAATTTTTTCCTTGATAAACTTTTATAACGAAAGAAAACGTCTTAATTTTCAGTGTTGCTAATATTAAATTACAGTGTACTAAGTTCTTATTAGTTTTTTTTTTTTTTCATTTTCTATACTTTTTTATTTTTAAATGACAGAGTCTCACTTTGTTGCCCAGGCTAGTCTCCAATTCCCGGGCTCCAGTCATCCTCTTGCCTTGGCCTCCCAAAGTCCTGGGACTACAGGCATGAGCCACCACACCTGGGCTACATTTTTAACAGATGGTAAGAGAGTTTTAAAAGGTCACAGAACAATTGTCTTATTAATTATTATTATCCAATAATAATTTTCTCGATTATTAAGTTCTCTTTGCACAATTTAAGTTTACATGGTCTTTTTTTTTTTTTTTTTTTTAAATGGAGTCTCACTCTGTCACCCAGGCTGGAGTGCAGTAGTGCGATCCTGGCTCACTAGAATCTTTGCCTCCCGGGTTCAAGCAATTCTCCTGCCTCAGCCTCCGAAGTAGCTGCGATTACAGGCACATGCCACCATGCCCGGCTAATTTTTTTTGTATTTTCAGTAGGGACGGGGTTTCATCATGTTGACCAGGCTGGTTTCAAACTCCTGACCTCAAGTGATCTGCCTGCCTCGGCCTCCCAAAGTTCTAGGATTACAGGCCTGAGCCACCACGTCTGGCCAACATGGTCTTTTTTTTTCTTTTGAGACGGAGTCTCGCTCTGTCACCCAGGCTAGAGTGCAAACGGTGCGATCTTGGCTCACTGCAACCTCCGCCTCCCGAGTTCAAGCTGGTCTCCTGTCTCAGCCTCCCGAGTAGCCGGGATTACAGGTGAGTGCCACCATTCCTAGCTACTTTTTGTATTTTATTAGAGACGGGCTTTCACCATGTTAGCCAGGCTGGTCTCGAACTCCTGACCTCAGGTGATCCGCCCACCTCGGCCTCCCAAAGTGCTGGGATTACAGGCATGAGCCACTGCGCCTGGCCTCAACATGGTCTTTTTCTGTTTTGCTTTGTTTTGTTTTTTTTGAGTCGGAGTCTCGCTCTGTCACCCAGGCTGGAGTGCAGTGGCACAATCTTGGCTCACTGCAGTCTCCACCTCCCAGGTTCATGCCATTCTCCTGCCTCAGCCTCCCGAGTAGCTGGGACTACAGGTGCACGCCACCACGCCTGGCTAATTTTTTGTATTTTTAGTAGAGACAGGGTTTCACCGTGTTAGCCAGGATGGTCTCAATCTCCTGACCTCGTGATCCACCCACCTCAGCCTCCCAAAGTGCTGGGATTACAGGTGTGAGCCACCATGCCCAGCCAATTCAACATGGTCTTTTTTTTTTTTTTTTTTTTGAGACAGAGTTTCGCTCTTGTTGCCCAGGCTGCCGTGCAGTGGCACGATCTCAGCTCACTGCAACCTCCGCCTCCCAGTTCAAGTGATTCTCCTGCCCCAGCCTCCGGAGTAGCTGGGACTACAGGCGTGTGCCACTATGCCCAGCTAATTTTTGTATTTTTTTTAGTAGAGACAGGCTTTCACCATGTTGGCCAGGATGGTCTTGATCTCTTGACCTCATGATCCACCCGCCTCAGCCTCCCAAAGTGCTGGGATTACAGGCATGAGCCACCACGCCCAGCCAACATGGTCATTTTTATAATGCCACACTACTGTGGAAAGTAAAGACTACCTGAATATGTATGTGTATGTGTATATGTATATATATGTATGCATCCTCACATATGTATCTCCACAATTGATTTTGTTTATTTTTTGAGACAGGATCTCACTCTGTCACCCAGGCTGGAATGCAGTGCTGTGATTATGGCTCACTGCTGCCTCGACTGCCTGGGCTCAAGCAATACTCCCAGCTGAGCCTCCTGAGTAGCTGGGACCACAGGCATGCACCACCACACCCAGCTAATTTTTAAAAAATTATTTGTAGAGACAAGGTCTTGTTATGTTGCCCAGGCTGGTCTGGAAATCCTGAGCTCCAGTCCTCCTGCCTCGGCCTCTCAAAGTGCTGATATTACAGGTGTGAGCCACCTTTCCAGGTGTGAGCCACCACATCCAGCTTTCTCTACAATTAAAAAAAATGCAAATAGAGTTATATTGTTCTTCAACCTGCCCTTTTTGTTTGTTTTTGTTTGTTTTGTTTTGTTTTGTTTTAAGACAAGGTCTCACTCTGTCTCCCAAGCTGGAGTACAGTGGCACAATCTTGGCTCACTGCAGCCTCAACCTTCTGGGCTCAAGCAATCCTCCCACTTCAGCTTCCCGAGTAGCTGGGACTACAGACACGTACCACCGTGGCCAGCTAATTTTTTGCATTTTTTGTAGAGATGGGATTTCACCATGTTGCCCAGGCTGATCTCGAACTCCTGAGCTCAAGCAATCTACCCGCCTTTGCCTCCTGAAGTGCTGAGATTACAGGTGTGAGTCACCGCGGCCAGCCTGTCTCTACAATTTAAAAAATGTAAATGGGTTATATTGTTCTTCAACCCTTTTAAAAAATTACCATACTTTTTTTTTTTTTTTTGTAATTGAGGTGAAATTCACCTAACATACAAGTAACTATTTTAAGGTATACAATTCAGTGGCATTTAGTGCATTCACAATGTTGTACAAACATTATGTCACTGTAGTTTCAAAACTTTATCGTTCCCTTAGGAAAACACTCCGTACCCATCAAATAGTCACTCCCCATTACCTCCTCCCTGTCCTCTGGTTACCACTCATCTGCTTTCTGTCTCTATAGACTTGTTATTCTGAATATTTCACAGAAAAGGAATCATAGCTATGTGACCTTTTTTGTCCGGCTTCTTTCACTTAGTGTGTTTTGTTTGTTTGTTTGTGACAGGGTCTTGCTCTGTTGTCCAGACTGGAGTGCAGTGTCATGACCTCAGCTCACTGCAATCTCCACTTCCCAGGCTCAAGCGATCCTCCCACCTCAGCCATCTTATTATCTGGGACTACAGGCACACACCACCATGCCTGGCTGATTTTTGTATTTTTTGTAGAAACAAGGTTTTGCCGTGTTTCCCAGGCTGGTGTCAAACAATGATCCTCCCACGTCAGCCTTCCAAAGTGCAGAGATTATAGTCATCAGCCATGTCGCCCTGGCCTCACTTAATATATTTTTGAGGTTCATCTAAGTTACAGCATGTGTCAGCACATATTTCATTCCATTTTGTGGCTGAATAATATTCCATGGTACAGATATGTTACAATTTATCCATTCATCCATTGATGGACAATTTGGGTTTTTTTCACCTGTTGGCTATGATGAATACTGTTGATATAAACATTTGTGTACATGTTTCTGTGTGGACATATGTTTTCAGTTCTTTTGGGTATATACCTAGGAGTGAAATTGCTAGGTTGTAAGGTACTTCTATATTTGGACTTCATAAAAATTAAAAAGTTTTGTGTACCAAAGAACATTATCTGCCGGGCCCGGGTAATTGCAGCACTTTGGGAGGCTGAGGCGGGGGGATCACCTGAGGTCAGGATTTCAAGACCAGCCTGGCCAACATGGCGAAACCCTGTCTCCACTAAAAATACAAAAATTAGCTGGGCGTAGTGGCGAACACCTGTAGTCCCAGCTACTCGGGAGGCTGAGGCAGGAGAATCGCTTGAACCCAGGAGGCAGAGGTTGCAGTGAGCTAAGATCACGCCTCTGCACTCTAGCCTGGGCAACAGAGTGAGACTCTGTCTCAAAAAAAAAAAAAAAGTACATTATCAAGAATGTGATCAGGCTGGGCACAATGGCTCACACCTGTAATCCAAGCACTTTGGAAGGCCGAAACGGGAGGATTGCTAGAGGCCAGGAGTTAAAGCCCAGCCTGGGCAACGTGGTGAGACCCCATCTCTGCAATAAAAATTTTCGAAGTTGTTGGTTTATTTTGAGTTAATTTTTGTAGATGGAACGAGGTGAAACTCCTGCTTCATTCTTTTATATGTAAATATCCAGTTGTCCCAGCACCCTTTGTTGAAGAGACTATTCTTTCCTCTATTAAATGGGCTTGGTGCCGGGTACGGTGGCTCACGCCAGTAATCCCAGCACTTTGGGAGGCCGAGGCGGGCAGATCATGAGGTCAGGAGATCAAGACCACCCTGGCTAACACGGTGAAACCCCGTCTCTACTAAAAATACAAAAAATTAGCCGGGCGTGGTGGCTCGCGCCTGTAGTCCCAGCTATGCAGGAGGCTGAGGCAGGAGAATGGTGTGAACCCGGGAGGCAGAGCTTGCAGTGAGCCGAGATTGTGCCATTGCACTCCAGCCTAGGCAACAGAGCGAGACTCCATCTCAAAAAAAAACAGGCTTGGTGCCCTTGTCAAAAATCAATAAGGCCAGGCGCAGTGGCTCCCACCTGTAATCCCAGCACTTTGGGAGGCCAAGGCCTTTGTATTGCGTGAGTCCAGAAATTTGAGACCAGCCTGGGCAACATAGTGAGACCCCCGTCTCTACAAAAAATTAAAAAATTGGCCAGGCACAGTGGCTCACACCTGTAATCCTAACACTTTGGGAGGCCAAGGTGGGCAGATCATGAGGTCAGGAGATCGAGACCATCCTGGCCAACATGGTGAAACCCCGTCTCTACTAAAAATACAAAACTTAGCTGGGCATGGTGGTGTGCGCCTATAGTCCCAGCTACTCAGGAGGCTGAGGCAGGAGAATCGCTTGAATCCCAGAGGCAGAGGTTGTAGTGAGCCAAGATCGTGCCACAGCACTCTAGCCTGGCAACAGAGCAAGACTCCATCTCAAAAAAAAAAAAAAAAAAAAATTAGCCAGGCATGGTGGCATGTGCCTGTAGTCCCAGCTACTCAGGAAATTGAGGCAGGAAGATTGCTTGACTCTATGAGAACAAGGCTGTAGTGAGCCGTGATCGCACCACTGCACTCCATCCTGGGTGACAGAGCGAGACCCTGTCTCAAAAAAAAGGAAAAAAAGAAAAAAATGTCCAGCTACTTGGGAGACTGAGGTGAGAGAATCACCTGAGCTCAGGATGTCGAGGCTACAGTGAACCGTGATTGCACACACCACTGTTCTCCAGCCTGGGCTACAGAATGAGACCCTGTCTCACCAAAGAAAAAAAGGAAAAAAAAATCAGTGGGCCAGGCTGGGCATGATGGCTCACGCCTGTAATCACAGCACTTTGGGAGGCCGAGGTGGGTGGATCACCTATAGTTCCAGCTACTCAGGAGGCTGAGGCACAAGAATCGGCAGAGGCTGCAGTGAATCAAGATCGTGCCATTGCACTGCAGCCTGGGCAACAGAGTGAGACTCTGACTCAAAAAAAAAAAAATTAGTGGGCCATAGATGTTTGGGTTTATTACTGGGCTCTCAATTTTATTCCATGGGTCTATGTCTGTCTTTATGGTAATACCACACTATTCTAATTATAAGCTTTGCAGGGCCAAGCGCAGTGGCTCACGCCTGTAATCCCAGTACTTTGGGAGGCCAAGGCGGGTGGCTCACGAGGTCAGGAGATCGAGACCATCCTGGCTAACATGGTGAAACCCCGTCTCTACTAAAAATACAAAAAAATTAGCTGGGCGTGGTGGTGGGCACCTGTAGTCCCAGCTACTCAGGAGGCTGAGGCAGGAGAATGGCGTGAACCCGGGAGGCAGAGCTTGCAGTGAGCCAAGATCGCGCCACTGCACTCCAGCCTGGGCGACAGAGCGAGACTCCGTCTCAAACAAACAAACAAAAAAACCTTTGCAATAAGTTTTGAAATCAACCTGCATTTTTCACATAACCTGAATATCTTTCCACGTCAGACTGCTAAAAGCAATCTTATTCCTTTTAGTGGTTGCACAATGGTTCATTCTATGGTTAAACCACGCAGTGATACAGTGATATTGTGATACAGCGATACTGAACTAGCCCCAGGTTGATGGATATCAGATTGCCTCCAGTTTTTTTCTCTCATGCTGAGTGCTGCGTTAATCATCCAAGTGTATATTTTTGTATATACGTGTGAATATTCCTGTAAGATCAGCTTTTAGGGCTGGGTGCACTGGCTCACACCTGTAATCCCAGCACTTTGAGAGGTCAAGGTAGGAGAACTGCTTGAGCCCAGCAGTACAAGACCAGCCTGGGCAATGTAGTCAGACCTTGTCTCTACTAAAAATAAAAAGTTAGCCCAGCATGGTGGCGTGCACATGTGGTCCCAGCTACTTGGGAAGCTGAGGTGGGAGGATGGCTTGAGCCCCAGAGGTGTAAGCTGCAATGAGCCATAATTGTGCCACTGCACTCCAGACTGAGTGACAGAGCAAGACCCTGTCTCAAAACAAACAAACAAAAAACTTTTAGGAGAGGAAGTGTTGAGTCAAAGAGTGGTATGTGTTATTATTAAATTGCCCTCCAAAACTTACACCAGTGAACACTCTTAACCTAGTGCTTGCTTTTCAAATCACAAATTCTCACCTTTTAGTACATTGTAGGATCAGTTTGGTGGGTCTCAAGTTTGTCTTGGCCCATCTGAGAGGCAAAAAATAGTACTTCGCTTTCATTTACGTATCACTAATTATGACTAATTTTCAGCATCCTTTCAAGGTTATTGACTTTTTTTTTTTTTTGAGACAGAGTCTCGCTCTGTCACCCAGACTGGAGTGCAGTGGCACGATCTCAGTTCACCACAACCTCCGCCTCCTGGGCTCAAGCGATTCTCCTGCCTCAGCCTCCCAAGCAGCTGGGATTACAGGCGCACATCACGGCTAATATTTTTTATATTTTTAGTAGAGACAGGGTTTCACCATGTTGGCCAGGCTGGTTTTGAACACCTGGCCTCAAGTGATCTGCCCGCCTTAGCCTCCTAAAGTGCTGGGATTACAGGCATGAGCCACTGCGCCCGGCGACTATTTTCTTTTCTTTTCTTTTCTTTTTGAGACAGAGTCTCGCTCTGTTGCCCAGGCTGGAGTGCAATGGCACGATCTCAGCTCACTGCAACCTCCACTTCCCAGGTTCAAGTGATTATCTCACCTCAGCTTCCCGAGTAGCTGGGATTACAGGTGCCTGCCACCACACCCGGCTAATTTTTGTATTTTAGTAGAGACAGGGTTTCACCATGTTGGCCAGGCTGGTCTCAAACTCCTGACCTCAGGTGATCCGCCTGCCTCAGCCTCCCAAAGTGCTGGGATTACAGGCGTGAGCCACCACACCCAGCGACTATTTGCTTTTGTGAATTTCCCATTTATATCTTTTTCACACTTTTTCTTATTGAGATGCTGGTCTTTTGTTGTCGATTTATACAAATATTTGCATATTAAGGCTCATATTATATTAAAATGGCCCAGTTACTTGTTTGTCTCCTTGATTAGATTGTGCGCTCCTTGGAGGAAAGGAAGGTATCCTATCACCCTTGTATACATGGTGGCTAGCTTAGGGAATGAATAGCACATAATAGGAATTCACTGAGGAGATGTACACTTACCATATGGCAGGCTCTGTGCAAGATGTTGAGAATAAAAAGATGAACAGAAGAGAATCTTTGTTCTAACAAAGCTTACAGTCTGGTGCAAGCGATAGACATTCATTCTCATTCTGCAGGTTTATTGAGCAGCTGCTCTGTGCCAGGTGCATAACGCCCATTGGAAGAGCCAGCCTATTAGGATGAGAAAAATGTCAGGACTGGGACTTCGCTAACCTGGTCCTGGGAAATCTGGGTGGGTCAGTTCCCCATCCCTGGTTATCAGTATCCCCATCAATAAAATGTGAGCCACTGGACCAAATTCTCTCATTTCCCATTGAGCATCCATGCATCTGTGCTGCTTTGGCTTTTGGAAAGTAGGAGTCAGAGTCCTGAGTTCAAATATTGGCTCTGTGCTGGGTGTGGTGGCTCACGCCTGTAATCACAGCACTTTGGGAAGCCGAGGTGGGTGGATCACCTGACGTCAGGAGTTTGAGACCAGCCTGGACAACGTAGTGAAACCCCACCTCTACTAAAAATACAAAATTAGCCTGGTGTGGTGGTGCATGCCTGTAATCCCAGCTACTTGGGAGGCTGAGGCACGAGAATCGCTTGAACCCGGGAGGCAGAGGTTGCAGTGAGCCAAGATCGCACCATTGCACTCCAGCCTGGGCAACAAGAGCGAAACTCTGTCTCAAAAAAAAAAAAAAAAAAAATATATATATATATATATATATATATATATATATATATATATATATATATATGTAGGCTCTGCTACTTGTTAGCTGTGGCCTTGGGTGTGTGACTTAGCCTTTTTTTTTTTTTTTGGTGTGGGAGGGATGTGGGGAGGGACATGGTCTTGCTTTGTCACTCAGGCTGCAGTGCAGTAGTGCAATTATGGCTCACTTCAGCCCCAACCTCCAGGCTCAAGTGATCCTCCCACCTCAGCCTCCCGAGTAGCTGGGACTACAGACGTGCACCACCACTCCCAGATAATTTATTATTTTTTGTAGAGATTGAGTCTCACTACGTTGCCCAGGCTGGTCTCGAACTCCTGGGCTCAAGGGATCCTCCTGCCTTGGCCTCTCTTGCAGGCATAAGCCACTGTACCTGACCACTTAGCCTCTTGAAGGAATCTTTCTTATAGGATTAAAAGTGATGGGAAGCCAGGAGCAGTGACTCACACCTCTAATCCCAGCACTTTGGGAGGCCTAGGCAGGCGGATCACTTGAGGTCAGGAGTTCTAGACCAGCCTGGTCAACATGGTGAAACCCTGTCTCTACTAAAAATACAAAGATTAGCTGGACATGGTGGTGCACAACTGTAGTCCCAGCTACTCGGGAGGCTGAGGCACAAGAATCACTTGAACATGGGAGGCGGAGGTTGCAGAGAGCTGAGATCGCGCTGCTGCACTTCAGCCTGGGCGACAGAGCACGACTTTGTCCCCCAAAAAATAAGTAAATAAATAATAAAAGTGATGGGACCTGATTTCAAGTAGTCAAAATCGCAGAGACAGCAAATGGGCTGGGCTATGGGCCAGAGGGTAAAGGGATGTAATTGTTTAATGGGTACAGAGTTGTCAGTTTTACAAGATGAAAACAGTTCCCAAAACTGTATACCTGTACATAGTTAAGATGGTAAAGTTTATGATATGTGTATTTTACCAAAATTTTTTAAATGAAAAACTTTTTTTTTTTTTTTTTTTTTGAGACAGAGTCTCGCTCTGTCGCCCAGGCTGGAGTGCAATGGCGCAATCTCGGCTCACTACAATCTTCGCCTCCCGGGTTCACAACATTCTCCTGCCTCAGCCTTCCAAGCAGCTGGGACTATAGGCACCCGCCACCATGCCTGGCTAATTTTTTTTTCGTATTTTTAGTAGAGACGGGGTTTCACTGTGTTAGCCAGGACAGTCTCGATCTCCTGACATTGTGATCCACCTGCCTCGGCCTCCCAAAGTGCTGGGATTACAGGTGTGAGCCACCGCGCCCGGCCTGAAAAACATTTTTAAGTGGTGGGACGTGTAGGGCTCCACGGGGCACCTAGCACAGGAAAGCGTGTGGTAAATAAAAGGTGACTGCCAGGGCTGTTGAGGAGCTGACTAGGGAAGGCCTGCTTCCTAGAAAAGGGGTGAGGCGCAGGGCATTGGAGGGAGGTGTGCCTGGGAGGTCAGGAGTCCTGCCTTATGCGGGAACCTGGAGCAGCACCCTCCCTGCTTTGGGCCTCCTCTGTGAAGTGAGGCGTAGTCCCCTCCTGGGGCCAGCAGGTTGCTCTGTGACCTGGGCCAGCAACCTCAAAGCCACGAGGGGCCTGGCTCCTTGCGCCCCCTGCTGGCCGACTCGGGAATAACACACCCACAAGCCCCCAAGTTGCTCCCAACCAACCTGGCCAAGTTGCTGGGTTAAGGCAGCCTACGTGCCCCCTGTACCCTTCTGCTCTTGGCTGAGAACCCCTTATGGCTTCTCCCTCCCTCCCTCCCTCCTAAGTTCCTGGAACCTACCTTCACCACACCCATAAGCTCACAGACACAGACACAGAGATGTGTGCACATGCTCAGGTGCAAGCTCTTGTATTTGGATCCTTTTGTTGTTTTGGTTTTTTTTTTTGTAGAGAAAGGGTGTTGTTATGTTGCCCAGGCTAGTCTTGAACTTCTGAGCTCAAGCGATCTGCCCACCTCAGCCTCCCAAAATGCTGGGATTACAGGTGTGAGCCACCATGCCCAGCCTCCATGAATTATTATTATTTATTTCATGCATAGAAAATTGATGTTCAGAGAGGTAAAATGGCTTGCCTCATGTCACACTGCCAAGGTCATCAAAGCCTGTGTTCTAATCCTTCCCCCGTCTCTCAGCACTGCCCTCCTCCTTGTGTGTCTACTTGGGGCCTGATCCTGGGTGTGGTAATAGAACAGACCTACCCTGTGGAGGGTGCAACATAACATTCACTTCTGGCCGGGCATGGTGGCTCATGCCTGTAATCTCAGCACTTTGGGAGGCCGAGGCGGGCGGATCATGAGGTCAGGAGTTCAAGACCATCCTGGCCAACATGGTGAAACCCCATCTCTACTAAAGACACACAAAAAAATTAGCCGGGCATGGTAGCGCGCGTCTGTAATCCCAGCCACTCGGGAGGCTGAGGCATGAGAATCACTTGAACCTGGGAGGCGGAGGTTGCAGGGAGCCGAGATCATGCCATTGCACTCCATCCTGGGTGATAAAAAGATAGGGCGAGACTCTGTGTCAAAAAACAAACAAACCAACATTGACTCCTATGCCCAGTCTTACCCGGCCACACATAGGCCCGATGCACTGCCAGTCCCCTGCAATGGAAGCCGATCCTGGTTTCCAGCCCCACCCCCAAGGCTGCAAGATTGTTTAAGCATATCCGTGTGCAGCACAGGTGCCACCCAGCTTCTTGACCCCCATGGAGCCAGTGATCTGGACACACAGAAGGCACCGCCTTTCCTGAGAACTGGCAGTGCCCAGAGAAGGCAAGGGGCCAAGGCTGGGGCAGGGCAGAGAAGAGGGCCACAGCTGGGATCTGTTTCTCCTGAGTTTCTGCCCTGTGCTGGCACCAGGTGTACAATCTGCTATAAGGCCT
The DNA here is from genome assembly GCF_000001405.40 of Homo sapiens. Taxonomy (NCBI): domain Eukaryota; kingdom Metazoa; phylum Chordata; class Mammalia; order Primates; family Hominidae; genus Homo; species Homo sapiens. The sequence goes on along the minus strand of NC_000009.12, from coordinate 128,862,475 downwards.
GCAGGAGCTCAATGTAAGTGTTGTTATTTTAGTATGTTAGGAATTTCCTCACCTGTTAATGAGGGTGAGGATAGCACTTGCTTTACAGAGTTGTTGAAAGGATCCAGTGACAAAAGTATTGGGACAGAGTGAGTCCTAGTAAATTAAAGCTGGTTGTATTATTAATATTATTCTTGGCCAAGTACAGTGGCTCACATTTGTAATCCCAGCACTGGGACGCTGCGGCAGGAGGATGCCTTGAGCCCAGGAGTTTGAGACAAGCCTGGGCAACACAGTGAGACCACATCTCTACAAAAAATACAAAAATTAGCTCAATTCACTTGAGATGATGAAGACATGACTTAGAATGTTGTCACTTCAGGAAAAAAAGACTGATTTGATGGACACAGAGTCCGATGTGGGGGAGAGTGTCAGAGAGAGAATTGACCTACCAGGCAACTGTGGGTTTTTAACTCAGTGGTCAGAAAGCAGTAGAGTGGGTCCCGGTAGGGTGAAATCCAGCTCCTCCTGTAGTCCTAGAAGAAGTAGCAAGATGTTGGGTCTAGGACAGGAAATGGCTAACCTAAAGAGACCCTTTGGCCCAGGATGGTTCCCATCCCAAGACACCCCTCAGTCCTGGGCCAGCAGATAGTTGGTCTTCATAGAACAGGCAGAGGGCACAGAGTGCCTCCCATGACCAGCCCTGGGCTTGGGCCTGCCCTTGGGCCGCTCATCCGTTTAGCTGAGTTACCTGAGCTAAAGCACCAGACTCCCTCCCTTGAGGTGACACCAAGGAATGTCCCTCCTGGGATGGCAGTAACACTACCCTTTGTTGCTCAAGGCACAGGTACTTAGTTTCAGGGGTCAGAGTACATACTTCAGGCCTCTCCTGGGAACCGCTCTCAAATCTAAGGAACGAGAGGGTGAGCTCTGGCATCGCCTTGTGTGTTAGCCCATTCTCCCACTGCTATAAAGAACTGCGCAAGACTGGGTCATTTATAAAGGAAAGAGATTTAATTGACTCACAGTTCCTCATGGCTGGGGAGGCCTCAGGAAACTTAAAATCATGGCAGAAGGGGAAGCAAACACGTTCTTCACATGGCGGCAGGAGAGAGAACTGCTGAGCAAAGGGGGAAAAGCTCTTTATAAAACCATCAGCTCTCATGAGAACTCACTCATTATCGCCAGCACAGCAGCATGGGGGTAACTGCCCCCATGATTCAATTACCTCCCACTGGGTCCCTCCCAGGACACGTGGGAATTATGAGAACTGCAATTCAAGATGAGATTTGGGTGGGGACACAGCTCAACCCCATCACCTTGGATTTGATTCCTAAGGCTGTTGTAACAAACTAGCCACACTTCATTGTATTGCGTTTGGCAGATATCACGGTCTTTGCAAATTGAAGCTTTGTGAGAACCTTGCACCAAGCAAGTCTATTGTTCCCATTGTTCCAACAGAATGTGTTCCCTTAGGGTCTGTGTGTAATTCCCACAATAGTTCAAACTTTATCATTATTATTATGTCTGACACGGTGATCTGTGATCAGTGATCTTTGATATTACTATTGTGCTTGTTTTGGGGAACCACAAACCATGCCCATATAAGATGGTAAACTTAATAAATGCGTGTGGGCCGGAGGCAGTGGCTCACAACTGTAATCCCAGCACTTTGGGAGGCCGAGGTGGGCAGATCACCTAAGGTCAGGAGTTCGAGACCAGTCTGACCAACATAGTGAAACCCCATCTCTACTAAAAATACAAAAATTAGCCAGGCATGGTGGAATGCGACTGTAATCCCAGTTACTTAGGCTGAGGCAGGAGAATCGCTTGAACCCAGGAGGCGGAGCTTGCAGTGAGCCGAGATTGCGCAACTGCACTCCACCCTGGGCGACAAAGCAAGACTCCGTTTCAAAAAAAAAAAAAAAAGGCTGAACAAACTGAAAAACCAGCGGCTCTTTTTCAGTTCATCAGAAAATTAGGTCACAGGGTAACCTGCTGCCCCCAAACTGGAGAGGCAGAAAGGTAGATACAGAGAATCATGATTTGCCAGAGCAGAAACCTTCCCTGGAATCAGCACCTGGGTGGGAAAACCTGAACTGCAACTGACGAATGTCTGGCAGCGTGGATGTGTGCTGCTGGTTAATGTTAGGTGGCAGCTGGACTGGAGTAAGGAATACCTAGAGAATGGTGAAACATGACTTCTGGGTGTGTCTGTGAGGGTGTTTCCAGAGGAGATTGGCGTGGGAGTCAGTGGACTGAGTGGGGAAGATCCGCTCTCAATGTGGGTGGCAGTATGCAATTGGTTCACGGCTTGAATAAAAACAAAAGAGGAGAAAATTTTCCTCTTTCTGTCTCTGTCTCTCCTGGAGCTGGAAGATTCTCCTTCTCCTGCCCTTTGGATATCAAAACTCTAGGCTCTTCAGCCTTGGACTGAGAATTATCCCAGTGGCGTCCCTGGTTCTGAGGCTTGCAGACTTGGACTGAGCCACGCTACTGGCACCTCTTGCAAATAGTCTCTCAGGGGACTTCTCAGCCTCCATTAATTGCGTGAGTCAATTTCCCTATAAATCCCCTCTCATGCACTTTGGGAGGCCGAGGCGGGTGGGTCACGAGGTCAGGAGATCGAGATCATCCTGGCTAACACGGTGAAACCCTGTCTCTACTAAAAATACAAAAAATTAGCTGGGTGTGATGGCGGGCACCTGTAGTCCCAGCTACTTAGGAGGCTGAGGCAGGAGAATGGTGTGAACCTGGGAGGCAGAGCTTGCAGTGAGCCGAGATCGCGCCACTGCGCTCCAGCCTGGGCAACAGAGCGAGATTCTGTCTCAAAAAAAAAAAAAAATGGCTGGGCAAGGTGGCTCACCAGCACGATCTCGGCTCACTGCAACCTCCACCTCCTGGGTTCAAGCAATTCTCCTGTCTCAGCCTCCTGAGTAGCTGGGAGATTACAGGCATGCGCCACCACACCCAGCTAATTTTTGTATTTTTAGTAGAGATGGGGTTTCACCATGTTGACCAGGCTGGTCTCAAACTCCTGACCTCAGGTGATCCACCCACCTCAGCCTCCCAAAGTGCTGGGATTACAGGCAGGAGCCACTGCACCCAGCTGAGAGTAACTTTTTTTTTTGTTGTTGAGACGGAGTCTCCCTCTGTTGCCCAGGCTGGAGTGCAGTGGCGCGATCTCAGCTCACTGCAGGTTCAGCCTCCTGGGTTCACGACATTCTCCTGCCTCAGCCTCCCGAGTAGCTGGGACTACAGGTGCCCACCACCACACCTGGCTAATTTCTGTATTTTTAGTAGAGACAGGGTTTCGCCGTGTTAGCCAGGATGGTCTCGATCTCCTGACCTCGTGATCCGCCTGCCTTGGCCTCCCAAAATGCTGGGATTACAGGCGTGAGTCACCGTGCCTGGCCAAGGGTAACTATTTTTAAGTATGCCAGAGCATTCCTCCAAAATACTCTTTTTCTTTCTTTTCTTTTCTTTGCTTTTTTTTTTTTTTTGAGATGGAGTCTTGTTCTGTCACCCAGGCTGGAGTGCAACGCACAATCTCAGCTCACTTTAGCCTCCAAGCAATTCCCTTGCCTCAGCCTCCCGAGTAGCTGGGATTACAGGTATGAGCCACCATGTCCAGCTAATTTTTGTGTTGTTAGTACAGACAGGATTTCACCGTGTTGGCCAGTCTGGTCTCAAACTCCTGACCTCAAGTGATCTGCCCACCTCAGCCTCCCGAAGTGCTGGAATTATAAGCGTGAGCCACCGGGCCTGGCCTAAAACATTCTTTTTCTTTTTTTGTTTTTTGAGATGGAATTTCACTTTTGTTGCCCAGGCTGGAGTGCAATGGTGCAGTGGCTCACTGCAACCTCCGACTCTCGGATTCAAGTGATTCTCCAGTCTCAGCCTTCCAAGTAGCTGGGATTACAGGTGCATGCCATCACGCCTGGCTAATTTTTGTAGTTTTAGTAGAGATGGGGTTTCATCATATTGGTCAGGCTGGTCTCAGACTCCTGACCTTAGGTGATCTGCCCGCCTTGGCCTCCCAAAGTGCTGTGATTACAGGTATGAGCCACCATGCCCGGGCTTTTTTTTTTTTTTTTTTTTATACATGGTCTCACTCTGTTGCCCAGGCTGGAGTGCAGTGGAGCAATTTTGGCTCATTGCAACCTCTGCCTCCTGAGCTCAAGCGATTCTCGTACCTCAGCCTCCTAAGTAGCTGGGACTACAGGTGCATGTGACTTCGCCCAGCTAATTTTTGTATTTTTGGTAGAGATGGGGTTTTGTCGTGTTGGCCAGGCTGGTCTCAAACTCCTGACCTCAGGTGACCCACCCACCTCAGCCTCCCAAAGTGCTGGGATTACAGACGTGAGCCACCGTGCCCAGCCTTGGCTGTTTGTGTATCTTTTTTGGAAACATTCAGATTTATGATTTGCAGATATTTCCTTCCATTCCATGGGCTGTCTTTTCATTTTCTTAATGGGTATCCTTGAAGCACAAAAGTTCTTAATTTTGATGAGGTCCAGTTTATTTTTTCTTTTGTTGTGTATGCTTTGGATGTTATGTCTAGAACCCCAAGGTCACAGAGATTTATTCCTATGTTTTCTTCTAGTTTTCTTGTTTTAGTTCATACATTTAGTTTTGTTTTTTGTTTGTTTGTTTGTTTTGAGACGGAGTCTCGCTGTGTCGCCCAGGCTGGAGTGCAGTGGCGTGATCTCTGCTCACTGCAAGCTCCGCCTCCCGGGTTCACGCCATTCTCCTGCCTCAGCCTCCAGAGCAGCTGGGACTGCAGGTGCCCACCACCACGCCCAGCTAATTTTTTGTATTTTTAGTAGAGACGGGGTTTCACTGTGTTAGCCAGGATGGTCTTGATCTCCTGACCTTATGATCCGCCTGCCCTGGCCTCCCAAAGTGCTGGGATTACAGGCGTGAGACACCGTCCCCAGCCCATACATTTAGTTATGTGATTCACTTTGAATTAATTTTTGTGTATGGGGCAGGGCACATGGCTCACGCATGTAATTTCAGCACTTTGGGAAGCTGAGTGAAGCGGTGGCCTGTCCCTCCACACCTGTGGGTATCTCATCAGGTGGGACGAGAGACTGAGAAAAGAAGTAAGACACAGAGATGAAGTATAGAGACAACAGTGGGCCCAGGAGACTGGCAAGCAGCATATCAAGGACCTGCACCAGCATCGGTTTCTGAGTTTCCTCACTTTTTATTGATTATTATTTTTATTATCTCAGCAAGAGGAATGCAGTAGGAGAGCAGGGTGATAATAAGGAGAAGGTCAGCAAAAAAACATGTGAGCAAAAGAATCTATGTCATAATTAAGTTCAAGGGGAGGTACTATGCCTGCATGTGCACGTAGGCCGGATTTATGTTTCTCCCCGCCCAAACATCTCAGTGGAGTAAAGAATAACAAGGCAGCATTGCTGCCAACATGTCTCGCCTCCCGCCATAGGGCGGTTTTTCTCCTATCTCAGAATTGAACAAATGTATAATCAGGTTTTATACCGAGACATTCAGTTCCCAGGGGCAGGCAGGAGACAGTGGCCTTCCTCTATTTCAACTTCAAGAGGCTTTCCTCTTTTACTAATCTACCTCAGCACAGACCCTTTACGGGTGTTGGGCTGGGGGACAGTCAGGTCTTTCTCATCCCACAAGGCCATATTTCAGATTATCACATGGGGAGAAACCTTGGACAATACGTGGCTTTCCAAGGCAGAGGTCCGTGCGGCTTTCCGCAGTGCGTTGTGCCCCTGGTTTATTGAGATTAGAGAATGGCGATGACTTTTACCAAGCATACTGCTTGTAAACATTTTGTTAACAAGGCATATCCTGCACAGCCCTAGATCCCTTAAACCTTGATTCCAGACAACACATGTTTTTGTGAGCTCAAAGTTGGGGCAAAGTGGCTGGGGCAAAGTTACAAATTAACAACATCTCAGCAAAGCAATTGTTCAAGGTACAGGTCAAAATGGAATTTCTTATGTCTTCCCTTTCTACATAGACACAGTAACAGTCTGATCTCTCTTTCTTTGCCGTACATATCCCCCTTTTCTTTTTGACAAAACCGCCATAGTCATTATGGCCTGTTTTCGCTGGTTGCTGTCTCTCTGGAGCTGCTGGATACACCTGTAGACCAGCAACAGAGAACAGACATACAAGGATTAATACAAAATTTGCAATAGTGGAACTTCCAGTGGTTTTAACCCAAGTGATGGGGTTAAGATTTGTGAGGCCATCAGCAGCTTTCACCATTGCCTCAGTTTCTGGCACCAGATTGAACTGGGCTTTTGATGCCTCAAAAATTTGTTATTTTAATTTTAAAATATCTAAAGTAAGGTTATCTTCTCTTCCTTGTAGATGGCGTCTAACCATGTCCCAGTGATGTTCAGATTCATTATAGGCTCGAGGTGTAATACAAAAATCTGACATATTCCAGTCACACTGTAACTGAAAAAGATATTCTAAGCTCATGAGCCTATCTCTCATTCAAATGACAGTTTGTCTACGATCATTAATTTGGTTTGCCAATTTTTGGTCTATTTGAGTCTGAGAATTCCACAATTTTGAGGAGTTCTTTTGCCAATTATTTATATATTTTGTAGTTTGAACAGAGGAGTGTAAAGCAATTCCAGCAGCCGCAGCAGTAGCTGTGACTGCAATAAGACCCATAATCACTGCAATTAAAGTAAAAAATGAATCTTTTGGATCTAGTTAGAACTCCTTTTAATACTTCTGTTAAAATATGGATGGATGGGGAAGCCTCCCACGGTCGGTCCATGGACACAGGGATCCACACACCCTCTCTTGCCCTCACTGGCAGAATATGGTGCTGCCAATCAAAAGTTGAATCAATGCAAGTAAACAATCTACAATTTTCACAGGTTATAGTTTGGGAATCTGGTTTAATAACTATGTTTCCTACAACTAGCATATAAGAGGGTTTTACACAACTTTGCAAAGGAATTGTCGGATTGGAATTTAGGTTAATAGTATAATGTGGCTTATGATTTCTTGTTCCGATAACTTGATTTCCAGACCAAATTCTAATGTGGTGCGAGGCCACAGTAAGCTTTCATAATGCTGGATGTTCAGGAGCAGTAACAGGACTAACTAACTTTGGTTGAGGTGATGAAATCCCCTTTTCACCCCATTTCCATGGATAGGGTGATTCTAGCCTTCTATAAACCTGGTCTAGCCTTTCAGTTAAATCACTATCATAGGCCGGATTAGTGGGCCAGACAGATGGGGTCTGTGAACATGAGTGAGTCTGGCCCATACAACCATAATATAATTGGTTTTGAGGGGCCCAGTCTATAATAGTTCCAAATTTATTGTTTTGTAATACCACCACAGTATCAGCCACATATTTTTCCCAAACTAAGACTTCTGGGTCTTTTGATTCTTTGGGAATTTCCTTGAGGCAAGGTCCCCTTAGGCCTAAATTTTAATGATCTTTGATAAGAAGAGTCCTGTAAATTATTCATTTGTGACCCAAGTGACATTCCACTTACCATATGATAAGTAAATTTATTGGTGGCACTGACAGTAGATACTTCTACCAACCAATTTTGGGTTGTAGGCATTAAGCATCCTGGTGCTTTCCCCAGGCAAATAGGAGGATAATGATACCCAGTGGAAATGTTTATCATCATTCCTTCTTCTTCAGGTTGGGCAGGGCCGCGGTCATCTGTGGGTCCTGGTACCCATGCACTAATATTAACACATACTTCAATAGAATATTATCCATCCAAGTGACTGCCTGAATTAAGGGCGGGAAAGGCACATAGGCCCAGTAAGTATAATTAGCTGCAGCTGCTCCTGCAGACATAGTGAGACTTACCACCATTGATACAATCATTAAAGCTGCAAGCAGCATATTCTCTGGAGTTTGTGTTACCCTTGTGTACTTTAGGCTTTTTTCAGCTAACTGTGTCAGCTTCTTTAGCTGGGCCCAGGTCGGCGGCTTCGCTTTTTTGGTGGATGGCAACTTTTTCTGTAAGTTGTAGGTACCCAAACTGGAAGCTGATTTTCTCCTGGTGAAACACGAGCAAAACCTCTCCCCCACGTTATCACCTTCTCTATTTTTTATGTTTTATTTTTGTTGTCTTTTTACCAAATCAGTTTTTCCTCATGTGGGCTGTTCTTTTTACCAGTAAAATGTTGTTCTGCAGAAGTAGCGGTCTGATTTCTATAAATGTTAAAAAAATTTAAAGTATAGAGTGCTAGATTAAGTTGCATCTGGGGAGTGTTATATTCCTTACTGTCCTTTTCCTTTTTTTGTTTAACCAATTGAGCTTTGAGTGTTCTATTACTTCTTTCAATTATGGCCTGTCCTTGGGAATTATAAGGGATTTCTGTTGTGTGTGTAATTTTCCACTGATTTAAGAATTTTTGAAATGCTTTACTACAGTATCCTGGCCCATTATCTGTTTTAATTTTTTATGGAACTCCCATGACAGCAAAACAAGATAATAAATGTCTTTTAACATGGGAAGTATTTTCTCCTGTCTGGCAGGTTGCCCATATGAAATGTGAATAAGTATCAACTGTCACATGGACAAATGACAATTTTCCAAATGAAGGTACATGTGTGACATCCATTTGCCATAATGCATTGGGACATAAACCTCTGGGATTAACTCCTGCCTCCTGAGTGGGCACATGTAGGACTTGACACTGAGTACAATGTTGTACAACATTTTTTGCCTGTTTTCATATGATATCAAATTTATTTTTTAGTCCTGATGCATTTACATGAGTCAAGGCACGAAGTTTTTATGCTTTTATGAATGCAGATGATACTAGCAAGTCAGCTTGTTCATTTGCCTTAGTTAAAGGCCCTGGTAAATTAGTATGTGTTCGAATATGAGTAATATAAAATGGGAAATTTCTTTTTCTTACAGTTTGTTGTAACGAATTAAACAGCTGATTTAACTGATCATCCATACTATATTTGATTAGGGCTGTCTCAACATCCTTTGTAGCCTGTACTACATATGCAGAATCTGAAACAATGTTAATAGGCTGATTAAAACCTTGTAACACTGAAATGACAGCAACCAACTCTGCTCTTTGAGCTGAGTGATATTGAGTTTCAATGACTTGTTCTTTTGGCCCAGTTTAAGCCACTTTTCCATTGCTGGAACAATCAGTAAACGCCATCAGAGCATTTTCTAAAGGTTTATATCTGGTAATTTTAGGTAAAATCCAAGTAATCAATTTTAAGAACTGGAAGATTTTTGTTTTTGGGTAATGATTGTCAATAATTCCCACAAAATCAGCAAGACCAATCTGGCATGCAGCAGAATTGATAAAAGCTTGTCTAACCTGTTCCTTGTTTAAAGGAACAATGATTTTATCTGGGTCACTTCCACACAATTTTACTATATGTAGTCTTGCCTGACCAATTAATGTAGCCATTTGATCTAAGTACAATGTAAAAGTCTTAGTTGTACTGTGAGGAAGGAATGACCACTCTGCAAGATCAGTATTTTGAACAATAATGCCTGTTGGAGAATGTGCAGTAGCAAAAATCAAAAGTTGGAGTGGGGCTAAATGATCTATTCTATTTACTTGTGCTGACCGAATTTTTTCTTCAACTAATTCAATTTCTTTAGTTGCTTCTGGAGTTAATGGTTTTTTACTGTTTAAGTCTGGATCCCCTCTCAAGATAGAAAACAAATTTGACATGGCATAAGTAGGGATGCCTAGAGTTGGCCGAATCCAATTAATATGTCTTAGCAATTTTTGAAAGTCATTTAATGTTTTTTAATGTGTCTTTTCTTATTTTTATTTTTTGTGGTTTAATTTTCCTTTCCTCTACCTGCATTCCCAAATAATGGAAAGGAGTAGAGGTCTGAATCTTATCAGATGCTATTGTCAGTCCTGCGTTTGCAACATCTGTCTGCAGAAATGTGTAACAGTCAATTAATTTGTCTCTTGTTTCTGCAGCACACAAAATATCATCAACATAATGAATGACATAACAATCTGAAAACTTGTCTCTAACTGGTTGAAGAACTTGAGCTACAAAAGTCTGACAAATAGTTGGACTGAGGCAACACTTTCCACTAAAACCTGGCTGGTTCTTTATTATTTACGGCTGGTATAGTAAAAGCAAATTTTTCAAAATCCTGTTTTGCCAGAGGAATGGTAAAAAAGCAGTCCTTCAGATCAATTATAATTAAAGGCCAGTCTTTGGGGATCATGGCCAGAGAGGGCATCCCGGGTTGGAGAGCACCCATGGGTTGTATTATGGCATTAACAGCTCTTAAGTCAGTCAGCATGCGCCATCTGCCTGATTTTTTCTGAATTACAAACACAGGAGAATTCTAAAGAGAGAAAGTGGGTGAAACATGTCCTTTTTTAAATAGTTTTTTAACTATTTTATGTAGCGCCCCCAACTTTTCCTTAGAGAGTGGCCACTGTTTGACCCATACAGGACACTGCAGGGCGAGTCTGAATTGCTCCTTCACTGTAGTGAACTGTAGGTTGGGCAATAATGAGTGCCACGAGCCAAGTCGCAGTGTGCCTAGTTTCAGGCTGCCTCCCCCAGCACTCACTCGGCTGAGGAGGAGGTGGCCATTGTGGTTGTAGCCCCAATGGCCCCAATGATTCTGGACTTTTTCCTTTTAATTTTAATGTTTCAGGATATATTACCTCCTGTAATTGATTGTAGTCAACACTTTGCGTTGACTGAGCCATTACCGGCTCTGCTACATATTTACAATGTGAACTTTCCGTTCCTTTCTTGAACTCTGTCTCTGCCTCTTCTTCACAATCTATCACACAGCTTTCAGGGGCATCAGAAACTGAAATGCTATCTTCTTCTATTTGAAATGGTTCTAAAGTTGCTTTAATAATGGCCCAATCATTCCATACTGTAAGTGGGATGATTTTACCTTCCCTACTTGCTTGTTTTAATTCCTTGCCAATTTTTTCCCAATCTTTTAAATCTAAAGTTCCTTGTTCTGGAAACCATGGGCAGAATTGTTCTATTGTTTGAAATAGCGTAATTAGATTTTCTGTAGAAGCTTTAACTCCCCCTCTTCTTAAGAGAATTTTAATGAAGCTGAGATAAGAGGCATATTTACTTTCAGTTTGCCCCATTGTTACCCTGGATTCCTCCGAGCGCACAAGCATACTGCAAGGCTGACCGTGGACGTACTCGGGAATCTCTCATCAGCTGTCCTCAATACTCACGTTCTCAGCATAACTTCACCCTGGAGAAAGGCCCCATATTGGGCGTCAGATGAAGGGGTGGCCTGCCCCTCCATACCTGTGGGATATCTCGTCAGGTGGGATGAGAGACTGAGAAAAGAAATAAGACACAGAGACAAAGTGTAGAGAAACAACAGTGGGCCCAGGAGACCGGCATGCAGCATATCAAGGACCTGCACCAGTACCGGTCTCTGAGTTTCCTCACTTTTTATTGATTATTATTTTTATTATCTCAGCAAGAGGAATGCAGTAGGAGAGCAGGGTGATAATAAGGAGAAGTTCAGCAAAAAACATGAGCAAAAGAATCTGTCATAATTAAGTTCAAGGGGAGGTACTATGCCTGCATGTGCATGTAGGCCGGATTTATGTTTCTCTCCACCCAAACATCTCAGTGGAGTAAAGAATAGCAGGCAGCATTGCTGCCAATGTGTCTCGCCTCCCGCCATAGGGTGGTTTTTCTCCTATCTCAGAATTGAACAAATGTATAATCAGGTTTTATACTGAGACATTCAGTTCCCAGGGGCAGGCAGGAGACAGTGGCCTTCCTCTATCTCAACTTCATGAGGCTTTCCTCTTTTACTAATCCACCTCAGCACAGACCCTTTACAGGTGTTGGGCTGGGGGACGGTCAGGTCTTTCTCATCCCACGAGGCCATATTTCAGACTATCACATGGGGAGAAACCTCGGACAATACGCGGCTTTCCAAGGCAGAGGTCCCTGTGGCTTTCTGCAGTGCATTGTGCCCCTGGTTTATTGAGACTAGAGAATGGCGATGACTTTTACCAAGCATACTGCTTGTAAACATTTTGTTAACAAGGCATATCCTGCACAGCCCTAGATCCCTTAAACCCTGGTTCCCTACAACACATGTTTTTGTGAGCTCAAAGTTAGGGCAAAGTGGCTGGGGCAAAGTTACAAATTAACAACATCTCAGCAAAGCAATTGTTCAAGGTACAGGTCAAAATGGAATTTCTTATGTCTTCCATTTCTACATAGACACAGTAACAGTCTGATCTCTCTTTCTTTTCCCTACACTGAAGAAGGAGGATCGCTTGAAGTCAGGGGTTCAAGAACAGCCTGGGCTGGCCAGGCATGGTGGCTCATGCCTGCAATCCTAACACTGTGGGAGGCCGTCATGAGCAGAACAACTTCAGGCCAGGAGTTCAAGACCAGCCTGGCCAGTATAGCAAAACCCCATCTCTAATTAAAATACAAAAATTAGCCAGGCATGGTGGCACACACGTATAATCCCAGCTACTCAGGAGGCTGAGGCAGGAGAATCACTTGAACCCAGGAAGTCGAGGCTGCAGTGAGCTGAGAAGGCACCACTGCACTCCAGCCTGGGTAACAACGTGAGACCCTATCTCAAAAAAAAAAAAAAAAAAAGAAGAAAATAAAAAATTTATATGTGTGTATTCTGTGAGATAGAGGTCCAAATTCATTCTTTTCTTTTCTTTTCTTTTTTTTTTTTTTTGAGACAGAGTCTCACTTTGTCTCCCAGGCTGGAGTGCAGTGGCGTGATCTCGGCTCACTGCAACCTCCATCTCCCAAGTTGAAGCAATTCTCTGCCTCAGCCTCCTGAGTAGCTGGGATTACAGGTGCCAACCACCATGCCTGGCTAATTTTTTGTATTTTTAGTACACCATCTTGGTTTCACCATCTTGGCCAGGCTGGTCTTGAGCTCCTAACCTCATGATCAGCCTGCCTCGGCCTCCCAAAGTGCTGGGATTACAGGCATAAGCTGCCACGCCTGGCCCCAAATTCATTCATTTACATGTGGATATTTAGTTGTCTCAGCACCATTTGTTCATTTGTTGAAAAGATTATTATTTCCCACCCCCCACCCCCGCTTTTTTTTTGAGCCGGTGACTTGCTCTGTCACCCAGCCTGGAGTGCAGTGGTGTGATCTCGGCTCACTGCAACCTCCGCCTCCTGGGTTCCAGCGATTCTCCTGCCTCAGCCTCCTGGGTAGCTGGGACTACAGGCATGTGCCACCATGCCCTGCTAATTTTGTATTTTTCGTAGAAATGGGGTTTCACCATGTTGACCAGGCTGGTATCGAACTCCTGACCTCAGGTGATCCGTCCACCTCAGCCTCCCAAATTGCTGGAATTACAGGCATGAGCCACCATGCCTGGCCTCCCCACCTTTTTTTTTGAGACAGTCTCATTTTGTCGCTTAGGCTGGAGTACAGTGGCACGATCTTGGCTCACTGCAACCTTTGCCTCCCAGGTTCAAGCAGTTCTCCTGCCTCAGCCTCACAAGTAGCTGGGACTACAGTCATGTGCCACCACACCCAGCTAATTTTTTGTATTTTTATTAGAGATGGGGTTTCGCTGGTCTCAAACTCCTGACCTCAAATGATCCTCCCGCCTTGGCCTCCCAAAGTGTTCGTGTTACAGGCATGAGCCACACCCAGCCTCCCAATTTTTTTTTTTTTTTTTTTTTTGAGACAGAGTCTCACTCTGTCACCCAGGCTGGAGTGCAGTGAGTGGCGTGATCTCGGCTCACTGCATCCTCCACCTCCTAAGTTCAAGTGATTCTTCTGCCTCAGCCTCCCAGTAACTGGGATTACAGGTGCACACCACCATGCCTGGCTAATTTTTGTATTTTTAGTAGAGACGAGGTTTTAGCATGTTGGCCAGGCTGGTCACAAACTTCTGACCTGAAGTGATCCACTCGCCTCAGCCTCCCACAGTGCTGGGATTACAGGCGTGAGCCACCATGCCTGGCCCCCATTTGAGTTTCTTAGCATCTTATCAAATAGCAATTGTGACCATTTATTTCTGGACTGTCAGTTCTATTCAATTGACTTATATATCTATCTTTAAGCAGTATCACACTTTCTTGGTTCCTGTATGTTTGCATTAAGCTTCCAAATTGTGCAGTGTGATTTCTTCAATTTTTTTCTTCTTTTTCAGGCATTTACTTTTTTTTTTTTTTTTTTTTTTGAGACATATCTCCCTCTGTCGCCCAGGCTGGAGTGCAGTGGTGGGATCATGGCTCACTGTAGCCTTGACCTCTCCAGGATCAAGTGATTCTCCCACTTTAGCTTCCCCAGTAGCTGGGACTACAGGTGTGC